>NC_000001.11:173790647-174093677 GCF_000001405.40 Homo sapiens
GTTAGCTCCTTGGGAAGCTGAGGCAGAAGAATCCCTTGAACCTGGGACACGGAGGCTGCAGTGAGACGAAATCATGCCACTGCACTCCAACCTGGGTGACAGAGTGAGACTCAGTCTCAAAAAAAAAAAAAAAGCACATAAATAGGTTTATTTTTGATGCACTAATTTTTTTAAATTTCTCAATTTTAATTTCTAATATGGTAAATCACTAGATGTAATGCATGTAAACAGAAGCTCTTTGTGTCCTCAAGTTTTTGAGACTTTAAAGGGATCTCAAGGCAAAAATGTTTGAGAACTGCTGCTCTAAATCTTCCAGTTTACAGGAAATACAAAGGAACAGAGGAATGTGTTAACTTCATAGCAATTCAATGAGCAGAGTTCAAAAGTGCGAAACTTTACAAGACAAATAACTTTGCTTCTCCAAAAATTGAATTGCAAGGAAAGAAAGTGGAGAGGGAGAAACTGACAGAGTAAAAGGAATTTAAGACTCATATCATCAGCCTAGAGCGGTGGCTCATACCTATTAATAAAATCCCCCAGCACTTTGAGAGGGCAAGGCGGGAGAATCGCTTTAACCCAGGAATTCAAGACCAATTTAGGCAAATAAGAGAGACCGTCTTTACAAAAAACTACATATATATATAAAATTTATATATATAAAATATAAAATGTATATACTATATAATTATATATTAAAATTATATATTATATATAAATTATGTTATATATAAATTTTAATTATATATATATATATATAAAAGCTGGGTGTGTTGGCACATGCCTCTGGTCCCAGATACTTGGGAGATTGAGGTGGGAGGATTACTTGGGCCAGTGCATGATCACACCACTGCACTACAGCCTCATTGACAGAGCAAGACCCTGTCTCGAAAAAAGCCAGCCAGATATGAGGGCGATCTGACTGTGACATCTGTCACTCTATTGATCGCCAGGGTTGATTCGGCTGATCTGGCTAGCTAGGCAGGAGTCCCCTTCCTCCCTCACCACTCCATGTGCTTCCCTCTTGAAGCTGTGCACACTCAGTGGAAGAGGACAGCCATCCCCAATAGAGGAAGGCCAGTCTGCAGTCAAGGGTATACAAGTAGCTGCATTCCCCTACTAGAACCTCCAAACAAGCTCTCAAGGTTCATTTGTAAGAGAACGTAGGGTTCTTTGAAGTCAAGCTTCCAAGACTCCAGACACATCCAAGTGAGTTGCTGCATGTGGCAGTCTGCCTTTCTTTAAAACAAACAAACAAAACCACCAAACTTCAGGTAATAAGGCAGGTAATGTTTTACATAATGCATCTCAGTATAAAACATGCAACAATTGAATTATTTACATAGCCCAGCAGAAGCGATTCAATAGTCTGCCCTGATGTGGACTGTAAGAATGATTAGAAAAGAAGTTAAGCCTGAGAAAGGTTTGAAAGAGAGTAATAGTTTTGCTAAGTGGACAAGAGTGGAAAGGACATTCCAGGCAGAGCAGCATGTGTAAGATATACAGAAGGAAGGCAGTGAGACAGCATGGGCTGTTCAGGGAAATCAAAGCAGTCTGCTTTCAGGAGAATAAAGTAAAAAAAGCCTGTGTCCAGAAATAAGACAGGAGAACCAGGTATCATCATAAGGGCCTCATATCCCAGTACTTTTCTCTCAGCTTTCTTTTCTGATGTTAATTCTAGTAAGTTCTGTGAGGGTGTACACGGTCAGGCTCTAAGAGGCCCCCAGTGATCCCTGCATTCTGGTATTCACACCCTTGTGTAATCCTCTCCCAAAATGCACCAGGGTTGGTCTGGTCTGTGTGCCTAATAGCGATGCTAGGAACTCTGGTGGGGAATGTTGATAATGGGTGAGGCTATGCATTTGTAGAGAAAAAGGGTATATGGGAAATCTCTGTAAACATCCACTGAATTTTGTTGTGAACCTAAAACTGCTCTAAAAAATAAACTCTATTAAAAAGTATAGGGGGGTGGTATGTCACTTCCAAAATTAGGCTTAAAAAGAATCTAGCTTTTGTCTTGAGTGTTTTTCTCTCATCTTTCACACTCTGGGAAATGCAAATACATAAAAGAATATAAGAAACCCATGAACCTCCATATACCAACCATCCAGCTTCAAAAATTAACAGATTTTGTAAATTTTGTTTTATCTGTCTCCTCCCACTCTTACTTCTCCTCTCCATCACCACTGAAGTATTTTAAAGCAGA
This sequence comes from Homo sapiens, assembly GCF_000001405.40. Classification (NCBI taxonomy): domain Eukaryota; kingdom Metazoa; phylum Chordata; class Mammalia; order Primates; family Hominidae; genus Homo; species Homo sapiens. The sequence goes on from NC_000001.11 coordinate 173,792,851, forward strand.
TCCCAGCCATCACCTTAAAGTCATGCACTTCATTCATAACAACGTTTTGGTCATTGACAGACCACATATATGACAGTGGTCTCATAAGATTATAATACTGTGTTTTTACAGTGCCTTTTCTATGTTTAGATATGTTTAGATACACAAATCCTTACCATTGTGTTGCCTACAGTATTCAGTACAGTAAGTAATACATTGTACAAGTTTGTAGCCTAGGAGCAACAGGCTATCCCATATAGCCTAGGTATATGGTAGGCTATACCATCTAGATTTATGTAAGTACACTCCGTGATGTTTATACAAAGATGAAATCACCTAAAGACATATTTCTCAGAACATACCCCTGTCGTTAAGTGATGCATGACTGTATTTCACCCACATTTGAGTATTTAACAGATAAGGTCTAACTATAACAACATTATCACACTTGATAAAATAAACATTCCTTAATATCATCTAATACCCAATCAATGTTAAAATTCCCCTAGTTACCACTTAATTTGTTTACTATTATACTTTGAAGTTTTCTTTTTTTCCTGTCCCTTCTTTTGCTCACTTGGTCAAATTTCTATTTCGTTCCTTTGCCCTTTAATTTTAGAAATTCTTCTATAGTTTCTATTCTATTTGGTGTGTGTATCTGCACTGCAACAGATATAGTTAAACGTATTTCTCTACGAAGATACTCACATTAAGAGGCTGTTATCCATCCTGGCTACCACGGTGAAACCCCGTCTCTACTAAAAATACAAAAAAAAAAAATTAGCCGGACATAGTGGCGGGCGCCTGTAGTCCCAGCTACTCAGGAGGCTGAGGCAGGAGAATGGCGTGAATCCAGGAGGTAGAGCTCGCAGTGAGCCAAGATCACGCCACTGCACTCCAGCCTGGGCGACAGAGGAAGACTCCGTCTCAAAAAAAAAAAAAAAAAAAAAGAGGCTGTTAGAAATACTTCATAGGTGCTCTATAGCACCCAGTCATAACATACGTGATACCTAGACAGCCCGTGTTTAGAGATACTAACAGTGGGTAGTGGCCTCGGGTGTTATCAGCTAGCTCCATTATAAAATACTCCATCAATCTTTCACCTAAGGGTTTAAGCAGATACTAATGATTGATGCTTACATCTATTATTTCACTGAGAGTTATAAATGATGCCTTCTCATTCCTTTGCATTTATCAGCTGAAATATATCTAAAAAACTTACCTTGATCAGCTATTTGATTATCTTGAAATATAATTTATACTAGAAAGTAGAAAATGTTTGCTTCTCCCCTTTACCAATTTTCAGAACTTGATTCTGCAGCAACCTCCAAAAGTAACACCAATTTCTAAAATTTTGTTTAGTATTAGTATGAGCTCATAAATTATTTTTACTTTAATATTGATATAAATAAATTTTTATATATTCAATCAATTACACTTTTTCCTTTTGATATGTGAATTGTCTCACCTTTGGCAAGTAGGGTCCCCCTTCATTTTGGCTCCTAGCCTTTTGACACAACTGTTGATAGCTATCTTGCTTTTCTGATATATGAAAGGTTATTTTTATACATTTCTTGTCCCAAACCTGAAATCAGCCCTTCCTCAAGAAGTTTTAGCTCCTTTTAGTGGGAAATACTTATAGAACATAATCTGTGTGTTAGTAATGTTCATTGTTAATGGCTTTTTACTGCTTCCGGGCCTCTCCAGTAAACAAAGCTATGTGTTTTTTAGCAAATCATGAATAACCTCAGTAGATGCCGAAAAAAAATTTTGACAAAGTGCAACACCTATTCATAATAAAACCCCTCAACAAACTAGGAATAGAAAGGATCATTCTTAACTTGATAAATGACATCTATGAAAAAACCTACAGCCAACATCATATTTAATTGTAAAAGACATGATGCTTTCCTACTAAAAACAAGACGAAAATGTATATTCTTACCAGTTCTATTCACCATTGTACTGGAGATTCTAGCCAAGGCAATTCAGCAAGAAAAAGAAACAAAAGATTAAAAATTAAGAAATAAAACTGTCTTTATTCACAGATGATATGAATTTTTTATGTAGAAAATCCTAAAGAATTCAGTGAAAAAAAACTACTAAAATAAGCTCAGCAAAGTCACAGGATACAAGAGCAATATACAAAATCACTTGTATTTCTATATGCTAGCAACAAACAATTTGAAAATGAAATTAAGAAAACAATTCCATTCTCAATAGATCTAAAATAATAAAATATTTAAAGATTAAATAAATGGAAAAACATCCTGCTCATAGATTAGAAGATTTACTATCATTATGGCAACACTCCCCAAACTGCCCTATGAATTCAACACAATCATTATCAAAATCCCAGGAAGTTTTTTTTTTTTTTGGCAACAATTGACAAGCTGATCCTAAAATTCTTATGGAAATACAAAAGACGCAGCCAAATAACCTTGGGAAAAAAACAAAGTTGAAGGTCTCACACTTCCTGATTTCAAAACTCACTACAAAGCTATAGTAATTGAGACAGTGTCGTACTGGCATAAGAAGTGACAAGTAGATCAATGAAATAGAAAGTCCAGAAATAAACCCAAACATCCATGAAATACTGATTTTTGAAAAAAAGTGACAAGACACTTCAATAGGAAAAAAAGTCTGTTCAACAAGTGGTGCTGAAGCAAATGAATATCCATGTGCAAAAGGATGAATTTGGACCCCTACCTCACACCATACACAAAATTTAACTCAAAATGACAGACCTAATTTTCTAATTAGAAAATCCTGAGAAGAAAACAAAAGTAAACCTTTAGGACCTGAGGTTAATCAATGATTTATTAGATTCAACACCAAAAGTACAAGCAATAAAAGAACAAAAATTGGTCAGACTTAATGAAAATTTAAAACTTTTGCACTTTAAAAATAAGAGTTAATTCTGATATTCCCAATTAAATGTAATATTAGAGTTTTTACTTACTTGATTTTATAATTGTGTATCTTTTACACTGATGATCTCTCTTTTTTTTTTTAATGTCACCCAGGCTGGAATGCAGTGGCACAATCTTGGTTCACTGCAATCTCCACCTCCCAGGCTCAAGTGATCCTCCCACCCCAGCCTCCTGAGTAGATGGCACTACAGGCATGTGCCACCATGCCTGGCTAATTTTTTGTATTTTTATAGAGACAGGGTTTCACCATGTTGCCCAGGCTGGTCTCGAACTTCCAACCTCAGATGATCCACCCACCTCGGCCTCCCAAAGTGCTGGAATTACAGGCATGAGCCACCATGCCCAGCCTACACTGAAAATCTGAATTCTTACACACGTTACCATATTATAAATAGGCCGAAATAATAATAGCTACATTATTAAGACAACTGAATGTGATTTAAAATTTATTTGCTGCTCTTCTTTTTCTAGGATGGAGCCTGCTAGAATATACAACCAAAATACCACAAATTTAAAGATACTAAAAATTTAAAGATACACAAATTTAATGATACTCCAGGCTGGGTGCAGTGGCTCCTGCCTGCAATCCCAGCACTTTGGGAGGCCAAGAGGGGAGGATCACTTGAGCCCAGGAGTTCAAGACTAGCCTGGGCAACACAGCAAGACCCCAACTCTAAAAAAAAAAAAATTATCAAAAAAAAGAAAAAAGGCCAGACATGGTGTTACACACCTGTAGTCCAGCTACTCAGGAAGCTGGGGCAAGAAGACCACTTTAGCCCAAGAGTTTGAGCCCAGCCTAAGCAACACAGCAAGATCCCATCTCTAAAATAAAAATATAAAGGCCAAGTGTGGTGGCTCACGTCCATAATCCTAGCATTTGGGGAGGCCAAGGCAGGAGGATTGTTTGAGCCTCGGCTCAGGTGGGAAGGGTTAAAGACCAGCCTGGGCAATATACTGAAACCCCATCTCTACCAAAAATACAAAAAATTAGCTGGGCATTATTGCATGCACCTGTAGTCCGAGCTACTTGGGAGGCTGAGGAGGGAGGATGGTTTGAGCCCAGGAGGCAGAGGCTACAGTGAGCTGAGATCATGCCACTGCACTCCAGCCTGGGCAACAGAGCCAGACCCTGTCTCAAAATAAAATAAAAGTAAATTAAATTAAAATAGATACTGAAAAAAATTTGTGTGGGCTGGGAACAGTGGCTCATGCCTGTAATACCAGCACTTTGGGAGGCCAATGCAGGAGGATCGCTTGAGCCCAGGAGAACAGCTTGAACAACATAGGGAGACCTCATCTCTACAAAAATTAAAAAATTAGCCAGGCTTGGTGGCAATATGCCTGTGGTCTCAGCTACTTGGAAGGCTGAGTTTGGAGGATTGTTTGGGCCAGGGAGGTCAAGGCTGCAGTGAACTGTGATTGTGCCACTGCACTCTAGCCTGGACAACAGAGCAAGACCGTGTCTCAAAAAAGAATAAAAAAACTTGTGTGATTATGCCATGAACTTAATACAGTTAGGCTCATTTTTTTTTAATTGCTAAGGATTGCTTTGTTTTTTCCTTTTGTTCTAATTTTCTTTCATAATTATACAAAACACTTACATGGTTCTAAACTATTAAAAAGGAACATTCAGGTAAATCTTAACTTTCATTCCTGTCCCCTCTACTCTGTTCCTTCCTTCTCCCTATAAGTAAATACAGTTATAAGTTTGTGGTTTATCCTTTCATTGTTTTTTGAAAGCATAAGGAAATACACTCATATCTCCCTCATTCCTTACATAAAAAGTACAATACTCTACATTCTGTCCACATACATTGCTCTTTCACATAACAGTACATCTTGGAGATCACTCCATGGGAGTAAAGAGATATCTTCCCCAATCCTTTTTATAGCTGCATAGTAGTAATTCATTTTGCAGCTATACCAGGCCTGATGAGCATCTGAGTTGTTTTTAGTCTTGCTATTACAAATACTATTGTAATAAGTAACCTTGTACATGCTTCATTTCATATTTTTTTGCCAGTGAATTTTTGGGACAGAATCCTAGAAGTGGAATTGCTAATCAAAGGGTGACTGCACACATAGTTTTGTTTAATATTGCTAACTTCTTCTCCATTAGGGTTTTATCATTTGCAATAACCTTTTAACTGTTTCCCTTCTTCCACTCTTGTCTACCTACACCCATTCTCCCTCATATCTTATAAAATCCTATAAAATACTAATTGAATCATATTACTCTCTTACTTAAAATCTTTCAGTGGCTTCCCATTGCATTTAGAATAAAATCCAATCTCTTCACACTATAAAAACTTAGATGATAGAGCTCCTGCCTCTGTATCAAGTTAGGATTAAGTTTGACTATGAGCAAGAAAGACCCAAAATGACAACAGCTAAAACAAGAGAGAAGTTTACTTCTCTGACAAGTAAGTCTAGAGGAAGACTGCCCAAGGCTGGCACTGGAGTTCACCTTCAAGAAAACCTCAGGGCACAAGCTCCTCCCAGGCCATGCTCTGTCATCCCTAGGACTTGTTCCTCAACCCCAAGACCTAAGAGAATAGCTATAGTACTAGTCATAATATCAATGTTCCAGGCAGCAAAGTTGGAAGAAGGGAAAAGTAAGAAAAGGGGGAAGGGGTACATGCCAGTTGTTTTTTATTATAGGTAAGATTTCTGGAAGCTCTATATGACACTTCAATTTGTATCCCAAATCAGAACATATTCATATGACTATACCTACCTACGAGGAAGGCTGGAAAATATCATCTTTATTCTGGGCAGCCAGGTGCCCTAGCCAAAAATTGGGACATTTTATGCCATGGAAGAAGTCTTTGCTGCACAACCTATTCAGTTTCAGCTCATAATAGGCCATACACCCTTATTCACTATGCTCTAGCCAAAAAACTTCCTTTGTTCTTCAAAGCAGCCAAACTCTTACCTATCTCAAGGTTTCTCCTGCCTAGCACACCCTTCCTCAGATCTTCACATGGCTGGTTCCAACTCATCATTCAGGACTCAGTTCAAAAGGTCACTTCCTCAGACAGACCTTCTTTGACTACTGTATGAAAGGTAGGCCCCACCCCAGTCACCCTTTTTCATATTGCACTGCCTTATTTTCTTCATAGCATTTGTCTCCATCTGAAATTATTAACCTTTTGCCTTATTTCACTAAAATATAATTTCCTCAGAACAAAGACCTTTTTTCACTTCTTCACTGCTATATTCCTATTATGCAGTACAATTCTAAGCACATGGTAGGAGTTTAAGATTAGTTGAATGGATGAATGTCTGACTCCAAAGCCCATGCTTTTCCCATTACATCTACTGCTCCTAGTACATCTGAAATAATATCCCATTCCAGTAGTCAATCTTTGTTTTTTTGAGAATGACAGCCTAATAATTTTCTTTCAATCAAGATTTTTAAAAAATTATTCCTAAAGTAAAAGAAAATCTTATGCTCAGTAAGTAAAAAGAAGAGATTTGGATAAAACATCATGGGCAAGACTCTTAAGTTCCTCGATCTCACAGTTTTCATCTGTAAAAAGAAAGAGTTGATTAAAATTGATTTAATCTATAGATATTTACCAAGCATTATGCTAAACTGGGACATGAAGGTTAAATAAGATAATTTCTGACCTCAAAAGGGGCTCACAGGTGCCTTTCAACTCTACAATTTGTAAGATTCTATATAATTGTTAGTCTGTACCCTCTGTGTTAACAGAAAAAGCCTACCAATTTCCACTACTGAGATATTAATTAAAAGATGTCGAGACATTGATAAACACATTGCTTCATTTTAAAATAAACATTTAATTCAACATTGCAACAGGAGTTGAACTGTATTTAAAACAGAAGCATATTAATGACTAAAAAAATGTGTATATTAATCTTTAGTTCCCTTTTGAGGGGATTTTGATTGCCAGTTCTCCGCAGTGAAATGCTAGGAAAATGTCTTTAGAAGACAGAATTCTTTCTGAATGCAAGTCTAAAATGCTTAAAAGAGATTAAAGGTTTTAAAGACCCAAATCAGAAATATCCATTAGATACATCTCATTTGAATCCTAAGAGTTTAAACATAATAAACGCTGTATTTATTTATTTTATTTCTTTTTTATTTTTTGAGGCAGAGTCTCACTTTGTTGCCCAGGCTGGAGTGCAGTGGTGCAGTCTTGGCTCACTGCAGCCTGTCTTCTGGGTTAAAACGATTCTCCTGCCTCAGCCTCCCCAGTAGCTGGGATCATAGGCATGTGCCACCACGCCCAGCTAATTATTGTATTTTCAGTAGAGAAGGGGTTTCACCATGTTGGCCAGGCTGGTCTTGAATTCCTGGCCTCAAATGATCCACCCACCTCAGCCTCCCAAAGTGCTGGAATTACAGGTGTGAGCCACCAAGCCCAGCCTATATATATATATTTAAAGATGACAAGAAATTAACAACTCAGCATTTTGAGAATGGCATGTCAGGTTATCATGATTAGTACATGGGCACCTGGCTGTGGCTCATCTACTACCATATTCTTTGTTCTTCTAGATCCTTCTTGGCTTCCATCTTGGCAACTCCAAAGGCATGGTGGGGAAAACAGATGCAGAGATAGATGCCTATTTCTCCTGCAGTCTCTTTCAGCATAGCAATTAGGCAAGTTATCAATAAGAGTATATAATCTATAACTTATAGTCCACATAAGGCTTCACTCAATTTGAAAAATTGCCAGTTCTGTCAAATATGCTAACACTCCAATAAGGTATTTATGACACAGAATCTGCAAAAAGAAAAAGAAGGAGACATTTAAAATTAGAATAGTATTAATTATAACAAAGCAGATTGATATTTGAATAATCAATGTTATATTGGTTTAACTTCTAGATTTAATTCATGAAGCTTACCACATGCAATACACTCATTTTTGGCCAGGCACAGTGATTTATCCCTATAATCCCAGCACTTTGAGAGGCCGAGGCAGGAGGATCACTTGAGCCCAGCAGTTCAAGACCAGCCTGGGCAACAAAGGGAGACCTCATCTCTACAAAAAAATTTTAAAATGTAAAAAACAGCCAGGTGTAATGGTATACACCTATAGTCCCAGCTACTCACAAGGCTGAGGCAGGAGGATCACTTGAGCCCAAGAGTTAAAGGTTATAGTGAGCTATAATCACACTACTGCATTCCAGCCTGGGTGAAAGAATGAGACTCTCTCTAAAACAAAAAACCCCTCATTTTTACATTTTCTATTTCTTTCCCTTTTTGTTTTTTAATGCTGGTCTCATCAAAATTATTTCCCAACCTACTGTTGCACTGTGACCTCCAGTTTGAAAAACATGAATATAGTGCTTATAGAGTATTGACTTATTGGATCTACGAGGTAAGAGTTCAAATCTTGATTCTTCCTCTTGATAATCTATCTTGCTTGTCATTTAAACCTATCTTGGCCTCAGTTTCCTTGTTTTAAAATAAAATGTGGATAAAAACACCTAACTGTCCAGGCACGGTGGCTCATGCCTATAATCCCAGCACTTTGGGAGGCCGAGGTGGGTGGATCACTAGGTCAGGAGTTTGAGACCAGCCTGGCCAACATGGTGAAACCCCATCTCTACTAAAAATACAAAAATTAGCCAAGTATGGTGGTGGAGCCTGTAATCCCAGCTACTCGGGAGGCTGAGGCAGGAGAATTGCTTGAACCCAGGAGGCGGAGGCTGCAGTAAGCCAAGATCACACCACTGCACACCAGTCTAGGCAACAAAACAAGACTCCATCTCGAAGGAAAAAAAAAAAAATCTAACTAGCCAGGCATGGTGGCTCATGCCTGTAATCCCAACACTTTAGGAGGCCAAGGCAAGTGGATCATTTGAGGTCAGGAGTTCAAGACCAGCCTGGCCAACATGGTGAAACCTCATCTCTACTAAAAATACAAAAATAGCTGGGCATGGTGGCAGGCACCTGTAGTCCCAGCTACTCGGGAGACTGAGGCAGGAGAATCACTTAAACCCAGGAGGCGGAAGTTGCAGTGAGTTGAGATTGCACCACTGCACCCCAGCCTGGGTGACAGAGTAAGACTCCGTCTCAAAATAAATAAATAAATAAAGATAAAAATAGTAAAAAAAGTAAAATTACAAAAATTAGCCAGGTGTAGTGGCTCATGCTTGTAGTCCCAGCTACTCAGGAGGCTGAGGCACGAGAATCGCTTGAGCCTAGGAGGCAGAGGTTGTAGTTAGCTGAGATAGCACCACTGCACTCCAGCCTGGGTGATGGGGTGAGATTCTGTCTCAAAAAAAAAAACAAAAAGCACACACAGAAAAAACACCTAACTACAGGGTTGCTCTAAAGATTAGAATTTAAGTCTGTTAAACTCTTAGCACAGTAACAAGATCACAGGAAACATTTACTGAATGTACATTGTGGCTGTGTATTTTAATATATTTTAGGAGCCAATTCTCAGTTTATTTCTGATACTTTTTTTTTTTCTTTTGAGACGGAGTCTCGCTCTGTCACCCAGGCTGGAGTGCAGTGGCGCGATCTCGGCTCACTACAAGCTCCGCCTCTCGGGTTCACACCATTCTCCTGCCTCAGCCTCCCCCAGTAGCTGGGACTACAGATGCCCACCACCACGCCTGGCTAATTTTTTGTATTTTTAGTGGAGACGGGGTTTCACCGTGTTAGCCAGCATGGTCTCAATCTCCTGACCTCATGATCCGCCCGCCTCGGCCTCCCAAAGTGCTGGGATTACAGGCGTGAGCCACCATGCCTGGCCTATTTCTGATACTTCTTATCAGAAATCACTCTGTAGAGAATAAAACAATGTCTCTATTATTTCTTTCCCAATGAGGACAGAAAAGCCTGGAACATAAAGATGACATCTTAGTTCTGTGTTTCTGGCTATAATTTTGTCTAACACAAAATTCTCTATTACTCTGATAATTATTTCAAAATTTCACAAGGAACAATTCTGAAAGTTTCAAAGTTACTACAAAATAATAATTCACATTATTACCAAAAGCTGAAGCACACAGCATATAGTGTCCTTCCATTATAAGGCTATATCTAGAAGGCTAAAGACTGCAATAAACCATAAACCATAAAATAAAAGCTCTCTATTGTCTTGAATACATTCAAGTGTGTTTCTTCAATTGAGTGGACAATACAATCATCATACATTTTTAAAACCATAAAACAAGGAAAAATTACTTAACTAGATTGTTCAAACTAACCTTTATTTTTCCATCAGTATGTGCTGAAGCTACAGATGTTGAAACACGAACTAATCTTGTGGCTGATAAATGAATTTTGAAATGTCTATGGAAATGTGAATAAAGGCAATCCATGAATAGGTCAACTTCTTCCTGGGTAACCTCCCCAGGTGTTTTGTGGACACTGTCCCATAGAGCTTTTGCATCCTCTGGATGTATTGCGAAAGAAATGTCCAGACTTTGAGGGCTACAGGGTACAGACCAAAGAAATTCAGTAGTAGCCACATAATGGTCCATTTTGCATGCAGTCCACATGGCAGCCATCCAGGAAAGATTAAATGCATTGATTGCTAAAGGACTGAAATAACAGTCAAAGGTTTTCTGAAACCAAGTTCCAATTATTGCTGTGTTAGACTCTGCTCCATTTGCAAGGAATAAGGGCAGACAGGTGAAATCTTCTGAAACAGTCTCCAGAAGACTGTCTCCAAATACACAGCAGAACCAGCCAGTCCACAGCACTTTACCTTCTCTATTCTCAGATGGCAATTGAGATTTTGACACAATCTACAAAGAAAGTAAACAGGCTCCTTAAATTCAAAAGTACATTTACTTCTAAATTCCATCTTCTCAAAATTAGTTCATTAAAAATAAGACGAGCCAATGTAATACTTGCAAAAAAAAACATAGAGGGAATAGTCTCCCTAATGATTAACAGGGCTTATCAAAATAATTGGCCTTTTTTTTTTTTGAGATGGAGTCTCACTCTGTCGCCCAGGCTGGAGTGCGGTGGCGTGATCTCAGCTCACTGCAACCTCCACCTCCTGGGTTCAAGTGATTCTCCGGCCTCAGCCTCCCAAGTAGCTGGGATTACAGGCATGCACCACCATGCCCAGCTAATTTTTGTATTTTTAGTAGGGATGGGGTTTCACTGTATTGGTCAGGCTGGTCTCCAACCTCTGACCTCAGGTGATCTGCCCACCTCGGCCACCCAAAGTACTAGGATTATAGGCGTGAGCTACCAGGCCCGGCCCCCAATATTCTTATACAGTGGAAACATGATATATGGCAAAATCTTGGTGTAACCAAACTGCAAAATAAGAGCTACCAATATGGCATAACCAGGTGTAGTACCCTGAAACAAACAAACAAAAAAAACCCCTCAACTTTAGAAAGAACTGTGAAAGGTCACAAAATCTAACATGTTTGAATTCTTTCATTGAGGAAGGCTTCAATATTTCCTAAGGCAGCACTATCAACTTAAAATGTTCTTTTATATGTTAGACCCTACAGTTTCTACCCACTGGTCCTGCTTTCTTCCTTTTGGGCATGCAGAATATAATCACATCTGATCTCTCTTCTACAGGAAAAGTCCTTCAAATATTTGATGGTCCCCATCATACATAGTACTAAGTTCAATATTTCCAGTTTCTTCAACCATTCACCTATGACATACATTCACATTCTCTCACTATTCTAGTCACTCTTCCCTGAAATTATTCTGCATAGGAATCATTCATAAGTGAATATAATTACTTTAAAAAGCTCTGATTCGGGGAAGGAAGGGGGAAAAAGGTCTCATTGCAAGACTAACCACCACCTTTAACTAGATTATACTCCTATTAATGTAATCTCAGATTGCAGTTTTCTGGTTTTTAGTTGACAGCTTTATATAAACTAGCCCTGTATATTCATGTTTGCTTTATAGGTAAATCTCTCCCAACTTATACTGAGGCTGTAAATTTATTCCTACTAACATTTTAATCTCTTTTGATTTGGCTCATTGGACAATCCATTCAGAACATTTAGGATATTTTATTATATTTTTAGCTGATTGCCTAACCCCTCAAACTAAATTTTAAGTTACATGACAAACATGCCTTCCGGATACTCAAAGAACTCTGTTAAAGCATTAAGCAGACCAAGGTTAATATCATAGCTTTGTATCATACCCCTTCAGAAATGATCATTTACACAGTTCTTTTAACATATTTCTCCTTGTTCAAGAAATTATGAAAGACTCTCAAATAGCTGGAAGCTTAGATATATTAACTTTATCACACTTTCATGACCTAAGAGTCTTGTAACCCTATCAAGAAACGAAATTTAATTTGAAAACTATTAGAACACTATACCAGGAATTCAAGAGGTCATTTCTAATCCTCACAAGGGTAGATGCTTGACTGATAATATGCAAGTCACAAAACTTCTCTGTGCATCAAGTGCTTCACTTGACAAAAACTGCTAATTGTCTCTTGAGTATCCATTTTTCCTCCCACAATAAAACAGTCCCTTTATGGCTGGGCGAGATGGCTCATGCCTGCAATCTCAGGACTTTGGGAGGCCAATGCGGGTGGATCACGAGCTCAGGAGTTTGAGACCAGCCTGGGCAACACGGTGAAACCCTGTCTCTATAAAAATATAAAACTAGCCTGGCACGGTGGCACATGCCTATAGTCCTAGCTACTTGGGGGGCTGAGGAGGGAGGACTACTTGAACCCAGGAGGTAGAGGTTGCAGTGAGCCAAGACAGTACCACTGCACTCCAACCTGGTGACAGAGAAGCTGTCTCAAAAAAAAAAAAAAAAAGTCTCTTTAGTTAAGTTGGCAGAGTACTCACTGAAAAAAAAGTCTTTTCTAGCCTCCCTTCCAACTAAGATGTAAAGAGAAGTTACTGGGTCTCAGCAAGATTTACTCTGCATCAGGTTCTGTTTGTCCTTCCCATCTTCTTCCTACTTCCTGCCTGGAACTTGAATATAATGTTTAGAGCTGCTGGAGACATCTTATGTTAGACAATAAGGTAACTTCTAAGATGAAAACCATGCACTAAGGAGAAGAAAGAGCCTAGATTATTAATGATTTCATCAAGCATCATACCAGCCTCGGACAGCTTACATCCATGCACTTTTTTTTTAAAAAAAGACAGTATACCACTATCTTGTTTAATTCACTGTTATTTAGGCTAACCCTAATCCCAGAACATCTTGAGATCTTTGCCAATACCATGACCTATATCAGGGGTCAGCAAATTTTTTCTGTAAAGGGCCAGTTAGTAAGCATTTCAGACTTTGCTGGCAATATGGGCTCTGTTGCAACTTCTCAACTCTGCTGTTGCAGCACAAAAGCAGCCACAGACAATATATAAGCAAATAAAAGGGGCTATGTTCCAATAAAACCTTATTTACAAAAACAAGCAGCAGATCAGATTTGGCCTATGGGCCATGGTTTACTGACTCTAATCTATACAAACAAAAAGTCAGTCCTTTTCAACTGCTTGAGAACTTAATTTCCTTATCCATTATTAAGATTAGTTAGCTCAAAAGAAACAGAAGCAGCAGGCATGAATAATAAACAAAATAAATCTGAGGCTGAGTGTGGTGGTTCATGCCTGTAATCCCAGCACTTTGGGAGGCCAAGGTGGGTGGATCACTTGAGCCCAGGAGTTCAAGACCAACCTGGGCAACATGGCGAGACCCTGTCTACAAAAAATACAAAATTTACCCGAGTGTGGTGGCATGCACCTGCAGTCCCAGCTACTTGGAAGGCTAAGGTGGAAGGATCACTTGAGCCCAGGAGACAGAGGTTGCAGTCAACCAAGATCGTGCCACTGTACTCCAGCCTGGGTGACAAAATGAGACCCTGTCTCAAAAAAATAAAATAAAATAAAATAAACGCAACATTTTATATTCCTTCCTGTAAGTAGTATATAAGAGCAACAGAACTATCTTAAGAAACCAGATTTATTTATTTATTTATTGTATTTTTTGTAGAAATGGCATCTTGTCATGTTGCCCAGGATGGTCTCAAACTCCTAGGCTCAGGTGATCTGCCCGCCGTAGCCTCCCAAAGTGCTGGGATTACAGGCATGAGCCACTGCACCCAGCCTTAAAATGTTACATTTCTGAGAGTAACCTGGCATGAAGTATCACAAAATTTAATGATATATATTTTTATACTAAAATTCTACTTATAGAAATTTAATCCCAGTAAAAACCACAAAAATACAGAATTCCTAATGATATAAGTAATTGTCTACAATATTAGTAAAAATATCATAATGTAAAAGTATGGGCAATATGATCCCAATTTCAAGACTATATAGATACAGATAACCAAACATATATACCAAAATGTTAAACTATAATTTTTAACTTTTTTGGTATTTTTATGTATTTCCTCAGTTTTTAAAAATAAACATGATTTTGTACACAAACTACCTATATATATAGGAAAAAATTTTTTAAGTTGATTATATCTAATTATTATAGTTTAGTCAAACAAGACATAATACTTTTCCCCTAGGAAGCAAGAACTGTTTATGTATTATACCTGGACAAGAAATGCTTCCGGGTCCCTTTGTGTTCCTTTCATTCCTAGGAGAGTAGAAAAAATCACTTTGATGTTGAAGTCTTCTCCCACTTCCACAGCAAGTCCTTTTTGCTTTTCAGCAACAATAAAAGCATTGAGAAGTCTAGAATACTCTTTGAGATTACTATAGGAGAATTTATATAAGGGAGTTAAACTATATAAAGTCCACTGTTTATGCAGAAGGAATGCAACCTTTTGAGGGTCAACATCTTCCTATAAAAAAAAATCAAGACAAAAGAAGTTTAAGAATTAGGAAACAATAAGAATTTAATCATAGCATTTAAAACATCTAATACAAATATATTATTGAGTACCTGATTTTTGCACTCCAACCAAATGAGTTTGCAGGACTTTTTGCAGATCCTTGAACAGACCTTTACCTTTGCTGTACCTTCTCTTTAGAATGCTCTTCTCCCAAGTGTTCACATGGCAAGTTCCTTCACTTCATCAGTTCTCTACCCAAATGTAATCCAAGAGGCCACTCGATCTAAAGTAGCACCTGCACCCACTCCAACTTTGTATCACCTCATCTGGCTTTACTTTTCTTCACAGCACTTATTACTACCCAACATTATATTCTTGTCTGCAATTTTTTTGTATTTTTATTATCTGTCTTCCCTACTGGTGTATAAGCTGGATGACAGCAGTGATTTTGTCTATTTAGTTCTCTCTAGAACAATGCTATCTAGAATAAGTGTTCAATAAATATTTAACATAAAATTTATGTTTCACTTTTAGAAACCTCAAACTATAGATTTCAAAAGTAGTAACCATTCCTAAAGTATCTAATTTGATTAGTCTTAATTTAAAAAATTGTTTGGGCCAGGCACAGTGGCTGACGACTGTAATCCCAGCACTTTGGGAGGCTGAGGCAGGCGGATCACAAGGTCAGGAGTTTGAGACCAGCCTAGCCAACATGGTAAAACCCCATCTCTACTAAAAATACAAAAATAAATAAGCCAGGCATGGTGGTGTGCACCTGTAATCCCAGCTACTCAGGAGGCTGAGGCAGGAAAATTGCTTGAATCTGGAAGGCAGAGGTTGCAGTGAGCCGAGATCACGCCACTGCACTCCAGCCTGGGTGGCAGAGCGAGACTCTGCCTTAAAAAAAAAAAAAATTGGCAGCAAATCTACTTTATGAAACCATGCCCAATTCAATAGATTAAATAAAAAGATACTTGGGGGCTGGTCCAAAGGTAGTGAGTTATCTCAGTTGATTGTTCACAATCAGTTATAGATCAAACTCCTTGTTTCCAACTCCCTGTTCTACTCTTTCCCCCTTCCCCCTTTGTCACTACTGTGCTAGACTAGTCTTAAAAAAAAAAAAAAAAAGATATTTGGGAATATTTTTTGCCATGCTCTATTAGAACCACAGGTACGATTAAAAACAAAAACACTTCATTTATACCATATACTATATATAAAAATTAACTCAAGGTGGATTAAAGACTTAAATGTAAAACACAAAACTATAAAAACCCTGGACGACAACCTAGGCAATACCATTCAGGACATAGGTACAGGCAAAGATTTCATGACAAAGACGCCAAAAGCAATTGCAATGAAAGCAAAAATTAACAAATGGGATCTAATTAAACTAAAGGGCTTCTGCACAGCAAAAGAAACTATCAACAGAGTAAACAGAAAACCTACAGAATGGGAGAAAATTTTTGCAAACCATGCATCTGACAAAGGTCTACTATCCAGCACCAATAAGGAACTTAAACAAATTTACAAGAAAAAAAATGGGCCAGGTCAGGCGTGGTGGCTCACACCTGTAATCCCAACACTTTGGGAGGCCGAGGCGGGTGGATCACCTGAGGTCAGGAGTTCGAGACCAGCCTGGCCAACATGGTGAAACCCGGTCTCTACTAACAATACAAAAAAATTAGCTGGGCGTGGTGGCGGGCACCTGTAGTGCCAGCTACTCCGGAGGCTGAGGCAGGAGAATCGCTTGAACCCAGGAGGCGGAGGTTGCAGTGAGCCAAGATCGTACCATTGCACTCCAGCCTGGGTGATAGAGCAAGACTCCCAGCACTTTGAGAGGGTGGGGAGGGTTGATCACCTGAGGTCAAGAGTTCCAGACCAGCCTGGACAACAGGGTGAACCACTGTCTCTACTAAAAATACAAAAAAAATTAGCCAGGCATGGTGGTGGATGCCTGTAATCCCAGCTACTCAGGAGGCTGAGGCAGAAGAATCGCTTGAATCTGGAAGGCAGAAGTTGCAGTTAGCCAAGATCATGCCACTGCACTCCAGCCTGGCTGGGTGACAGAGTGAGACACTCTCTAAAAAAAAAAAACAAAACAACAACAAAAAAAAAACAACCCCATTAAAAAGTCAGCAAAGGACATAAGCAGACACTTCTCAAAAGAAGACATACATGAGGCCAACAATCATATGAAGAAAAGTTCAACATCACTGATCATTAGAGAAATGCAAATCAAAACCACAATGAGATGCTATCTCACATCAGTCAGAATGGCTATTATTACAAAGTAAAAAAACAACAGATGCTGGTGAGGTTGTGGAGAAAAATAAAAAGTCAAAAAAAAACAGATGCTGGTGAGGTTGTGGAGAAAAAGGAATGCTTATACATTGTTGGTAGGAGTGTGAATTAGTTCAACCATTGTGGAAGACTGTGTGGCAATTCCTCAAAGACCTAGAGACAGAAATATTATTTGACACACCAATCTCCTTACTGGGTATATACCCAAAGGAATATAAATCAGTCTACCATAAAGACACATGCATGCATACACTCACTGCAGCACTATTCACAATAGCAAAGACATGGAATCAACCTAAATGCCCATCAATGACAGACTGGATAAAGAAAATGTGGTACATATACACCATGGAATATTATGCAGCCATAAAAATGAATGAGATCATATCCTTTGCAGGGACATGGATGGAGCTGGAGGCCATTATCCTTAGCCAACAAGCAAAGGAACAGAAAACCAAATACCACATGTTCTCACTTATAAGTGGGAGCTAAATGATGAGAACACATGGAAACATAGAGGGGAACAACACACGCTTAGGCCTGTCGGGGGTGGAGGGTGGGAGGAAGGAGAGAAGCAGGAAAAATAACTAATGGATATTAGGCTTAACATCTGGGTGATGAAATAATCTGTACAACCAACCCCCATGACGCACGTTTACCTAGAAAACAAACCTGCACATCCTGCACATATACCCCTTAACTTAAAATAAAAGTTAAAAAAAAAATACCGTGGACATGATTCAGATTAAAGGAGGTTAAAATACATAAAAACTCCTCGTATATATGGGTTGCATGTTTGAAAATTACTTTAAAAATAAATAAACAGGCCGGGCGCGGTGACTCATGCCTGTAATCCCAACACTTGGGGAGGCTGAGGCGGGCAGATCACAAGGTCAGGAGATCGAGACCATCCTGGCTAACATGGTGAAACCCCGTCTCTACTAAAAAATACAAAAGATTAGCTGGGCATGGTAGCGGGCGCCTGTAGTCCCAGCTACTGGGGAGGCTGAGGCAGGAGAATGGCCGCCAGGAGGCAGAGCTTGCAGTGAGCCAAGATCGCGCCACTGCACTCCAGCCTAGGTGACAGAGCAAGACTCTGTCTCAAAATAAATAAATAAATACATAAATACAAATATAAAAAACAAATAAAAGACATAAAGAGGTAGCACTGATCGTTATGAAATTGTTTCTTTCTCATTTATTTTATTAGCTGAGGGGTTAAGAAGATACTAAGAATACTATAGTTACAAAAATTGAAATGTTTTGTTCACAGATATTCTCAATTATTGACTAACACAAAGGGACACAAAAAGCATACCTGCAACTGCGAACACTGGGGAATTTTCCTTCGAGGTGGAGTCAGGATAAATGAACTCTGCTTCCTGACCGATTCTAATCGTTTCTGCAGAGGAGTGGCACCTATAAAGTAATCTTCAGGTCTTGAGGATGCACTAGGAGTTGACTCTGGTGCACTGTAAGAATCCATGGTCTGTCTGCATAAGAAGAAACAAAACCAGAATTCTAAGCACTAAAAAGTTAATTCATGCTTACAGTTTCACTGATTCCTCACTCTAAAGGAATCCTTTCTCTTTCTGTCTTTTCCCCTCCCTATCCCCAGTTTTGACTTTTAAACCAAGTCCTATATTCCTCATTGGCTATAGCCCACTTTTATGTATATCTTACAGATACCTCAAAAACAGTATATGTTCAAAACTAAATTCAACTTCTTTTCCTCCTTCAAAAAGCTAACTGATCCATTTTCAAATTCCTGTCAATTTGCTAAGTTAACTTAAATTCATGTAGTCCCCCACCTTCATTCTTTAACACATAGTCATTAAGCACATTCTACTGAATTTTTCTGTCAAGAATCTGTCTAATCCAGTTCCAAGATGGCTGAATAGGAACAGCTCCGGTCTGCAGCTCCCAGCATGATCGATGCAGAAGACAGGTGATTTCTGCATTTCCAACTGAGGTAACTGGTTCATCTCACTGGGACTGGCTGGACAGTGGGTGCAGCCCATGGAGGGTGAGCCAAAACAGGGTGGGGCATTGCCCCACCTGGGAAGCGCAAGGGGTCCAGGGATTTCCCTTTCCTAGCCAAGGGAAGCCATGACAGACTGTACCTGGGAAAATGGGACACTCCCACCCAAATATTGCACTTTTCCATATGGCCCTGGCAACCGGCAGACTAGGAGATTCTCTCCCGTGCCTGGCTTGGTGGGTCCCACACCCATAGAGCCTTGCTCACTGCTAGCCCAGCAGCCTGAGATTGACCTGCGAGACAGCAGCCTCGTGGTGGGGAGGGGCGTCCGCCATTGCTGAGGCTTGAGTAGGTAAACAAAGTGGCCATGAAGCTCAAACTGGGCGAAGCCCACCACAGCTCAGCAAGGCCTACTGCCTCTATAGACTCCACCTCTGTGGGCAGGGCATAGCTGAACAAAAGGCAGCAGAAACGTCTGCAGACTTAAACATCCCTGTCTGACAGCTCTGAAGAGAGCAGTGGTTCTCCCAGCATGGCATTTGAGCACTAAGAACAGACAGACTGCCTCCTCAAGTGGGTCCCTGACCCCCGTGTAGCCTAATTGGGAGACACCTCCCAGTAGGGGCCGACTGACACCTCACACAGGCAGGTGCCACTATGGGACGAAGCTTCCAGAGGAAGGATCAGGCAGCAATGTTTGCTGTTCTGCAGCCTCTGCTGGTGATACCCAGGCAAACAGAGTCTGGAGTGGACCTCCAGCAAACTCCAACAGACCTGTAGTCTAGGGACCTGACTGACAGAAGGAAAACTAACAAACAGAAAGGAATAGCATCAACATCAACAAAAAGGACATCCACACCAAAACCCCATCTGTAGGTCACCAACATCAAACACCAAAGGTAGATAAAACCACAAAAATGGGGAGAAACCAGAGCAGAAAAGCTGATAATTCTAAAAACCAGAGGGCCTCTTCTCCAAAGGATCACAGCCCCTCGCCAGCAACGGAACAAAGCTGGATGGAGAATGGCTTTGATGAGTTGACAGAAGTAGGCTTCAGAAGGTCGGTAATAACAAACTTCTCAGAGCTAAAGGAGCATGTTGTAACCCATCGCAAGGAAGCTAAAAATCTTGAAAAAAGGTTAGATGAATGGCTAACTAGAATAAACAGTGTAGAGAAGAACTTAAATGACCTGATGGAGCTGAAAACCATGGCACAAGAACTTCATGATGCATGCACAAGCTTCAATAGCCAATTCAATCAAGTGGAAGAAAGGATATCAGTGACTGAAGATCAAATTAACGAAATAAAGCGAGAAGACAAAGTTAGAGAAAAAAGAGTAAAAAGAAACGAACAAAGGCTCCAAGAAATATGGGACTATGTGAAAATACCAAATGTACGTTTGATTGGTGTACCTGAAAGTGACGGGGAGAATGGAACCAAGTTGGAAAACACTCTGCAGGATATTATCCAGGAGAACTTCCCCAACCTAGCAAGGCAGGCCAACATTCAAATTCAGGAAATACACAGAACACCACAAAGATACTCCTCAAGAAGAGCAACCCCAAGACACGTAATTGTCAGATTCACCAAGGTTGAAATGAAGGAAAAAATGTTAAGGGCAGCCAGAGAGAAAGGTCGGGTTACCCACAAAGGGAAGCCCATCAGGCTAACAGCGGATCTCTCGGCAGAAACTCTACAAGCCAGAAGACAGTGGGGGCCAATATTCAACATTCTTAAAGAAAAGAATTTTCAACCCAGAATTTCATATCCAGCCAAACTAAGCTTCATAAGTGAAGGAGAAATAAAATCCTTTACAGACAAGCAAATGCTAAGAGATTTTGTCACCACGAGGCCTGCCTTACAAGAGCTCCTGAAGGAAGCACTAAACATGGAAAGGAACAATCAGTACCAGCCACTGCAAAAACACGCGAAATTGTAAAGATCATCAATGCTAGGAAGAAACTGCATCAACTAACGGGCAAAATAACCAGCTAACATCATAATGTCAGGATCAGAGTCACACCTAACAATATTAACCTTAAATGTAAATGGACTAAATACCCCCATTAAAAGACACAGACCGGCAAATTGGATAAACAGTCAAGACCCATCAGTGTGCTGTATTCAGGAGACCCATCTCACATGCAGAGACACACATACGCTCAAAATAAGGGAGATAGAGGAAGATCTACCAAGCAAATGGAAAGCAAAAAAAAGCAGGGGTTGCAATCCTAATCTCTGATAAAACAGACTTTAAACCAACAAAGATCAAAAGAGATAAGGAAGGCCACTACATAACGGTAAAGAGATCAATTCAACAAGAAGAGCTAACTACCATATATATGTATATATATGCACCCAATACAGGAGCACCCAGATTCATAAAGCAGGTCCTTAGAGACCTAGAAAGAGACTTAGACTCCCACACAATAATAATGGGAGACTTTCACACCCCACTGTCAATATTAGACAGATCAACGAGACAGAAGGTTAACAAGGATATCCAGGACTTAAACTCAGCTCTGCACCAAGTGGACCTAATAGACATCTACATAACTCTCCACCCCAAATCAACAGAATATACATTCTTCTCACCACCACATCCCACTTATTCTAAAATTGACCACATAATTGGAAGCAAAGCACTCTTCAGCAAATGTAAAAGAACAGATATCACAACAAACTGTCTCTCAGACCACAGTACAATCAAATTAGAACTCAGGATTAAGAAACTCATTCAAAACCGCCCAACTACATGGAAACTGAACAACCTGCTCCTGAATGACTACTGGTTAAATAATAAAATGAAGGCAGAAATAAAGACGTTCTTTGAAACCAATGAGAACAAAGACACAATGTACCAGAATCTCTGGGACACATTTAAAGCAGTGTGTAGAGGAAAATTTATAGCACTAAATGCCCACAAGAGAAAGCAGGAAAGATATACAACTGACACCCTAACATCACAATTAAAAGAACTAGAGAAGCAAGAGCAAACAAATTCAAAAGCTAGCAGAAGGCAAGAAATAACAAAGATCAGAGCAAAACTGAAGGAGATAGAAACACAAAAAAACTCTTCAAAAAAATCAATGAATCCAGGAGCTGGTTTTTTGAAAAGATCAATAAAGTTGATAGACCGTTAGCAAGACTAATAAAGAAGAAAAGAGAGAAGAAGCACATAGATGCAATAAAAAATGCTAAAGGGAATATCACCAGTGATCCCACAGAAATACAAACTACCATCAGAGAATACTATAAACACCTCTATGCAAATAAACTAGAAAATCTAGAAGAAATGGATAAATTCCTGGACACATACACCCTCCCAAGACTAAACCAGGAAGAAGTCGAATCACTGAATAGAACAATAACAGGCTCTGAAACTGAGGCAATAATTAATAGCCTACCAACCAAAAAAAGGCTACGACCAGATGGATTCACAGCCAAATTCTACCAGATGTACAAAGAGGAGCTGGTACCATTCCTTCTGAAACTATTCCAATCAACAGAAAAAGAGAGAATCCTCCCTAACTCATTTTATGAGGCCAGCATCATCCTGATGCCAAAGCCTGGCAGAGACACAACAAAAAAAGAGAATTTTGGACCAATATCCCTGATGAACATGGATGCAAAAATCCTCAATAAAATACTGGCAAACTGAATCCAGCAGCACATCAAAAAGCTTATCCACCATGACCAAGTCAGCTTCGTTCCTAGGATGCGAGGCTGGTTCAACATACGCAAATCAATAAATGTAATTCATCACATAAACAGAAACAACAACAAAAACCACATGATTATCTCAATAGATGCAGAAAAGGCCTTCAACAAAATTCAATAGGCCTTCATGCTAAAAACTCTCCATAAACTAGATATTGATGGAACATATCTCAAAATAATAAAAGCTATTTATGACAAACCCACCGCCAATATCATACTGAATGGGCAAAAACTGGAAGCATTCCCTTTGAAAACTGGCACAAGACAGGGATGCCCTCTCTCACCACTCCTATTCAATATACTGTTGGAAGTTCTGGCCAGGGCAATCAGGCAAGAGAAAGAAATAAAGGGTATTCAATTAGGAAAAGAGGAAGTCAAATTGTCCCTGTTTGCAGATGACATGACTGTATATTTAGAAAACCCCATTGTCTCAGC
Source organism: Homo sapiens (assembly GCF_000001405.40). Taxonomy (NCBI): domain Eukaryota; kingdom Metazoa; phylum Chordata; class Mammalia; order Primates; family Hominidae; genus Homo; species Homo sapiens. Next base: position 173,815,951 of record NC_000001.11, read on the forward strand.
CCAAAATCTCCTTAAGCTGTTAAGCAACTTCAGCAAAGTCTCAGGATACAAAATCAATGTGCAAAAATCACAAGCATTCCTATACACCAATAACAGACAGAGAGCAAAATCATGAGTGAACTCCCACTCACAATTGCTACAAAGAGAATAAAATACCTAGCAATCCAACTTACAAGGGATGTGAAGGATCTCTTCAAGGAGAACTACAAACCACTGCTCAACAAAATAAAAGAGGACACAAACAAATGGAAGAACATTCCATGCTCATGGATAGGAAGAATCAATATCGTGAAAATGGCCATACTGCCCAAGGTAATTTATAGATTCAGTGCCATCCCCATCAAGCTACCAATGACTTTCTTCACAGAATTGGAAAAAACTACTTTAAAGTTCATACGGAAACAAAAAAGAGCCCACATTGCCAAGACAATCCTAAGCAAAAAGAACAAAGCTGGAGGCATCATGCCACCTCGCTTTAAACTATACTACAAGGCCACAGTAACCAAAACAGCATGGTACTGGTACCAAAACAGAGATATAGACCAATGGAACAGAACAGAGGCCTCAGAAATAACACCACACATCTACAACCATCTGATCTTTGACAAACCTGACAAAAACAAGAAACGGGACAAAGATTCCCTATTTAATAAATGGTGCTGGGAAAACTGGCTAGCCTTATGTAGAAAGCTGAAACTGGATCCCTTCCTTACACCTTATACAAAAATTAATTCAAGATGGATTAAAGATGTAAATGTTAGACCTAAAACCATAAAAACCCTAGAAGAAAACCGAGGCACTATCAATCAGGACACAGGCATGGGCAAGGACTTCATGACTAAAACACCAAAAGCAATGGCAACAAAAGCCAAAATAGACAAATGGGATCTAATTAAACTGAAGACCAGGCCGGGCGCAGTGGCTCACGCCTGTAATCTCAGCACTTTGGGATGCTGAGGCGGGTGGATCACAAGGTCAGGAGTTCGAGCCCAGCCTGGCCAATATGGTGAAACACCATTTCTACTAAAAATACAAAAATTAGCCAGGCATGGTGATGTGCGCCTATACTCTCAGCCACTTGGGAGGCTGAGGCAGGAGAATCGCTGAACCCAAGGAGGCAGAGGTTGCAGTGAGCCAAAATCGTGCCCCTGCACTCTAGCCTGGGTGACAGAGCGAGACTCCGTCTCAGAAAAAAAAGAAAGCAAAAAAATAAATAAATAAATACTGTCTGCACAGCAAAAGAAACTACCATCAGAGTGAACAGGCAATCTACAGAATGGGAGAAAATTTTTGCAATCTACCCATCAGACAAAGGGATAATATCCAGAATCTAAAAAGGACTTAAACAAATTTACAAGAAAAAAACAAACAACCCCATCAAAAAGTGGGCAAAGGATATGAACAGACACTTTTCAAAAGAAGACATTTATGAAGCCAACAAACACATGAAAAAATGCTCTTCATCACTGGTCATCAGAGAAATGCAAATCAAAACCACAATGAGATACCATCTCACACCAGTTAGAATGGCGATCATTAAAAAGTCAGGAAACAACAGATGCTGGAGAGGATGTGGAGAAATAGGAATGCTTTTACACTGTTGGTGGGAGTGTAAACTAGTTCAACCATTGTGGAAGACAGTGTGGCAATTCCTCAAGGATCTAGAACTAGAAATACCATTTGACCCAGCGATCCCGTTACTGGGTATATACCCAAAGGATTATAAATCATGCTATTATAAAGACACATGCACACATATGTTTATTGCGGCACTATTCACAATAGCAAAGACTTGGAACCAACCCAAATGTCCACAATGATAGACTGGATTAAGAAAATGTGGCACATATATACCATGGAATGCCATGCAGCCATAAAAAAGAATAAGTTCATATCCTTTGCAGGGACATGGATGAAGCTGGAAACCATCATTCTCAGCAAACTATCACAAGGACAGAACACCAAACGCCGCATGTTCTCACTCATAGGTGGGAATTGATCAATGAGAACAATTGGACACAGGGCGGGGAATATCACATACCGGGGCCTGTCGAGGGGTCAGTGGCTGGGGGAGGGATAGCATTAGGAGAAATACCTAATGTAAATGATGAGTTGATGGCTGCAGCAAACCAACATGGCACATGTATACCTATGTAACAAACCTGCACATTTTGCACATGTACCCTAGAACTTAAAGTATAATTTAAAAAATAAAATAAATTTTTTAAAAATGTTAAAAAAAAAATCTGTCATCCCTTCACAAAGCTAATTCCTTAGCCACAACTAAGAGTTCTCCGTATCCAGAGTAATCCATTCTTCCAAAAATAGCACTTTATTTTATCTATGCAAAAACCTTTACAGTAACAAGACAAATCCTAAACTCTTCTGCTGGGTTTAAGGTCTTTCTAATTCAGCTTCTCTTTATTTTCCTAATTCTCCTCTCCAACCTGGGACATAAACATATTCTTATCTTCATGTGTTTGCTTCTCAACTGCATTTCCTATCTTAAGCGTCCTTTTCCCATCTCACCTCCTTTAAGACCATGCTAGAAATTTGATCTCCTTTCAAACTAGGGTGTTTTTAACCTTTTGGTCCTGAAATACCTATGGCATACATTTTTATCTGTTATCTGTTATCAGTGGCTCATTCCTGGAAGCAGAGTATGCATGTGTGTGTGTGTGCTGAATGAGCTCTCATCTCTAAATAAGTCTGAAAAAATCCCTCAAGAATGTTCTACAAAATCCTTGGAGATATACCAGCACACATAGCTTTCCTCAATCACCCAGTCTGTACCACTCATTTTAGCCCCTGTTCATATACTTCCTTGTACCATTTTTCAGTGTGTATTTCTTGTACCCTCAGTAAAACTAAGCTACTGTCACTGAAACCATGCTTTATATTTCTCTTGTATAATTACCCAAATACAAGGCTGAGTGTCCTTTAATTGTTAAACAAGTATTGGTTCAATTAAACGGAAGTATTTCATAGAACTTCCAAATTAGGGCCGGGCATGGTAGCTCATGACTGTAATCCCAACACTTTGGGAGGCTGAAGCAGGTGGATCACTTGAGCTCAGATGTCTGAGACCAGCCTGGGCAACGCTGTGAGACTCCATCTCTACAAAAAATAAAAAATAACTAGCCAGGTGTGGTAGTGCACACCTGTGGTCCCAGCTACTCAGGAGGCTGAAGTAGGACTGCATGAGCCCAGGAGGTCAAGGCTGCAGTGAGATGTGATCATGCCACCGAATTCCAGCCTGGGTGACACAGCAAGACCCTCTCAAGAAAAAAAGAAACACAAAATTAAAATACAATTTTCATTAAAAGGAATTATCATTTCAAAGTTATGATTAGTCTCAGCTGGGCGTAGTGGCTCACGCCTGTAATCCCAGCACTTTGGGAGGCCGAGGAAAAGTGGATCACCTGCAGTCAGAAGTTTGAGACCAGCCTGACCAACATGGTGAAACTCCGTCTCTACTAGAAAAACAAAAATTAGCTGGGTATGGTGGCACACACCTGTAGTCCCAGCTACTCAGGAGGCTGAGAGGAGAATCGCTTGAACCCGGGAGGTGGAGGCTTCAGTGAGCCAAGAGCACACCACTGCACTCCAGCCTGGGTGAGACAGAGCAAGACTCCATCTCAACAACAACAACAAAAGTTATTAGTCTCAACTACTACACAATTACCCTTTTGAAAAGTTTTTTACGAATAAAAAGTTATATTACTATATTTACTTATTTTATTTTATTTTATTTTTTGAGATGGAGTCTCACTGTTGTTGGCCTGGGCTGGAGTGCAATGGCGCGATCTCGGCTCACTGCAACCTCTGCCTCCTGGGCTCCAGCAATTCTCTTGACTCAGTCTCCTGAGTAGCTGAGATTACAGCTGCCCGCTACCATGCCTGGCTAATTTTTTGTTTGTTTTTTTTTTTGTATTTTTAGTAGAGACAGTGTTTCACCATGTTGGCCAGGCTGGTCTTGAACTCCTGACCTCAGGTGATCCACCAGCCTCCCAAAGTGTTGGGATTACAGGTGTGAGCCACCGCACTCGGCCCATATTTAAATAGTATTATATTTAAAATAGCACAGGTTGAGCATCCCTTACCCAAAATGCTTGGGATCAAAAGTGTTTTTGAATTTCAGATTTTCTCAAATTTGGGAATATTTGTATCACACTGGTCAAGCATCCTTAATCCAAAAATCTGAAATCCAAAATGCTCCAGTGAACATTTCCTTCCAGCATCATGTCAGTGCTCAAAAAGATTCACGTTATGGGGCATTTCAGACTTCAGATTTAACCTGTAACTTCTATTTCAATATGTTAGACTAGGACACCATTTATATCTTGCACAAAACTCCACAAATTAAACATGTAGTCCTAGCATGGACAACACAGCAAGACCCCATCTTTCAAAAAAAAAAAAGGAATTAGCCTGGCATGATGGTAGTCGTAGCCACTCCAGAGGCTGAGGCAGGAGGAGTGCTTGAGCCCAGGAGTTTGAGGCTGCAGTGAGCTATGATCACACCACTGCACTTTAGTCTGAGCAAGAGTGAGACCCTCTCTAATTAATAAATAAATAAATACATAAACTAAACATGTAGCATTATTTGTCCTTAAAGCTCAAATAATGTCCAGAGCAAGTTCATATACCACACAATTTATTTATTTATTTTTAGAAATGTTCATAGTAGCTTTATTCATAATAGCCAAAAATTGAAAACAACTCAGTGGGTGAATGATAAATAAACTGTGGTACATCCACACCATGTAATAGTACTCAGCAATGAAAAGAAACAAATTATTGATACATGCAACAACTTGGATGTTAAAGCCAATCCAAAAAGGTCACATATAAAATTTCATACATTTAACATTTTTAAAATGACAAAGTTAAAGGAATGAAAACAGATGAGTGGCTGACAGAGATCAGGGAAAGGGAAGAGGGTGGGAGGGACATAAATGTGACTATAAAAAGGCAACACAAGAATTCCTTGTGGTGATGGAACTGTATCTTGACTGTAGTGAATACATGACTCTACACCAGACACCACACAATTTAAATAGCAGCTATTCTAAAGCATCCTAGCTTTAAATGCATATTGAATTACCTATTTCAAAGGGAATTTTAATCAATCCTACTTAGACAGAATGTTTCCTTCAAATTTGTTACTTGGTACAATAATTGCTAACACTTATTGAGCATTCATCATGTTTCAGGTACTCTTCTAAGCCCTTTATAAATATTTTCTCATTTAATCTTCAAACAACCCCATGAAGTAGATCATGCTCCCAGCTAACAAATAGGAAATCAGACAAGTTAAGTAACTTGCCAAAGTCAACAAGTTAGAGTGGAAGAGTCAGGATTTGAATCCAGACAGTCTAACTCTGCAATGAGTGCACTTAGCTACTTCTTTCACGTTGCCTTTTAAACAGGGATCAATTATGAGGCAACATAAGCCCTGCTGAATTTGACTCCTTAAAAGAGAAATGCTATGAATCCCAAAAAGATTTTAAAGTCTAGGTGACTTTAAAAAGTCTAGCAATAAATGTAGGTGAGAAAAAGACTATCAGCACTAAGAGGGATGGTTTTGAAAAAACATGTCAATTGTGTATTTAATGTTAACGTAAAATAGCCCAATCCACGAATTAAAGATTAGCAAATGATTTATACTTATTTTACCTTCTCATCTCACACTCAAGAATGTGTAATTTTTGCCCAGCACAATAATCCAGAGGTTATTAATATACCTTGGCTCAATATATTACTGTCCCAATACTCTTCCTTCCAATCGGAAGCAAAGAGGTCCTCTTACTTGTATCTCCCCTGGACACCATCTCCTTTGTGTACTTCAGCCTTTTTTTTTTTTTTTTTTTTTTTTGAGACAGGGTCTCACTCTGTTGTCCAGGCTGGAGTGCAGTGGCCTGATATCACTGCAGCCTCCACCTGCTGGGCTCAGGCGATCCTCCCACCTCAGCCTCTCGAGTAGCTAGGACTACAAGCGTGCACCACCACAACCAGGCTGTACTTCACATCTCTATCATCTTTAATCACTCCTATACAGGATCCTTTTCTTTCACTGCCAAGCATATTCTAGTATTTCTAACATTAAAAATTTGTGTTTAAATCCAATTCGTCTCATTCCTTCTGAGACCAATCTCCTGGAAACGTCGTCTACACCTATTGCCTCCAGTTACTAATAAATATTTTACTAGAAATCTTCAGCAATCTCTTTCTTCCATCTATCACTACAAAGAAACTGTACTTTCGAAGATCATTGTTTTTGCCAAAACCATGGCCAAATACTTTGTTCATCAAGTTTGTTCATCCTTACTCCTCTAAACTTTCTGGGACCTTGTTTCCTCTGACATTCCATTTTTTAGGGGCTTTTCTCCTCCTTACTTTTTATAGTTCCAATTTATTTACTGATTCTTTTTTTTTCCTCATGTTCCAATAGTAGGTGGCCCCAGATTCTGAAAATCATTCATTCTACATAGGAAAATAATCATTCTATATGACTCCTAAATCTCTGTCTTCAGACCATTACAGCTGCAACCCAGTCCTGCATTTCCAACCTCCGTCAAACTCATTAAGTTCAAAACTAATCATCGCTTCACATCTTATTCAATCTTTCTTTGCCAACTACTGTACTCTGTTTTGCTCAGTAATAATTCCATTCTTCCTTTTCATTTTCTTTCCCCACTAAAAAAACTTTCATCATCTTTTACTCTTCCTTCAACATCACCTTTACATCTAAAAAGTTAACTTTGTTAACTTTATCATCAAATTCTCACATATTTCTTTTTTGAAGACAGAGTCTCACTCTGTCTCCCAGGCTGGAGTGCAGTGGTGCAATCTTGGCTCACTGCAACCTCCACCTCCCAGGTTCAAGTGATTCTCCTGCCTCAGCCTCCCCAGTAGCTGGGACTACAGGTATGCACCAACACGCCTGGCTAATTTTTGTATTTTTTGGTAGAGATGGGGTTTCTCCATGTTGGCCAGGCTGGTCTTGAACTCCTGACCTCAGGTGATCCGCCTGCCTTGGCCTCCCAAAGTGCTGGATTACAGGCATAAGCCACCACACCTGGCCTCTGACATATTTCTTAAAAAGATATACACTTGTCCTCTTAGATGTGGGCTTCACTTTCATTCTCAATTATAGCTACTTATCTTGTTCCCAATCTTAGCCCCTTTCCCTAATCCATCATCAGTCTTTCATTGTCACCACTTTTATCATTACCTTGCTTGAGATCCCATAACAGTTCCCACACATCTATATGAAGTCAAATCAGAATTCCTGTCTGGCTTTCAAGGCACTACTGTATTTGATCTTATTATCTGATCCTATCCAGGTTCATTTTCTACTACTTCAGTTCTTCCCCAAGATCCATCGACATTAGCCTTTCCAAAATCCAACATTCTGCATACACTTCCTCTAAGGTTTTGTATACAACATTGGGGGGTGGGGGGATGGGAGTGAAGAAAGTTCCAGTAGACAATTCTTTAAGAGGTTAAATGACAGCCCTATACCCAAACATGCACCCCCTACTCTAGACAGATGATCACTCTACTGTTCTCCCTGCCTTTTTATTCACCTTATCGCCAATTAAAAACACTTCTCTACTCCCGTTTGTCTCAGTAAATCTTATCCATTTTCCATGTGCCATCTCCTCAGAAGTTTTCCTGAGCTTGGCAGGGCTAGTTCTCTTGACAATTCCACTTGCAGTTGTGGTTCACAGCACACAAGTAAAGCTTTGTTGTTTCTCTTGTGATTAGTCCGTGAAGGGGCTCTGACTTGATCACTTTTCTACATTGCCACCAATACCTAAATCCAACCGCCCCAATGCCAATACTTAGCCAGTGTTAAGCACGTAGTGTTTAAACACACCTCAACACGCAAGTATTGTAAGATAATGACCACACAACAGGGCAAATACAAAGTTAAAGCAGGTCCGGGACCAATACAAAGCATCTTTACCAATAAAATGCCGTGATGACGCTGTCACCCATTCCGGATTCACGAATCATTCTTCAAAAGTCCGGCTCCAAAACTATGTGGAGACTGAAATCCCCTGAAGAAAAAAAAAAAAAACCGCCAAAATGACAGCTAAGACAGAGGCCAGACTAACCCCTGGCCCTCCCAAATTCCCTCTCGCTCCACAAGTGGGTTCACAAGAGACACAAACGCACCCAGGAAGACCTCCGCTCCCTCAGACGCGGGGCGGGCCCTGCGACTTCACTCTGGGAGGGACATTTCCGCTCACCCAGCTCTGCGACCCTCGCTCCTGCGGAGTCAGCTTCTGCTCGCGGAGGGGGAAGGGCAAAAGGACAGTGCGTCCCAACCCGTCCCTCTCCAGCTGAGCCTGTCAGAGACCAGCCCAGCTCTGAAATCAAGCCGTTGAGAAAAGGGAATTCGGCCCTCCGCCGCCTCTTCAGTTTAAAATCGTTTCCCGACTCGCTCTGCGGCCCCACGCAGGAAGCCTCCTTGGCGCCTCGCCGATTCCGTATCAGTGAAGCAACTAAAATTGCCATTTTAACTGAGGGCAAGGCCGAGCCACTTAACCACTATCGTCAACCTTTCCAATCGTGCTCGGTTGCTCCTCAGTTTTCCTACCGGTGCGAAGCTTTCTCTCAAATTTCCGCCCGTAGTAGGCATGGCGGCGGCACCTCACCACTGATTCGTTGAATTCCTTCCCGGTAATCTTGGGCACTAGCGGGCGGAGTTGAAGGGCGCTTGGACCCCAGCGGCGATCTGTGTTTGGGTTCGCGCTCTGGGAGAATTTTGGCTTTGCTCGCCTTCCTCTTTCAGAAGACTCGAAATCGGCCAGCAGGTCTGCGAGATTTGAAACGCGACTGTTACTCCTTGTTTTCCGGTTCTGGCCGCGGGAGCCTCTCGAGAAGCGTGGAAAGAGGAGAAGGGCGTATACCTTGTGACCGCCTCTGGTTGTCTTGGGCTCGCGCCTGGCGCCGCTACGTGGAGTCGCTCTCTCGTCGTCACTTTTGGCTGCCGACTTGTTGAGTAGAAGTGCAGACTGATGCTTTAAGACTCAGGGAGAGGTCTTTCCCTTATCTCCACCCCAGCAAGCACCCCAGAGACCTTGGAGATTTGTCTTGTTTCTAGACACGTGTACTCCAATGTTGTGCGGAGGAGGCCTTAAATATTCGAGAAGAGAGTGGGAACTCCTGGAATTTTAAGGGATTTCTGTGTATTTCCAAAACTGACTTTTAACTACCGGCAGCGTGGGATTTCGTGATTGTTTTTCGCCATCGTGTGGCTCCAACATGTACTTCCCTTCTTGGTTAAGTCAGCTGTACAGGGGTTTATCCAGACCCATCAGAAGGACCACCCAACCGATCTGGGGTTCTCTCTACAGAAGTCTGTTGCAGAGTTCACAGAGGAGAATTCCAGGTGAAAATAGCGAAGAGATCTATCCTATGAACAGTACTTCAGCCTGTTATCTACGGCCGGAGAGCTTTTATTCCATTTTTCATTTTTTCCCCCATTATTATTATTATTATTATTATTATTATTATTATTTGAGACGGAGTCTCGCTCTGCTGCCCAGGCTAGAGTGAAGTGGCGCGATCTCCGCTCACTGCAAGCTCCGCCTCCCGGGTTCACGCCATTCTCCTGCCTCAGCCTCCCGAGTAGCTGGGACTACAGGCGCCCGCGACCACGCCCGGCTAATTTTTCTGTATTTTTGGTAGAGCCGGGGTTTCACTGTGTTAGCCAGGATGGTCTCGATCTCCTGACCTCGTGATCCACCCGCCTCCGCCTCCCATAGTGCTGGGATTACAGGCGTGAGCCACCGCGCCCGGCTTTTCCCCTGTTCTTAACTGGATAGCCTTATGTGTAGAAGCGAAATTCACTCTCATTATATTCATTATACGGCAGTTTTTTTTCCCTGAGTTTTTAGAAAGACCACAAAAAGGTAACCACGTAATATATAGAATACTCTGCTTTTGGTTGATGCCTTAAAAAAATCCTTCTTCGGCCGGGCGCGGTGGCTCACGTCGTTAATCCCAGCACTTTGGGAGGTCGAGGAGGGCGGATCACGAGGTCAGGAGATCGAGACCATCCTGGCTAACACGGTGAAACCCCGTCTCTACTAAAAATAAAAAAAAAATTAGCCGGGCGTGGTGGCGGGCGCCTGTAGTCCCCGCTGCTGGGGAGGCCGAGGCAGGAGAATGGCGTGAACCTCGGAGGCGGAGCTTGCAGTGAGCCGAGATCGCGCCACTGCACTCCAGCCTGGGCGACAGAGCGAGACTCCATCTCAAAAAAAAAAAAAAATCATTTTTCACAGAATTATAATAGTGTTTTCTAGTGTACAAGTGGCTGTTAAACACTAGATTCATACTAAAGCTAAATAGTTCCTACACCGTCCATTTCTGCAGTTTCTAAAATCCTATTTCATTTGAGGAAGAAATGTGCAATATTAAGAATTGGGTAATTAGGATTTTAGGTCAATGCAAATGCTAGAAGATCAAAAAAATTTTGATTTCCTAACACAAGACAGAAATTTACATTCAGTTATTCACTTGGCTTTTGACACATTTGCAGGTAAATTTAATAGTGAATGAATTAAATTACATACTCTGACTTATTTTATTTTATAAATTTCCCCTGTAGCCCTGACATACCTAAGATATATTTTGAGAATTTTCATTTTTAAGCAACCTGCAAGTGATGTATTTTTAATCTTGCCTTTTAAAGTTTCTTTTTTTTTTTTTTTTTAAAGAATTCAGTAGCTTTGTTGTCCGGACCAACACATGTGGAGAGTTGCGTTCGTCTCACTTAGGCCAAGAAGTCACCTTGTGTGGATGGATTCAGTACCGAAGGTAAATTGAGAAAGACAGTCTAAGAATGCATGGTGGTGGTTTTCCCAGGGCAATTCCAAACCTTTACTAATTTACAACCAGTCCGAAGAATAAAACGTTTTGCAACTCCTGCAGGATTAAGAACTTACTGAATTTTCAACTTTGTTTTAGTTTTGAAAGACCCAAGTGTCATTCTCAGTAGACATTTTGAAAGACCCAAATGTCATTCTCAGTAGGTACATCTCAGTAACATCTGTTGAAGGGTATAACAACGAAGCTTGATCCACCAGTGGACTGAAATGATACTGGGCTTACTAAGACTGAAGAGTTCCTATAACCAGTAATTAAAAATGGGCCAGCCTCCTATAAACCAGCTGTTAAACTCCAATAGCATGGGGGAAAAGCTCATCTTATTCCATGTAGGTAGAGAAGAAGCCTAGAAACATAAACAGTGATTCCTTAAGATCAGAGCCCATTTTTTGTTGTTGTTCATCTCTCTATTCCAGAACATGCCTGAATAGAACATTAATTCACATGGAAGAGATTCAAAATACATAGGTTATATGACCTTCTTAAAGAATATGTCCCAGCCTGGCGTGTAAGCCTGTAATCCCAGCACTTTGGGAGGCCGAGGCGGGCGGATCACGAGGTTAGGAGTTCGAGACCAGCCCAGCCAATATGATGAAACCCCGTCTCTACTAAAAATACAAAAAAAGTTCGCCAGGCGGGGTGATGCTCGTCTGTAATTCTAGCTACTCAGGAGGCTGAGGAAGGAGAATTGCTTGAACCCAGAAGGCAGAGGTTGCAGTGAGCTGAGATTGCGCCACTGCACTCCACTCTGGGCAACAGAACGAGACTCCGTCTCAGGAAAAAAAAAAAAGTTTGTCCCAAGTAGGTGGATATTTTTCCCATAAGTTTAGTGACTGTTTCCTGAACCCAAATCTGAAGAGGGTTTCTGTACCTGTTCCTGATGCTGAGGATAGTATGAGAAATAGAGGTTGGATGTTAAAATGTTGGCATTTCTGGGACCTTTTGATGATTCATAGAGGTATTAAATTAGTAGTTGGAACTCTTCCAGAAAATGTTAGATTGTATCTTTTTTTAGAAAAAGACTATATTGCTATATTTCAAAAATGATCCATCAGATGTTTCTATTATGCTAAAATACTATCTTTGGATTTTACTATATGCAAAGTTTCCAAATTTAATAAAATTTTCTTAAAAGGACTTAAGCCAATGAAATTTCTTTTAATTGTTCATCTATAATAATTTTTCATTAATAAGCCATCTGTATAAGATTAATATACCAGGTAAGTAGACAATAAAAATTGAAACTGAAATAAAAAACAATCTTTTTTTTGGCAATGAGCTACATAGATAACAATTGCATGAATGTAACTAATGAAGGTACATAATTATCATAAAAAACATGAAAAATTATAATTATCATAAAAAAGAAACATGAAAAATTGCATGGATTTTTGTTTGCTTTTTATTTTGTATGCTTCAACTTTGGACTTAGAGATTTTATCTTAAAATGTTTCTTTTCCCCCCCCCCATTAATCAGGCAAAACACATTCTTGGTCCTAAGAGATTTCGATGGGCTTGTTCAAGTTATCATTCCCCAGGATGAGGTAATAGAAAATTTCCTGTTATTATCTAAAAGCTTCTTTGATGCTATTGCTGGGGTAAGCTAAGTAGTTAGATGAATATGTTAGAGGTTTTAAATTCAGAAGTTTATTGTTAATGAAAACTGAAAAATATAAGCAATGTTAAGACATAGCAAAAAGACCAGTGACCCAGTAGAATTAGGAACCCAGGATACGAACAAAAAATTTAGAGGAAAAAAATATATAAATGGCTTGTAGACATAATGAAAGTATGCCCAGCCTCACTCATAGGTAGAGAAATGTGAATTGAAACTGCATGTAATTGTCATTTTTAACACATTAGATTGACAACACACTGTGTTTGGGAAAGCAGGTGCTCAATACCTGGAGGGAGTACAAATTGGCACTAGCTGAAGGGAGAGCAATTTGGCAATATCAAAACTATAAATGCATATATCCTTTGAGCCATTAATTTCACTTCTGGTAAATTATCTTATATCTAGACTTATACAGATATAAAATGACATATGTACAAGGATATTCATTTCAGGATTCTTTTTAACGGAAAAAAATTGGGAACCACCCAGATGTCCTCCAATAAGAGACTGGCTTAAAAAATAATGTATATTCTTACAATACAATACTCTACTCAGCCGTACAAAAAAGAATGAAGAAGTTCTATTCTAATAGGGAAAAAAAAATCCAAGGAATACTGTTAAGTGAAGAACCCTGTATTCTTGAGTATACAAAAGAGCAGCTGTTAAACTCCAGCACTCTAAGTGCTGTCATCTGTATAAAAACTGGGGGAAGGATGCAGAATATACATTCAGTGTGTGTGTGTGTGTGTGTGTGTGTATTTGCTTGTATATATGTTAGGAAATGTCTCTGGAAGGATACCTAAGTATCTGGTAACATTAGGTGCTGCTGGGGGAAGGAACTGAGGGCGTTGAAAACAAGGATAGGAGGGAAGCTTTTTACTATATCTTTTTGTACCCCTTGAATTTGAAGCCATGTGACGGTATTACTGCTCAAAAAAGTATTTAATTTAATTACCATTGAAATTAGATAAAATATGACAGAGTGATATTCTGAAAAAAAAATTTTTTTAATTAAAAAATTCAAGGCCAGGCATGGTGGCTCACACCTGTAATCCCAGCACTCTGGGAGGCCGAGGCCAGCAGATTGAGTACAGGAGTTTGAGACCAGCCTGGGCAACAGTGAAACCTCGTCTCTACTAAAATACAAAAAATTGGCCAGGTGCGGTGGCTCACTCCTGTAATCCCAGCACTTTTGGGAGGCTGAGGCAGGTGGATCTCGAGGTCAGGAGTTTAAGACCAGCCTGACCAACATGGTGAAACCCCGTCTCTACTAAAAATACAAAAATTTAGCCGGGTGTGGTGGCGGGCTCCTGTAACCCCAACTACTCAGGAGGCTGAGGCAAAAGAATCACTTGAACCCAGAGGCAGAGGTTGCAGTGGGCCGAGATCACGCCACTGTACTCCAGCCTAGGCAACAGAGCAAGACTCTATCTCAAAAAAATAATAATAATACAAAAAATTAGCTGGGTGTGGTGGCATGTGCCTGTAGTCCCAGCTACTTGGGAGGCTGAGTTGGGAGAATCACCTGAGCCCAGGAGGTTCAGGCTGAAGTGAGCCAAAATTGCACCACTGCACTCCAGAGTGCACACCAGAGTGATACCCTGTGTCAAAAAAAAAAATTAAAATTAAAGAATTAGATAAAATAAAGAACTTCCATCATACTTACTGGGCAAAGTTGGTTTCTATTGCAATTTTTACTAACGCTTGTATGCCTAAGAAAAATATTATTTATTCAGCTCTTAAGTTTTGAAATAAATAAAGAGCAATGAATTATCTTTTAGGGATCAACATCCAGAGATGAGTATAGCTAACCCTGGAGAACTCCTTTGACTCTGACCCATTATTGCTATGGGATTTAACTGCCCCTAAGACTAACCCTGGAGACAATTGCTTTTCAAGTATGTGGGACTTGTTTGCACTAATAATAGTCATTCTTACCCTTATTTTCCTTTAAGGAAAGTTTTTTTAAAGCTCTTAACTAATAGTTTTACTTGCTGTATTATATAGAGTCAAAATGGGGATGCAGTTTTTACTAAATTTGGTAATAAAGTCATTAAGGAGCAGCCCCAGCCTTTATGGTAATTAAGCTGTGACTATTAACGTTTTTTAAACCATCTACTTATAATTACTGAAGATTCCTGTAAGTTCATTTGTTTCTCAGAACTCTTTTCCCCCTTGTTCTGTAGTCGGCAGCCTCTGTGAAGAAGATTTTATGTGAAGCCCCTGTGGAATCTGTGGTGCAAGTGTCTGGTACAGTCATTTCCCGTCCTGCAGGACAAGAGAATCCAGTAGGTAGTTTCGAAGATATCTGTGTAATTTTTGCTTGTATGCATTTGCACCATCTGTGTACACATTCTGGCAACACATGACTGGACATTAGGCACTAAAGTTGAATAAATTCTACAAATGAACTGACAGATTTCAAAATCTTGACTATAAACAAACACATCTATGTAAATATGCATGCTAAGTCTCACTCTGTCACCAGGCTGGAGTACGGTGGCGTGATCTTGGCTCACTGCAACCTCTGCCTCCTGGGTTCAAGTGATTCTCCTGCCTCAGCCTCCCGAGTAGCTGGGACTACAGGTGCATGCCACCACGCCCAGCTAATTTTTATATTTTTAGCAGAGAGAGGGTTTCACCATGTTGGCCAGGATGGTCACCATCTCTTGACCTCATGATCTGCCCATCTCAGCCTCCCAAAGTGCCAGGATTACAGGCGTGAGCCACCGTGCCTGGCCCTTTTTTTTTTTTTTTCAGGACGGGTCTTGCAGTATTACCCAGGCTGGTCTTGAACTCCTGGGCTTAAGTGATCCTCCTGTCTCAGCCTCCCAAGTATCAGACTGCAAGGATATGCCATGACATTTGTTGATATCTGAACACATCAGCCACATATGCATAAGAATGTCAAAATCATGCACAGACATGTATGTTTTATACTATACACTATAAGGACTTTGCACATTTTACATATGTAAATAAATGCATAGATTCTACAAATGTGTATTTTGTGTATATCCTGATGAGTAATTTTTAAAACCCTTCCTTCTCACTCTCCAAGAAAATGCCAACAGGTGAGATTGAAATCAAAGTTAAAACAGCTGAGCTTCTGAATGCCTGCAAGAAGCTGCCCTTTGAAATTAAGAACTTCGTGAAGGTACCAACCTCTGTTATTAATAAAATAGAGTATCTAGAAAATGTTGATGACTAGTCAAGTATTTTCAGAGTTTTTTAAAGAAAAGTTTAACTTCTACAAAATTAAGCATTTTATTGTAGACACATCATGAAGTGTTCTCTTAGTTCTACAACTTCTTGGCACACTGTCCTGAAATAATGACAGTTCAGTAAACTGTTGCAGTCCCTAAATACCTAGACTGTTTTTTCAGACAGATTAAAATGTGATTCTCTCTTTAAAACTTGAGGTGTTATATTATTCAAGTTTTTCGTTGCTATTGTTTAACATTTGAAAGGAAATTTATGTCTAGCTTAGAAATGGCCAGATGGGACAGGGGATCCTGTATCTATTAAGTGATAAAATGTGTGCTTAGAGCAACGCTTGACCTCCCAAGCATATAAATATAAATAGGATTACCATAATTTAGAATGTTCTTTGCCAAAGTTTAAGGGCTTGATGGAGCTGTACACTCATATGATTTTCAGCTTTGTCACAGTTTATAGACTTATATATTCCTAATTTTTAAACTGATCTATTAACAGATTTTTAATTAGTCTTAATTAATTAGTCTTACATTTAAGTTCATGGCCAATTAGTCTTACATTTAAGTTCTCAATACTTACGTTTAAGTTCATGGCCAATTGGTCTTACATTTAAGTTCTCAATACTTAATTATCTAATTAGAAAGAGCAATGTAATTATAGAGTTGACCTTATTTTGAAAAAGAAAATATATAGTTTTCCCCAGATGAGCATTCAAAAAGAGAAGTTATAGACATTTCCTAAGTTTTCAGCACAAAGAGGGATGCAGAGATTTGTAGCCTTGAAAATAAGCAAACTAGGCTGGGCATGGTGGCTCACACCTGTAATCCCAGCACTTTGGGAGGCCAAGGCAGACAGATCACAAGGTCAGGAGTTCGAGACCAGCCTGGCCAATGTGGTGAAACCCCGTCTCTACTAAAAATACAAAAATTAGCCAGGCGTGGTGGCAGGCACTTGTAGTCCCAGCCGCTCGGGAGGCTGAGGCAGGAGAATCGCTTGAACCCGGGAGGCAGAGGTTGCAGTGAGCCGAGATCATGCCACTGCACTCCAGCCTGGGTGACACAGCAAGACTCCATCTCAAAAAAAAAAAAAAAAAAGAGAGAGAAAATAAGCAAACTATTTCTACTAGTACAGCCATGGAGATTCCATCCACTGTCCCTTTGCATTCTTTACACTTGTAGTCAGCGTCCCATTCAGGTGAATCTTCTACTCTGATGTATCTTTTTTTAGGAGATGGGGTCTTGCTATATTGCCCAGGCTGGCCTCAAACTCCTGTGCTCAAGTGATCCTCCCACCTCAGCATCCCAAGTAGCTGGGATTATAGGCACATGCCACCATGCCCAGATACAGCATAATGGTGCTGTGTATTTTTCTAAGAGACCTTTGAAATCTTTAAATTTTTTTCAAGATTCAACTATGGGCTTAAATTAATGGATAAATGTTTAGTAAAGTAGGCAAATTTCAGTCAGTGAAGAGTGATATTATTAATAATGAATAGTAAAAAAATGTAAAATCTGCACTGATGACAAACTTAGAAGTTGTAGGAATTAACAGCATACAGTGGGCTACTTAATGATAGAAACTAAAGACAGAGCTAAAATTTTTGAAAATTCAAACTCTTTCTAAAGATAATACCTTTCTAATATTGAAAAATATTTAAATATAAAAATCTTTCAATTTCTTTAGAAAACAGAGGCTCTTCGGTTGCAGTATCGCTACTTAGACTTGCGTAGTTTCCAAATGCAGTATAACCTGCGACTGAGGTCCCAGATGGTCATGAAAATGCGGGAATATCTCTGTAATCTGCATGGTAAGAGAAATGCCTGGATGCTCTTTGGAGCTTTGTAGCATCTCTTCTATTTTATTCAGCAGTTTTATTGTATCCTTTCCTTAGCATGAGGTCAAGATGTTGCCAGAAGTCTGGAATTCACTCAATGTGTAATGTAGTTTTTGAAGAAAAGTTAACATTATTTTAAAGATGATAAAGATGATAGTCGCTATTACATTGATTAATGTATTATAGTATTTCCCATCATCATCAAAGGCAGGACAGCCCTTTGGCTTTTTCTATAAGATTTCTTTTCTTTTTTTTTTTTGAGACGGAGTTTTGCTCTGGCTAGAATGCAGTGGCATTACCACAACTCACTGCAGCCTCAACCTTTTAGGCTTAACCGATCCTCCCACCACACCTTCCCAAGTAGCTAGGACCACAGACATGCACCACCACACCCAGCCAATTTTTAAAAATTTTTTGTAGAGACAGGGTCTCATTATGTTGCCCAGGCTGGTCTCAAACTTCTGGGTTTAAGCAATCCTCCCACCTAACCATCCCAAAGTGCTGGGATTACAGGCATGAACCACGATACCCAGCCAGTTTTCTTAATTCTTTATCATGTGCATACATCACTTATTGGGAGCTCAAAAATGTCATGTGAATTAAACTAGACATCTCATTCAGTCCTGGACTTTTTCTGCTATATTTGTGTTATTTCTACACTAACAGAACATTTAAAAAATCAGAATAGTTCAGTAGACAAGAATCCATTAAATATTTAGAATTATTTTATGTGAACAGTATGCTTTATGAACAGAATAGTATTTATGAAAATCTTCAGCTTCCTTCTTAGATTTGTAGAAACCAGCACCAGTAGGCTTGGTAGCTTATTTCAGCTAAAATTCTTAATTAAAGGGAAGCCTCAGATTTGTTGTACTATATTGTGGACATCATATATGACAAATTTCACATTCCTATCTACTAAGTGATAATGTTTCTCTCTTTTTAGGGTTTGTGGATATAGAAACCCCCACATTGTTTAAGAGGACCCCAGGGGTATGTATATTCCTTCAATCAGTCTATTAATAATGTCCTATTAGTTATAAAGCTAGACTACTTTGCTTTTATATTCACTTGGTCCACTTTTATTTACTGCCTCAGGATGGTCATATTAACTAGGTTTTTCTGAAGAATTGAGAAAATTATTTGGGTATTTTGAGTCAGAATCATTTTATTCCACATAAATTTTCTTTCCTTTGAGTTTTTTTGTTTTTTTTTTTTTTTTTTTTTTTTTGGTTTGTTTTGGGTTTTTTTTTTTGTTTTTTTTTTTTTTTTGAGACAGTCTCACTCCATCACCCAGGCTGGAGTGCAGTGGCATGATCTCAGCTAATTGCAACCTCTGCCTACTGGATCCAAGCGATTCTCATGGCTCAGCCTCCTGAGTAGCTGGGATTACAGGCATGCACCACCATGCCCGGCTAACTTTTGTATTTACTTTAGTAGAGACGGAGTTTCACCGTTTTGGCCAGGCTGGTCTCGAACACCTGACCTGAAATGATCCGCACA
Organism: Homo sapiens; assembly: GCF_000001405.40. NCBI lineage: Eukaryota > Metazoa > Chordata > Mammalia > Primates > Hominidae > Homo > Homo sapiens. Next base: position 173,835,030 of record NC_000001.11, read on the forward strand.
CCTTGGCCTCCCAAAGTGCTGGGATTACAGGTGTGAGCCACCTTACTCAGTCTCATTTGAGTTTTATAGATGTAATCATTAATAAATTGGTATTTTTTGTTTTTGTTTTTGTTTTTTTAGACAGTCTCGTTCTGTCACCTGAATCCGCCTACTGGATTCAAGTGATTCTTCTGCCTCAGCCTCCCAAGTAGCTGGGACTACAGGTGCGCACCACCACACCTGGCTAATTTTTGTATTTTTTTAGTAGAGACGGGGTTTCGCATGTTGGCCCAGCTGGTCTCGAAATCCTGACCTCAGGTGATCCACCCGCCTCAGCCTCCCAAAGTGCTGGGATTACAGGCGTGAGCCACCGCGCCCAGCCAATGAATTGGTTCTTTAAGAACAAATCTATTGGCCGGGCGCGGTGGCTCACACATGTAGTCTTAGTACTTTGGGAGGCTGAAGCAAGGAGGATGACTTGATCCCAGGAGTTCAAGACCAGCTTGGGCAACAAGACCGTATCTCTTGTCTTAAAGACCCTAAAGAAAAAAAAATGGAAAAGAAAAAAAATTATTTTAAAGAACAAATCTCTTATATATTAAAAATTGACATTTTTCGGCCAGGCACAGTGGCTCACACCTGTAATCTCAGCACTCTGGGAGGCCAAGGTGGGCAGATCACCTGAGGTCAGGAGTTAGAGACCAGCCTGACCAACCATGGCCAACATGGTGAAACCTTGTCTCTACTAAAAGTACAAAAATTAGGCCAGGCACGGTGGTTCACGCCTGTAATCCCAGTACTTTGGGAGGCCGAAGCAGATGGATCACCTGAGGTCAGGAGTTTAAGACCCGCCTGACCAATATGGTGAAACCCCGTCTCTACTAAAAATACAAAAAAAATTAGCTGGGCATGGTGGCAGGCACCTGTAGTCCCAGCTACTCAGGAGGCTGAGACAGGAGAATTGCTTGAACCCAGGAGGCAGAGGTTGTAATGAGCCAAGATCACGCCATTGCACTCCAGCCTGGGCAACAGAGCAAGACTCCGTCTCAAAAAAAAAAAATATTAGCCAGGTGCAGTGGCGGGAACCCATAATCCCAGCTACTTGAGAGGCTGAGGCAGGAGAACCGCTTGAATCCAGAAGGCAGAGTTTGCAGTGAGTCCAGATTGTACCATTGCACTCCAACCTGGGTGACAGACCAAGACTCTGTCTCAAAAAGAAATTTTTTTTAATAAATAAAAATGGACATTTCTGGCCGGGCGCAGTGGCTCACACCTGTAATCCCAGCACTTTGGGAGGCCAAGGCGGGCAGATCACGAGGTCAGGAGTTCAAGACCAGCCTGGCCAACATGGCGAAACCCCGTCTCTACTAAAAATACAAAAATTAGCGGGGCATGGTGGTGGCAGGCACCTGTAATCCCAGCTACTCGGGAGGCTGAGGCAGGAGAATCACTTCAACCTGGGAGGAGGAGGTTGCAGTGAGCCGAGATTGTGCCATCGCACTCCAGCCTGGGTGACAAGAGCAAGATTCTGTCTCAAAAAAAAAAAAAAGACATTTCTAAACATTAATAGTTACTCGATTTATACAGTCTATGAAATTATAAAACTACAGTTTAATTTGGAAATGCAATTAAGAATTACTTGGATAGGAAATGATACACAAAATTCATTCATCTAGTAACAAAATTGGAAATTCAATTCCGCAAGCATAAACTTAACACCTACCGTATACAATGGTGTTTAAAGTCTACTATGTCCAAGTCTTTTTAGGGACTCAAAGATAAGCAGGAAATTGTCTCTGTCATTGTAGGAACTTTGTTCTTTAGTCATTCATTGATAAACTGAAGTAACAACTTCTACTAGTTAGTTATACTTTGGGTTTGTTTTTGTTTTTTAATAATCTGTCTTCTCTCTCTTTCTCTCTCTTTGAAAGGGTGCCAAAGAGTTTTTAGTACCATCCAGGGAACCTGGAAAGTTTTATTCTCTCCCTCAGAGTCCTCAACAGTTTAAGCAACTTCTGATGGTTGGCGGTTTAGACAGGTGAGCTTTTTTTATGCTAGCAGTTGTCAGAAAAGGAAAAGAGAAAAACAAAGGGAAAAAAGGAAACACAAAATCCTCTCTGTTCTCAAGAGAAGGATAGAAAATTTATGAGAGTTTGGAGAATACTTATAAAATGCCCTCATAATTTATAGTCATCCTTTATTAAAGGTTTATTGGGTGGCCACTATGTACAAAGCTCTATGGTAGTAGATGTGAGAGGGGATTTAAAAAAAAAAAAAAAAGAATAGGTTCTACTCTCAAGGTGTTAAGGCTAGTAAGCCAGAATAGGATAATGAATAAAACCAACTGTGATATAAACCAAATGTAAATGTATTGAGATTTGCAAGTTAGGTGTTAAGAGCTTTAAAATTATACTTTTTGAGGAAATATAGAAAACTTTGTGAGCTAGATCGTTGAGGACAGAGCTACATTTCAGCAGGTGAAGATGAGAGTTGGAATGGCATAGCACAGAAAGTCTCAAGTGTATCCATGGCACAGTAAAGATTTCACTTTGGCCAAAGCAAAAGAGTATATATGAAGAAGCATGGGCTAAAAAAAATGTTTTAATAAAAAGAGCTGGCATGGACTGATTTGCATGCTAGTCTAAATACATGAATATCCAGAGGTGCCAGTGTTTATTTTGAAAACAATATATAGAATAGTTAACTTCTCATAGGTCAGCTGTATGTCTAATTCGATTAAAGCATCATAAAAAATAAAAGTATTTCTTACTTTTTTTTTTTTGAGACAGAGTCTTTGCTCTGTCACCCAAGCTGGAGTGCAATGGCGCAATCTCGGCTCACTGCAACCTCCGCCTCCCTGGTTGAAGTGATTCTCCTGCCCTTGCCTCCCGAGTAGCTGGGATTACAGGCGCACGCCACCCACGCCCAGCTAATTTTCGTATTTTTAGTAGAGACAGGGTTTCACCATGTTGGCCAGGCTGGTCTTGAACGCCTGACCTCATGATCTGCCCGCCTTGGCCTCCCAAAGTGCTGGGATTATAGGTATGAGCCGCCATGCCCGGCCCTTCTTACGTTTTTTAAGTATCATTGTTTTATAGCTTGCATTGCTTTAAACTTTTGGGGAAAAGTGTGTATGTCTTCCTAGAATCATAACTCAATTAATGCTATTTCTCAATTGTAGATATTTTCAGGTTGCCCGATGTTATCGAGATGAAGGTTCAAGACCAGACAGACAGCCTGAGTTTACTCAGGTACAAAGTTATATTCACTTGTTTCTTAAAATTCAGGCTTACTATTTTGAAATAGTATTTTCAAGACCAGTGCAGTATTAATACTTTACTTCTCATTACATTTTATCCATCAGATATTTAATTAAACTCACCTGCAGTTGAGAAACTAATTATTCTTTTTTTTTTATTCATTTCATGTGTCCTTTTTTAAATTTTTTTCTTTCCTTGGATAGCACAGGGGCCACACTGTCATTCAAATTTTAGTATGTGTGCTGCCAAAACGAGCATGTGTCCTTTTCATAAAGAATGTGGTCAGCAACTAAGGAATGCCAGAAGTTCCTAAAGTGTTCTAATGTTCATGATAAAGTCCTTAAAACAAATCTCTTATATATTATGAATAATTTTATATATTGATATTTTAATCTAATATGTGGACTTACCAAAGCTGTTACGATTTGCTTTCTGTATGATAGCATTTTATTTTACTTTATATTATTTTATTTATTTTATTTTTTGAGACAGAGTCTCGCTCTGTCTCCCAGGCTGGAGTGCAGTGGCGCGGTCTCAGCTCATTGCTGCCTCTGCCTCTCAGGTTCAAGCAATTCAGCTGCCTCAGCCTCCGAAGTAGTTGGGACTACAGATGCGTGCCACCATGCCCAGCTGATTTTTTGTGTTTTTATTAGAGATGGGGTTTGACCATGTTGGCCAGGATGGTCTGGATCTCCTGACCTCGTGATCCACCCGCCTCGGCCTCCCAAAGTGCTAGGTTTACAGGCGTGAGCCACCACGCCTGGCCAATAGCATTTTAATCATGTGTTGAAGTGAAAAAATTATGAGCTTTGGAGTTGGACAGACCTGGGATCAGATGTAGCTTCGCTGCTTACTAATTGCACATACGCAAATAAGTAACTTAGTTCTCTGAGCCTTCATGAAATGGTTGTGGGAACTAAGCAAGTTAATGTATGTAAGGCCATTAGCACAGTGTCTGACATAAAAGAGATGTACAATAATATTTATACCCTCTGCATGTATTATGTGCAAAATTCTATAGTAACTTGAAAGCAGAAAAATATATAAATGTGTATATATTGTGGCTAAATTAGTTTCCATATGGTACTTTGGTTTCAGATTGACATAGAGATGTCATTTGTAGACCAGACTGGGATCCAGAGTTTAATTGAGGGTTTGCTCCAGTATTCCTGGCCCAATGACAAAGATCCTGTGGTTGTTCCTTTTCCTACTATGACTTTTGCTGAGGTGCTGGCCACCTATGGAACTGATAAACCTGACACTCGCTTTGGAATGAAGGTACTTATCTTCACTTTTCTAGGACTCTGTCCCCAAATAATCCTGCAGTCTTTTTAAACCACTTTGAAATTGACAAGTGTTACACACTGTTAGATGATATTTTTGTTGTTACCTTGTTACCTTCGTTGTTACAGAGCTAGAGCAAGAGAGAATAATAGCATGTTAGCAATACAGTGCTTTCTATCTTTCATGTTCCAAGATCCATTTCCAAGAGCGAGATTCTTGCTATAAAGTTTTTATTACTTGCAAGTTATTGATTATATGGATATGAATGGTAACTTGAAAGAAAAAATAACTATTCTTTCCTTTTCAGTTTTTTTTTTAATCCAAGGAGTTACTAAGTTTCCTTGGTCCATAAAAAGCTCAAACATATGACAATGTTTATTCAAATTATTACTATCTGTAAGTATTTAAAGCAGGGGTAGAATTTATATAGAACAGTTTCATTACCAGGCCTCTACTTGTTTGCTCTTAAAGAGCAATATCCCTTGATCCCTGTAATGCTAGTGACATTTCTATATCTCAGTTCTCAGTGCACATTCTTTAGAAATTGGTCCTGCCTGGTCTGTGAATAGTCAGTGGTCAATTCTTAGAATGAAAAAAATACAATACACAAAAAGTCATAACTACCAACTTACAGCTGCCAACTCAACTACTTCTTGTTTCTTCGTTTGTAATATGGAATAGTGGTTCTTTTTTTGTATTTTTTTGAGACGTAGTCTCGCCCTGTTGCCCAGGCTGGAGTGCAGTGGTAAGATCTTGGCTCACTGCAACTTCGGCCTCCTGGGTTCAAGCGATTCTCCTGCCTCAGCCTCCCGAGTAGCTGGGATTACAGGCGCATACCACCACACCGGCTAATTTTTGTATTTTTAGTAGAGATGGAATTTTGCCATGTTGGCCAGGCTGACCTCCTGACCTCAGGTGATCTGCCCACCTCAGCCTCCCAAAGTTCTGAGATAATAGGCATGAGCCTCTGCGCCGAGCCTGGAATCTTAATCTGGTTCTTAAGTCAGACTGCTTGTGTTAAATTCTGGCTCTGCCACTTACTAGCTATGCCATCTTGGGCAAGTTCCTTATTTCTGTGTCTTGGTTTCATCTATGAAATAGGGATAATAAAGAGTGCTAACCTCATATGAAATGAATGAGTATATGTAAAACACTGGTCATATTGCTTAACCCATGGTAAACACTCTTTGAATGTATTCTATAAATGTTAAATTATCAAGATCTATTCTCTTCTTTAAAATCTTGTTTGTAAAATGTTTTCAGATAAAAATTACTTCATATTTAGTTATCTCTTTTTGTTACCCATTTTCCAGATTATAGATATCAGTGATGTGTTTAGAAACACAGAGATTGGATTTCTTCAAGATGCACTTAGTAAGCCCCATGGAACTGTGAAAGCCATATGTATCCCTGAAGGAGCAGTAAGTGAAGTACAGTTCTATGTTTCTCTAGAATGTATGCTTTGGAAGTAACTTTGTCCAATACTGTCATATTTAAACTTCAGAAAGAACAATTCTTTTTAAATAAAAATAGGGATTTTTGCTGGGCATGGTGGCTCACACCTGTAATCCTAGCACTTTGGGAGGCCGAGGCGTGTGGATCACTTGAGGTCAGGAGTTCAAGACCAGCCTGGCTAACATGGTGAAACCCCATCTCTACTAAAAAATACAAAAAATTAGTCAGGCGTGGTGGCATGTGCCTGTAATCCCAACTACTTGGGAGGCTGGGGCAGGAGAATCGCTTGAACCTGGGAGGCAGAGGTTGCAGTGAGCTGAGATCATACCATTGCACTCCAGCCTGGGCAATAAGAGCAAAACTGTGTTTGAAAAAAAAAAAAGTAGGTATTTTTATACAGAATCTAAAGTATTTCTAAAACCATAAGTAGAGAACAATAAAATTTTATGAATGTGAGTTTACATTCCAGATCCGGGGTGTTTTTCTTTTTTCTTTTTTTTCCCCCCTTTTAAACAATGCTATCAGCCAGGCATAGTAGCTCATACCTATAATGCCAACACTGTGGGAGGTCAAGGCAGGAGAATTGCTTAAGCTCAGGAGTTCGAGACCAGCCTGGGGAACATAGACCTCATCTCTACAAAAATTACCTGGCGTGGTGGCTCACACCTGTAGTCCCAGCTATTCTGGAGGTTGAGGTCCAAGGATCACTTGAGGCAAAGTGTTCAAGGCTGCAGTAAGCCATGATTGTGCCACGGCATTCTAACCTGGATAACATAGCAAGACCGTGTCTCAAAAATAAATACATAAATAAATGATGCTATGAAGTACTCCTGTACTTCATTGTGGATAATATGTGAGCATAAAATAATACGTAGTATTCTGTCTGCAGCCTCAGTTGTCTGTCTATCTCTTAGCCCTGTATCAGCACCAGCATGGCCATTGCATGTTGATTCTTTATCTTCTGAGAGTTCTCATCTCAGTTGCACTAATAACAGGGAAATAAAAGGAGATGGAGCTAAAAAAGCAAAAAGGAAGGGGAAGAAGTGGGAGTAGAAGAGAGAGAGAGAATGGTTGGGCTGAGCAAGTGCTGACTCTAAAGCAACGGTACACGTCTCTTTTCTGTAGGTAGTACATCTGCTTTAAAAAATAATTTCATAAGAAGTATTCCAGTTATATTTTAAATAAGATTATGATTTTGAAAGTCTATACTCATTTGGATACATAAGCATTATATTCAGAATGGAGTAAGAACTCAGGAACTCAGTCTCATTACTTTCTTTTTTTTTTTTTTTTTTTTTTTTTTTTTTTTTAGAGTGAGTCTTGCTCTGTCGCCCAGGCTGGAGTGCAGTGGCGCGATCTTGGCTTACTGCAACCTCCGCCTCCCAGGTTCGAGCGATTTTCCTGCCTTAGCCTCCTGAGTAGCTGGGACTACAGGCGTATGCCACCATGCCCAGCTAAGTTTTTTTTGTATTTTTAGTAGAGATGGAGTTTCACCATGTTAGCCAGGATGGTCTCAAACTCCTGACCTCAGGTGATCCACCCGCCTCGGCCTCCCAAAGTGCTGGGATTACAGGCGTAAGCCACCATGCCTGGCCCCTCATTACTTTTTATTTACTTCATATATTCAGTAAAAAGTAATTTATTGTCATGCGGGGCACGGTAGCCCACGCCTGTAATCCCAGCACTTTGGGAGGCCAAGGCGGGTGGATTACTTGCGGTCAGGAGTTTGAGACCAGCCTGGCCAACATGGCGAAACCCTGTCTCTACTAAAAATTTAAAAATTAGCTGGGCATTGTGGTGGGTGCCTGTAATCTCAGCTACCTGGGAGACTGAGGCAGGAGAATCACTTGAGCCCAGTAGGCAGAGGTTGCAGTGAGCATGAGATCATACCACTGCACTCCAGCCTGAGCAACAGAGCAACACTCCATCTTAAAAAAAAAAAAAAAAAAAGTAATTTATTGTCCATACTCTAGTCCAGACATAAGAAATATGTTCAGGTAAGCTCAGTATGATATTTTGCCTATCATTATTTACACCATTTCAAGTTTGTTCTTTCTCAAGTAGATATAAGAACTGCAGGAGTGTGGATCATGTTTTCATCTTTTTATACCTTCCGTACCTAGTTAAATGCCACATTAATATAGTTAATGATATGTGGCATATGGGAGAAATAAGATGGTTAAAGTATGATTTCACAAATCACATGGTTTATTGCCATACAAAGAAAATTTTTTCTTAGGTTCACAATGCTTAAAAGAGAGAGAGAATAAGGGCCAAGCGTGGTGGCTCATGCCTGTAATCCTAGCACTTTGGGAGGCTGAGGCGGGCGGATCACGAGGTCAGGAGTTCAAGACCAGCCTGGCCAATATGGTGAAACCACGTCTGTACTAAAAATGTAAAAAATTAGCCAGGTGTGGTTGTGCGCACCTGTAGTCCCAGCTACTCGGGAGGCTGAGGCAGAAGAATCGCTTGAACCCCGGAGGCGGAGGTTGCCGTGATCTGAGATTGCCTCACTGCACTCCAGCCTGGGCAACAGAGTGAGACTCCCTCTCAAAAAAAAAGAAAGAATAACATGAACAATCCTCACAGGGAAAACACTCAGTAGCTGAGGTGCATTAATCACATAGCGAGTGAGTTCCAAAATTATTAAAGTCCACTTGCTCTATTAGGATGGAAGTAGTCCTCTGGGGAAGGTAAAGTCTAATTAAAGTTTGAGGTGTACTCTTATATGAGCTGTTCTTGGGAGAAGCTGGTTTGACCACCACAGTACACACTGTATCTAAGGTCCCTCGATGCTAGAGGGCAGTGCCAGTGTGGGTGGGTGAGGCTTCAGAGATTAGCTCCAAGACTAACAGGGTATCACCCATCTCTTGGCTGTAGGAGAAGCAGTTGACAGAGTATAGCCAGTCACAGCATGTGCTATCAAAGTGTCTGTCGAACTCTTAAGTTTATATGTATTTTTGAAGTCCAGTAGTTGAGGTCAGTAATTCACACATGGGAGTTATGATAAGGTTTGAGGTAACATTCCTGGGGGGAAGAGGGAGTTCACTCGAAGTTCTCACATAGGGGATCTGATAAAACATCATGCTCTCGAAAGGAGGGGGAATACACCCCAAAACATCAAACCATGTTAAGTGTTTGGATCATTTCAAAGTTATGTAACATGATAACCATAATGTCTCACTTGAAAGACACTGAGATAATTTCAAAAGAAAGATTTTAAGAAACCTCAAATAATCAAATTCTGAATCCTTTTATTGATCTGAAAGTTTTCTTTCACAATTCAGTTGTAGACATTCATGTTGAACATTTATCCTGCATATTAGATATAGAGGGTCTCCTGTGGAATACATTCACAGCTATTTCCAATAAGAGCTGCATGCCCAGCGTGGTGGCTCACACCTGTAATCCCAGCACTTTGGGAGGCCGAGGCTGGCCAATCACATGAGGTCAGGAGTTCAAGACCAGCCTGGCCAATATGGTGAAACCCCATCCCTACTAAAAATACAAAAATTAGCCAGGTGTGGTGGTGGGCACCTGTAATCCCAGCTACTTGGGAGGCTGAAGCAGGAGAATCACTTGAACCTGGGAGGTGGAGGTTTTAGTGAGCTGAGATCACGCCACTGTACTCCAGCCTGGGTGACAGAGCTAGACTCCATCGCAAAAAAAAAAAAAAAAAAAAAAAAAAAAAAAAAAAAAAATCTGCATAACTGGAAAAAATAAGCACTGTAACAAGCTTTAAAAATGTGTCATTTGGTAGCAGAAATTGGATTTTTTTTTTTTTTTTTTTTTTTTTTTTTTTTTGAGACAGAATCTCACTTTGTTACCCAGGCTGGAGTACAGTGGCACAATCTCGGCTCACTGTAGCCTCTGCCTCCTGGTTTCATGTGATTCTCCTGCCTCAACCTCCCGAGTAGCTGGGATTTCAGGCACCTGCCACCATACCAGACTAATTTTTGTATTTTTAGTAGAGACGGGGTTTCACCATGTTGGTCGGGCTGGTTTTGAACTCCCAACTTTCAAGCAGTCCACCCGCCTCAGCCTCCCAAAGTGCTGGGATTACAGGCATGAGCCACCGCGCCCAGCCCAGACATTGAATTTTTATTAAATCTTACTATTGTAATAGAAAGACACAAAATATATTTGTCATTTGATCGCATAACCATGTTTATGAAGCTAAGTGTCATACTGACAAGTTTACTTTGATTTTTCTTTCATCAGAAATACTTAAAAAGGAAAGACATTGAATCCATTAGAAACTTTGCAGCTGACCATTTTAATCAGGTAAGGAGTTAATTAGAGCAGTTTTTTTCCTTATACAGATTCAATATTTTTAACTATTATTAACTAAACTATCATTATCATTAGTTTTGAGCATCTTGTTATTTCAGATCATTCTTCTGCTTTTATTTACTTTTTATTTTATTTATATATTTATTTTGAAGATGTAGTCTTATTCTGTCGCCCAGGCTAGAGTGCAGTGTTGCCATAACAGCTCACTGCTGCCTTGATTTCTTAGGCTCAAGCAATGCTCCTGCCTCTTTCTCTCAAGTAGCTAGGACTACAGGCTCAGGCCACCATGCTGCCCAGTTGCACCCCTAGTCCCAGCTACTTAGGAGGCTGAGGTGGGAGAATCACCTGAGCCTGGGGGTCGAGGCTACAGTGAGCTGAGATCGCACCACCGCACTCCAGCCTAGGCATCAGAGCAAGATTCCATCTCGAAAAAAAATTGGGCTGGGCACGGTGGCTCACACCTGTAATCCCAGCACTTTAGGAGGCCAAGGCAGGCGGATCACTTGAGGTCAGGAGTTTGAGACCAATCTGGCCAATATGGCGAAACCCCATCTCTACTAAAAATAAAAAAAATTGGCCGGGCGCGTTGGCTCACGCCTGTAATCCCAGCACTTTGGGAGGGCAAGACAGGCGGATCACGAAGTCAGGAGATTGAGACCATCCTGGCTAACATGGTGAAACCCCGTCTCTACTAAAAATACAAAAAAATTAGCTGGGCGTGGTGGCGCGGGCCTGTAGTCCCAGCTACTCTGGAGGCTGAGGCAGGAGAATGGCGTGAACGCAGGAGGCGGAGCTTGCAGTGAGCCGAGATTGTGCCACTGCACTCCAGCCTGGACGACAGAGCAAGACTCTGTCTCAAAAAAAAAAAAAAATGCAAAAATGTGCCGGGTGTGTTGGTGCTCACTTGTAATCCCAGCTACTTTGAGAGGCTGATGCAGGAGAATCGCTTGAACACAGGAGGTGGAGGTTGCAGTGAGCTGAGATCACGCCACTGCACTACTGCCTGGGCCACAGAGCAAGACTCAGTCTCTAAATAAATAAATATTAGCTGGGCATAGTGGCACATGTCTGTAGTCCCAGCTGCTTGGGAGACTGAGGCAGGAGAATCACAAGCCCAGGAGTTCAAGGCTGCAGTGAGCTATGATTATGCCACTGCATTCTTGCCTGGGTGACAGAGTGAGACCCTGTCTCTAAAAAAAATAAAGGATCCAGCCAGGCACGGAAGCGCATACCTGTAATCCCAGCACTTTGGGAGCCCAAGGTGGGAGTATCACTGGAGCCCAGAAGTTTGAGACCAGCCTGGGCAACATAGTGAGACCTCGTCTCTACAAAAAACAGAAAAAAAATTAGCTGGGCATGGTGGCACACACCTGTCATCCCAACTACTTGAGAGGCTGAGGTGGGAGGATCACTTGAGCCCAGGAGATCGAGGCTGCAGTGAGCTGTGTTCACCCCACCGCACTCCAGCCTGGGTGACACAGTGAGACCCTGTCTCAAAAAAAAAGGAAAGAATCTTAGGTATGATAACAGGAATAAAATGAAACCATATAGGAGTAATTAAATTATGCTATAATCAAAGGAATTAATATTAAAGTTCCTATTTAAAATCTTGTTTTCTAAGACTTAATAGAGGAAAAATGCTCTTATAATGATATGTAAGAAAAGGAGGCTATAGGACTATATTTATACTGATTATAACCATGTAAAAACACTATATTTGTATATTGAAAATGGACTACCTACCTCTACTACCACTATTTCCCAAGCCTCATACCTCAAGCACAACGAACAATAAGTAGATTTTTATATAAGAAAAAAAGATCAGGTTAGTGGTTCCCAAAATGGGTTGAGACAAAATCAGAAAAGTCAGGGCAATATAACAAGCTTTTCATAAAGTTAAACAAATTTAAAGAACTATCCTTTTTTTCTCTGTCGGCGGTGGGGATGGCGGGGGGATGAAATATGTCTTTTCTTTATAAAATTAAAAATTGGCAACCCTTTATCTTCCAATTTTGTTTATTTTTATTTTATTAGTATATAAAATCTGCATCTAAGAACCATAGGACCAGGAAATAAGCCTGAAGGTTAACTTTGGCAGCTTTCAGTTGATGGGACTATTATTACATTTTCTTCTTTCATTCTTCTCTCTCTTCTCCTGTTTTCTTTTTCTTTCCTAATTTCCTGAACTTTTATATAAGAAATGGGTATTACTACTACTATTTTTTATGAGTGTTTTAACTTGATTTGGCTTCTAATTGCTTTCAGAAGATCTTATGTGTTTTTAGCAACATATGGCATACACATGGTTCAAAAAATAAAGAACCATTAATGATGAAATGCAATAATCATTTGCTCTAGCCTGCCCCATCCATCCTAGTATTCTGCCAGAGTATCTCTGTTTTTGGAAATATCTCTACATACTTTTTTTTTCTTTTTACTTAATTCATTTAAACCTTGTTAACTTCCTGTCATGAGAGATGAGGCTCACATATACAGACCTCACCTAGTTACTCTGTACCTTCTGCACAGCTGTCTTTCTGAACCTTTTTTTTTTTTTTTTTTTTTTTTTGAGACGGGAGTCTCACTCTGTCGCCCAGGCTGGAGTGCAGTGGTGCCATCTCGGCTCACTGCAAGCTCCGCCTCCCAGGTTCACGCCGTTCTTCTGCCTCAGCCTCCTGACTAGCTGGGACTACAGGCGCCCGCGACCACGCCCGGCTAATTTTTTTGTATTTTTACTAGAGATGGGGTTTCGCTGTGTTAGCCAGGATGGTCTCCATCTCCTGACCTCGTGATCCGCCCACCTCGGCCTCCCAAAGTGGTGGGATTACAGGCGTGAGCCACCGTGCCCGGCCCTTTTCTTCATTCTTTTCTGAGTTGAAGCCACCCATCCTGGATCCCAGGTTTTCCTCTTTCTTTTTTGTGTTGGAGTATGTAATCAAGTAACTTCCTAAGAAAGCATGTGAGAGATCAACTTACTGAGTTCTTACAAAATGTCTTTATGTTTAAAACCTCACACTTGATCAATAATAATTTGGCTTAGTACAAAATTTTGAATTGACAGCCATATCATCTTAGAAGAGTGCTGTCCAATAAAACTTTCTGTAATGATGGAAACGTTTTATGTCTGCATTGTTCGGTGTAGTTGTTGCTAGCCAATGTCGCTAGTGAACACTTGAAATAGGATAGTACAACTAAAGGGCTGAACTTTTTACTTTATTTCATTTTAATTAATTTAAATGTAAATAGCAACAGTGCATTGCTAGACAGCACAGCTTTAGAACATTTAAGGCATTGCTTTACTTTCTTCTCCCATCTGTTGTTACTGATGAGAAGTCTGATGCTTTGATGCTTGTGTGAATTTATTCCATTATAGCAGAGCTGGTTTTTTCTCATTGGAAGCTTTTTGCCTTCTGATTCTTTATGTTCTGAAATTTCAGAGTTTGTTTGCCTTTTGATCATTTTTCATTTAATGTGTTACACACTTGAAGAGCCCTTTCAATACGAAGGTTTATGTCTTTTTATGTGTAGAAAATTATTTTATTATCTAATGATTTTGACCTCATCATTTTTTCTAGTCTCTCTTTGGAATTTCTACTAGTTGTATGTCAAACCAATTTAACCTCTTTTCTTTTGCATGTCATTTTTCACCATTTTCTTTGTCTTGTTCTATTTTCCTGGGGATTTCTTCAACTCTTCTGTTGAATTTTTTTTTATTTCCCAGTAGCTTTTTTCACTGCATCTTATTCTGGTTTTATTCATAAAATATATTTTTGAGTACCTTTGAGGATTCAAGTTCTCTTTTGGTCCATAACTTATGTTTTCTCTGGGGCTAATTTTTTGGGTTTATCTTGGTCTTTTTTTTTTTTTTAATGCTGCAGAGTTTCTTCAATGTACAGTGATTGTTGGTTATCTGTACATATTCAAGAAAGGGGCATTTTAAAAGCTGGTTGGGGCCGGGTGCAGTGACTCACGCCTGTAATCCCAGCACTTTGGGAGGCCAAGGCGGGCAGATCGCTTGAAGTCAGGAGTTTGAGACCAGCCTGGCCAACATAGTGAAACCCCGTCTCTACTAAAAATACAAAAATTAGCCAGGCATGTTGACACACATCTGTAATCCCAGCGACTAGGGAGGCTGAGGCAGGAGAATTGCTTGAACCCGAGAGGCAGACTGCAGTGAGCCAAGATCAGGCCACTGCACTCCAGCATGGGTGACAGAGCGAGACTCCATCTCAAAAAAAAAAAAAAAAAGCTGGTTGGAAGCTCAAGAGAGAGGCTTTGTAAATGGTTAGGTTTAGTTTAGCATGAGCAGCAAGGCTGCTCTAGGCACTCAAGGCTTAAGAGTCCTGAGCCTCTCCAGAATTCTGCAGGGTAAAATCAGTTCCTTCTTGTGCTGAGGCTGCCTCCATTGTTCTTTATGCCAGACCTTCCTGCACCTTGCTTCTTTAATCATTCCTACTCAGTTCACTTGCAGTCTGCCAAAAATTCGCAGAAATCTCTCATCTGCTGATATTATTCTCCATTCTTCATCCCCTCCCCCTTTTTTTCATTATGTTGAAATGACTTTTTTTTTTTTTTTTTTTTGAGTCTCACTCTGTCACCCAGGCTGGAGTGCAATGGCCCAGTCTCAGCTCACTGCATCCTCTACCTTCCAGGCTCAAATGATTCTCATGCCTCAGCCTCCTGAGTAGCTAGGATTACAGGTGCACAGAACTGGCACAGCTACTTTTTGTATTTTTAGTAGAGATGGGGTTTCACCATGTTGGCCAAGCTGGTGTTGAACTCCTGAGGTGATCCACCCACCTCAGCCTCCCAAAGTGCTGGGATTACAGGTATAAGCCACCGTGCCAAGCCTACTTTATAAAATTCCCTTAGTATCATTTTGAATGGGTTCATGGAGATAATAGAGACAATCTCTTTTAAATTCTCTTCTATTGGGAACCGGAAATCTTTGTATTATAAGAAGATAAATTAATCCCACTGTTCAAAAAAAAAAAAAAACGTGAATAAGTCTTTTTCTTTTACACAGGAAATCTTACCTGTATTCCTTAACGCCAATAGAAACTGGAATTCTCCAGTTGCTAATTTCATAATGGAGTCACAAAGACTGGAATTAATCAGACTAATGGAGACCCAAGAGGAAGATGTGGTCCTACTAACTGCTGGAGAGCACAATAAAGCAGTAAGAAAAATTACTTCCAAGCATCAGTGCTGTTGATGCTGAACAATGCCTTACTCTCCTATGTATATAGTATACGTTTGAACTGTAGACTGTTAATTCATAAAATGGAGCTGCTCTGCATAAATCTTTTTTTTTTTTTTTTAAGAGACGGAGTTTTGCTCTGTTGCCCAGGTTGGAGTGCAGTGGTGCAATCTTGGCTCACTGCAACCTCCGCCTCCCGGGTTCTAGAGATTCTCCTGCCTCAGCCTCCTGAGTAGCTGGGATTACAGGCGCACGCTGCCATACCCGACTAATTTTTGTATTTTAGTAGAGACAGGGTTTCACCATGTTGCCCAGACTGGTCTCAAACTCCTCAGCTTAGGCAGTCCACCCGCCGCAGCCTCCTGAAGTGCTAGGATTACAGGCGTGAGCCACCGTGCCCAGCCTGCATAAATCTTATAGTGCTTTATAATGCACTGTATAAAAACTTAAGGGTTGGCCGGGCATGGTGGCTAACGCCTGTAATCCCAGCACTTTGGGAGGCCGAGGTGGGTGGATCGCCTGAGGTCAGGAGTTTGAGACCAGCCTGTTCAACGTGGTGAAACATCATCTCTACTAAAAATACAAAAATTAGCTGGGTGTGGTGGCGGGCTAATTTTTGTATTTTGTAGTCCCAGTTCCTCGGGAGGCTGAGGCAGGAGAATCACTTCAACCTGGGAGGGGGAGGTTGCAGTGAGCCGAGATTGTGCCACTGCACTCCAGCCTGGCTGACAGAGCCAGACTCCGTCTCAAAAAAAAAAAAAAAAGGGTTTTTTTTCATAGCTACCAGCCTCCATTGGCATTACTTAAATAGATTAGACCTGACCCTAATTAGAAAAGCCACTTAGATTAAGGGGTAGTGAAATTAGTCATATAACCATGAAAAAATATTTTCAGTGTCAAGATTTCACAAATGAAGAAAATTAGGAGTCTCAAATTTTTATACATCATGCATTCGTAAATTGTGGAGGGACGGATCAGACCACTGGCGAGCTGGAGGGCTGGCAGACACCCCTGGACCAACTTGGTCAAAGTGGGACCCTTTTTCCTCAAGAACAGCAGCTGTAGGTGATGAGTGCCATCATGCACTGGCTGAGTCATGATTCTTCAGGGGATATGGAAGACTGAATTAGCTTTAGGGATCTTTGTAAAATATAGAAAAGTATAGTACAAAGTCAAATATGAATATTAAAAATGTACTGTAAAGATCAAGCATGATATAAATTTATTTTTTCACTTTAGTATATAGTTTTTTCAAAATGATAGTGTGTCTAACTAGTACTTCATCAAGTTCTTTCTTCTAATCTATATTTTCATTTGTCATTGTTTCTTCCACAGAAAAAGTTTCAGAGTTCAGCTTCAAAGCTAAATGTAATCCCCCGTCTCCCCTTCCCCTACAATAGTAAAATGAAGAAAGCTATTTATTTCCAAATTTTATTATGAATGCATTTCTTAAAAAAGAACATGGGATTTTGTTCCTAACTAATTTGGCTATTAAACCTTCTCTTGGTATGAACTAAACATGCTGGTGTTTCATTCTCAGGAAGTTATAGGTCTGATTCCTACAAGGCCTTCCTTGAAAGAGAGCTAGAAACCAGACTTTCGAGGAATAACATTAACATTCTGAAAATGTCACAATGAAGGTCCGTTATGTAGACGTAAATGTAAGATAGAATGGGCTGCAAAATAATACCCTATCATGTCTCTAGGCATATGTCACTGTTCTAACCAGCTGTCCTTTCTCAGGGAAGTCCTGCATACCATAGGTAGCACTTATTAAGCACTTAGTATTTGCCAAGCCCGTTCTAAGCACTTTGTATACATTAACTCATTTAATCCTCATGCCAACCCTATGAAAGAAGTTCTGATACTGTTGCTATTTTAAAAATAAGAAAAGTGAGTCACAGAGCTTAAAATTTTGCTCACAGTCACACAGCTAGGAAGTGGAGGAGCCGGATTTCTAACCCATGAAGTTGGGTTCCAAAATTCACACTCTTATTTTTTTTTATTTTTTATTTTTTTTTGAGATGGTCTCACTCTGTTGCCCAGGCTGGAGTACAGTGGTGTGATCTCAGCTCACTGCAACCTCTGCCTCCTCCCGGGTTCAAGCGATTTTCCTGCCTCAGCCTCCCGAGTAGCTAGGATTACAAGTGCATGCCACCACGCCCGGCTAATTTTTGTATTTTTAGTAGTGACGGGGTTTCACCATGTTGGTCAGGCTGATCTAGAACCCCTGACCTTGTGATCCGCCCGCCTCGGCCTCCCAAAGTGCTGGGATTACAGGTGTGAGCCACTGCACCCCTCCGCACTCTTAAATGGACCTCTAATCTGCATTACCTATAGTGATAGCCAGCCTTCACTGAACATTAACAGTGTGCCAGGCACTTACCAAATCCTCACCACAACCCTTCAAGAGAAGTGAGGAAATAATCAGAACGACTACCACTCACATACTTTGTCAGGTCCTGCACCTTATGTATATTATCTTAAGCTTCACAGCAGTCTTTTGGAGTTGATATTTTTATCCCAATTTTACAATGAAAAAGGGTACAGAGAAGTTCGTAATTAGCCACACTGAGATTCAGACCCAGGTCTATGAAGTGCTGATCCCTGTGTTCTTAATCACCGAGTTATCAGTACTCACCCAGTTGGTTGAGTGTGATGATTGTTCTCAACCTTGTTGCAATTAGACTTATCCTCAGATCTTTGTGTCCTGAGAAGCAAAGGGCATCCTATCTGTTAATTGGCTAATCCTTTCCTAGAGAATGGCCTGGCTTCGGAATCCAGGCTGTGTCATTTCCTGCCTGCTCTGTCAAGAAGTTAACTCAATGTTTACGTCTTCTGTTTGCAGTGCTCTTTGTTAGGAAAATTACGACTGGAATGTGCTGACCTTCTAGAAACAAGAGGAGTGGTGCTCCGTGACCCCACTCTGTTCTCTTTCCTTTGGGTGGTAGATTTCCCACTCTTCCTGCCCAAGGAGGAAAATCCCAGAGAGCTGGAATCGGCCCACCACCCATTTACTGCTCCCCACCCCAGTGACATACATCTCCTGTACACTGAGCCCAAAAAGGTACCGTATCTATACTTCCAAATCAAAAGGAAATGTGTATATAAAGGCAAAGAACTTCAGACTTCAAGGTCTGATGAAAGATAGGACCCAGTTCTGGAAGCCCCAGAAGAAATTGTGGAGTTTGAGTTAGTAGTAATACATTGTCTTTAAAAATCTACAGGGTCTTCAACCCGTAGAACAGAAAACCAGACATTTTCTCTAACATAAAGTATCTGTGAATCTTCTAGGCCCGTAGCCAACACTATGACTTGGTTTTAAATGGCAATGAAATAGGAGGTGGTTCAATTCGAATTCACAATGCAGAGCTGCAGCGTTATATCCTGGCAACCTTACTAAAGGTAACAAACATCATCTGCTATCCTGGGCTTATTTTTTTACCAGAATATTTTTCAGTTTTGTGTTGTTGTTGTTGTTTGCTTGTTTGTTTTGTTTTTGAGACATTCTGTCACCCAGGCAGGTGTCTACTGGTGCATTCATAGCTCACTGCAATCTCAGTCTCCTGTGCTTAAGCCATCCTCCCACCTCAGCCTCCCAAGTAGCTGTGACTACAGGCACATGCCACCATGCCCGGCAAATTTTTTTATTTTTTTGAAGAGATAAGATTTCCCTATGTTGCTCACACTGCTCTCAAACTCCTGCCCTCAAGCACTCCTCCTGCCTCGGCCTCCCAAAGTGCTGGGATTATAGGCATGAACCACTGCATCTGACTTAAATCAGCCTATTTTATTAAACATTTGTTATGATTGGAGGATTCACAAGATACAAAATAGCATCAGCTATCTCTCTACCTTTAATGTAGGACTTGGAAAAGTAAATAATAATATTAAAAGTAAATAATAATATTAAATGCTTAAATAGTATCTGGCACATAGCACTATTAAACAGTACTATTTAAATACTAATTAATAGTGCATATTAAATACCCTTATTATAATAGTGCAGATAAATATCCTTATTCTGCCCACTCTAAAGATGAGATTTACTGAGGCAACTTACTTAACTTGCCAAAGTGACAGTACAAAAGTAAGCAGAGTCAGGATTTGAATCCAGGTGAGGTGGCTCTTAAGCCCATGCTCCTAACCACTACCCTGCTTAAAAAAACCATGCAGCTTGAAAAAATAAAAATCAAATCAAATGAAAACCATGCAGTCTGAAGTGACTAAAAATGTTGATAATGTTAGAGAAAGAGAGAGAAGTTTGAAAAGATTTTATATCACTTATTAGATACTACTTTAGCTATATTTAAGGCAGGGATATATTTTAGTGATAGTGGAGTAATCAGGATTTTTTAAAAGTAAAAGAAGAGTCTGTACAGGTGCAGACCTAAGAATTTGAAGTTTGTTGGTGATGCTGTAGAAGGCTTGGGTAGGTTTCAGAAAGGAAAAGGTCTGAGAGAGTCTGGTCCTAAAAGATCGTTTTGTGGGATTAACTGACAAGTGTGAGGTAGGATGGAAGGAGAACTCAGACCATGAGATGACTCCTTTAGCTTTAAGCCTTCAGAGTCCTTAAAGTTTAAGGGCATTGTGAAATCTGTTAACTTTTTTTTTTTTTTTTGAGACAGAGTCTTGCTCTGTCGCCCAGGCTGGAGTGCAGTGGCTCAATCTTGGCTCACTGCAACCTCCGCCGCCTGGGTTCAAGCAATTCTTCTGCCTCAGCCTCCTGAGTAGCTGGGATTACACGTGCGCACTAACACACCCGGCTATTTTGTATTTTTAGTAGAGACAGAGTTTCACCATGTTGGCCGGGCTGGTCTCGAACTCCTGACCTCAAGAGATCCACCCGCCTTGGCCTCCCAAAGTCCTGGGATTACAGGCGTGAGCCACCGCACCCAGCCGAAATCTGTTAACTTTTCTCCTGCCAATTCAAAGCCTCCAATCACCCATTGGGTTTTGTGTGTTTGTTTGTTTGTTTGATTTTAAAAAGATGGAGTCTCACTCTGTCACCCAGGCTAGAGTGCAATGGCATGATCATAACTTAGGGCAGCCTCAAACTCCTGGGATCAAGCGATCCTCCTGCCCAGCCCAGCTTCCAGTCAGCAGTTTTCAGCCTTTTTCATTCCTCTCATTGTCAAACTTTTCAAGAGTCACTAAGAATACATTACTTTTTTCTTTTTCTCGCTTTGTCACCCAGACTGGAGTGCAGTGGCGTGATCTTGGTTCACTGCAACCTCCGCCTCCCAGGTTGAAGTGATTCTCCTGCCTTAGCCTCCCGAGTGGCTGGGACCACAGGCACACACCATCACGCCCAGCATTTTTTTTTTTTTTTGTATTTTTAGTAGATACAGCATTTTGCCATGTTGGCCAGGCTAGTCTTGAACCCCCAATCTCAGGTGATCTGCCTGCATCGGCCTCCCAAAGTGCTGGGATTACAGGTGTGAGCCACCACACCTGGCCTAGAATACATTACTTCTGTTGCTTCCCTAAATAGTGGTTCTCAGCCCTGCTGCACCTTACAATCAAATCACCTGGAAAGCATTAAAAAAAACACTGGTGCCTTGGCTACACATCAGACCAACTGAATAAAAGAGTTCTAAGCATAAGGCTTTGGCCTCTGTTTGTTTGAAGCTTCCCACTTGATCCTGATTTGTAGCCTGGTTGGAGAACCATTTCCAAACACACTTTCAACATTTCTACATGTACTGCCCCACAAAAGTTACTCACAAGATCACTAAATCCAGTGGCCTGTTCTTGGCCCTTAAGTTCTCCTTCCTCCCGGCAGCATTTGACAATGTTGCCCACTTAGTAATGCTCTCTTCCCTTGGTCTCTGTGACAGGAGAGTTTCCTGCTTTTTATCCCCACCTCCTCATTTGGTCTCACTCTGTTTGCATTGTGAATACAGTAAAAGCTGCATTTACTGAACACCAGGCATTTTTGTACATGTTATAATCATCTATGACTTGTCTTTTTCCCTTACTAACCTGCAAATCACTTAAGGTAATTTTTTCTTTACACTTTTCCAATAAACTTTTATTATTGGTTAAGTCAGTTTTAGCTGTTTTAAAACTCAACTTTGTTTCCCCTTTATCATCTAAGCCTAGATGGTGGCACTTAGTGGACCTTCAAAATATATTTAAACTGAATTATCTTTTGAATTTCAGGAGGATGTGAAAATGCTCTCCCATCTGCTCCAGGCTTTAGATTATGGGGCACCCCCTCATGGAGGAATTGCCTTAGGTAAACAACTTTTCCTTTTATAAGATAAACTGAATTCCATTGCACTGTCTCAAATTCAGGTTCTCAGTTTGTGTTGGTAGAGGTGGAAGGATGAGTCCAAGAGTTCCATGAGAATGTAAGTTTCTGTTGAAATTTCAGTAATATATTTTTTAAATATATCTTAACAGTTATAAAGATATAACTTAACTGATAATTTGCATTTGAAAGATCATTAATAGCTTAAAACTGCAGATCTTAAGTCAATATTGTTCAAATCCCCATGGCCTCACATACGCACTCATTGGAGTCTGGAAAGCACTGCTCCATAATGTTCAGCTTGTATGAAAACAGGAAGATGCCAGTGTCCTTCTGATTGCCATGGTTACTCACTTTGCTTGTTTTGTCAAAGCAAGGAAGAGTAAGAAATTCTAGGAAGCTCACCTAGATTGTAGGCCCCAACAACAGGGACTTCCTTCTGTGTTTATGGAGTTCCCTGCCAAGCACCAAATACACTGTTGAATCTGTTTTAGGGCCTTTAGTAAGCCTTTACTAGGAACACTAATCGCTGTGACAATCCAAGTAGCATGTGAACATTAGTCCTGAATACTTTTCCAGAATGAGATAGAAAAGAACCTCTCAAACAAACAAAAGTTCTCTAAAAAGGTAGGGAACGATGGTTGGCTACAGTTTGTTAAAGATTCTTATTTAAAAGTTTTCTACAACTTTTATAGAAAAACTAAGTTATTTCCAACATTAGATTACATTTCTCATCTGTTATCTTTGTATTTTACTCACAGGGTTAGACAGACTGATATGCCTTGTCACTGGATCTCCAAGCATCAGAGATGTCATAGCCTTCCCAAAGTCCTTCCGGGGACATGACCTCATGAGCAATACCCCAGATTCTGTCCCTCCTGAGGAACTGAAGCCCTATCATATCCGAGTCTCCAAGCCAACAGACTCCAAAGCAGAAAGAGCTCATTGAATCATGCATACCATGCAGAAAGTTGAGCTTTTAGGTTTTGTCCTCTTTGCTTCCCCAAGGCTAAAGTCAGATCTAGAGTTCTGCCACAGGTCTAACAATCAAGTCTTTAGATGGAAGGAATCCAGGCAACATTCTTCACCACAACGAAGAAACAGATAAAAGATACCCAATTTTGACTTGATTTCATGCATCATTTGGATTTTTTTTGGTTAGGACTTTTTTTGAAGTTCCTTTTTACTTAGGTGTGAAAGATGGTTCTTTGTTGAAATAATATAGTGGTTTAGTGTTTTCAAATCATGTTTCTCATACCCAGATAGTAGATTATTCACTTAGGACAGAGGTAATCAAATTATGTGTGAAATGTAGGAAAATGCTTGCCCCTGTAAACTAGTGAGTTGATGGAGCATTTGCTTCATCATCCTCATCAAGAGAATCATATAAATTAAGCTTTATAATGACATTTCAACCATCAACATAATATAGTGAGGAGTAGCATAATATTTTTTAATAATGCAGAAAACATCACTGAAATGAGAGTCACAAATTTTTCTTCAGTGTTTCAGCCTGAGTAAGTTACATAAACCTCGCTTAGCCTCCCTTCCTGCTAATGTGTAAAATACATACTTGCCCTGGCTACCTCACCGGGCTGTTATTGCTGGAATCAGAGGAGATAACATATATGGAAGATAAAGTGAATAAAAGTACTTTGAAAAACTATAAAGCATTCCACAAATATGAGATGATGGTATTATCCATCCATAAATAGGTAGATATATCTCTATTTTATAGTTTCAGATTAAACAAAACTGATATCAATAGTAAAAGTCATTTTACTTATCAATTTTCTGTTTTTTTTTTTAGTTTTAAAGATATTATTGGCCGGGAGTGGTGGCTCACACCTGTAATCCCAGCACTTTGGGAGATTGAGGTGGGTGGATCACTTGAGGTCAGGAGTTCAACACCAGCCTGGCCAACATAGTGAAACCGTCTCTACTAAAAACACAAAAATTAGCCAGGCATGGTGGCGCATGCCTGTAATCGCAGCCACTCGGGAGGCTGAGGCATGAGGTTTGCTTGAACCTGGGAGATGGAGGTTGCAGTGAGCCAAGATGGTGCCATTACACTCCAGCCTGGGTGACAGAGCAAGACTCCATCTCAAAAAAAAAAAGACAACAAAGATATTATTAATCACTGAACACTATTTTCTCTCAATTATAAGTAATTGAAAATTCTAATCAACCTTAGATTAACCTCAAATGTGCGAAAAAGTGAACACCAAAACTCATTGTGATTTTAAGTTCTAATCATACACATAAAAGTTTTAATAAACTAATAATTATAAAATGAGGCCGGGTACAGTGGCTCACGCCTATAATCCCAGCACTTTGGGAGGCTGAGGCAGACAGATCACAAGGTCAAGAGACTGAGACCATCCTGGCCAACATGGTGAAACCCCATCTCTACTAAAAATACAAAAATTAGCTGGGTGTGGTGGCACATACCTGTAGTCCCAGCTACTCAGGAGGCTGAGGCAGGAGAATCACTTGAACCCAGGAGGTGGAGATTGCAGTGAGCCGAGGTTACACCACTGCACTCCAGCCTGGCAACAGAACAAGACTCCATTTCAAAAAAAGACAAAATGAGAACAAGGTCTTGATCAGTGATTTTGAAATTGTTTTCTTCTACTCAGTCTTCACTTCTGCCTTGAAATTCTTTTGATTTATACCTTTTTTTTTTTTGAGACAGAGTCTCGCTCTTTTGCCCAGGTTAGAGTGCAGTGGCACCATCTTGGCTCACTGCAACCTCCACCTCCTGGGTTCAAGTGATTCTCCTGCCTCAGCCTCCTATTTAATTAATTAATAATTGATTTAATGATTTAGTTTAAAATGTTAAATTCATTTTAAAATAACCCATTACATGTTAACACAAATAGCATGTTTTTATTTTATTTTATTTTGAGACAGAGTCTCACTCTGTTGCCCAGGCTGGAGTGCAATGGTGCGATCTTGGCTCACTTCATCCTCCACCTCCCGGGTTCAGGCAGTTTTCCTGCCTCAGCCTCCTGAGTAGTTGGGACCACAGGTGCCCTCCACCACACCTGGTTAATTTTTGTATTTTTAGTAGAGACGAGGTTTTGCCATGTTGACCAGGCTGGTCTCAAGCTCCTGGCCTCAGGTGATCCGCCTGCCTCAGCCTCCCAAAGTTCTGGGATTACAAAGGCGTGAGCCACCACACTCAGCCATGTTTTTATTTTAAAAATAATTATTTTCAAAAAAAAAATAGAAGAGTAACATTGTTTTATATTTCTGCAAATATTTTTTATTTCTGGCTTAATAGAAGACACTAGATTCTGATATCTGCTTCTGTATCCTATCTGTTGTTATATGCTGTTTTGGTTGAAGTCTGTGAAGAAAATCTGACCCCACTCATATATAAAGTTGGAAAAGGGAGGAGTATTTTAATAGCTTTGTCTGATAATTATGGATACTCTCTTTGATACCACACCAAAATATGACAAGTAGTAGAGTTCCTTAAAGGCTAGTTGCAATGTGGATTCTGAAATCGTATTGATGAGCTTTTCTAAAGTCCATTGGTGTACCTTGTATTTAAATAGAACTTTTACCTATGTGTGATATTTGTAACACCAGTCCAGTGATTGATCATTTGGAAAATATTGGTTCACTGAGTTATGCAAATCTTCCAAATGTTGACACATTTTGATATACAATATCTAAAACAAAATACCATTAATTAATATTACCACCAATCCCATTACAAAAGTCTAAGTCTGAGGAAGCTATAAGGGCACAGAAGTGTATACAAGCCTTCCAAAATTTTAGGTTTCATTTGGAAGCTTGAGTTTTATCATTGGCAACAAATGCCATCAGTTTTTTCCAAGCTGACTTGTTCTTTTTTGAGCAAATCTCTGCCAAAATTACCCCTAAAATATGAATAATCAATTTGTCAGGTTTTTTCAAACTAAAAATGTTCTGTGAAAACAAGCAGCTAGTTCAGCTTGTATCTCAAACAATTGTAACTACTTTTTCTAGGGAAAAAAAAATCTAGACATCCATACTTTATGGCAGATGTGCTTCATGCATACTTCCCATTTTGTCACACAGAATATCAAAATAACGTGTACTCAAGGTCAAGATTTACTAACAACTAAAATTCCAAAACTGCTAAACAACAGAATGCTGAATAAGGTGATCCAATTTTTAATATTTTATTTGAGACAACATCTCACCCTGTCACCCAGGCTGGAATCCAGTGGTGTGACACAGCTCACTGCATCCTCAACCTCCTGGGCTCAAGCGATCGTCCCACCTCAGTCTCATGAGTGGTTGGGACTACAGGCATGCACCATCATGCCCGGCTCACTTTTTTTTTCTTTTTTTTTTTAATTGTAGACACAGGGTCTCACTATGTTGCCCAGGCCGGTCTTGAACTCCTGGACTCAAGCAATCCCCCCACCTTGGTTTCCCAAAGTGTTGGGATTACAGGCATGAGCTACTACATACAACTGAAATCTTTTAATATGCTTGTCAAAAAGTTTTCTGATTCAGCAAATGGCACTTATATATAAAAGAGAGAACAAGAAGCTGGATGCGGTGGCTCACGCCTGTAATCCCAGCACTTTGGGAGGCTAGGTGGGCAGATCACGAGGTCAGGAGTTCGAGACCAGCCTGGCCAACGTGGTGAAACCCCCTCTCTACTAAAAATACAAAAATAGCCAGGCATGGTGGCCCACGCCTGTAATCCCAGCTACTTGGAAGGCTGAGGCAGGAGAATCGCTTGAACCTGGGAGGTGGAGGTTGCAGTGAGCCAAGATTGCGCCGCTACATTCCAGCCTGGGCAACACGAGCGAAACTCCGTCTCAAAAAAAAAAAAAAAAAGAATAGAACTTGGCTGGATGCAGTGGCTCACACCTGTAATCCCAGCACTTTGGGAGGGCAGGGCAGTTGGATCACTTGAGGCCAGGAGTTCAAGACTAGCCTGGCTGACATGGTGAAACTCCATCTCTACTAAAAATACAGAAAAAAAAATTAGCTGGGAGTGGTGGCACACACCTGTCATCCCAGCTACTCAGGTAGTTGAGGCACAACAATCACTTGAGCCTAGGAGGCCCAGGCTGGAGTGAGGTGGCACGATCTTGGTTCACTGCAACCTCCACCTCCAGGGTTCAGAGTAGCTGGGACTACAGGCCCACACTACCACACCCGGCTAATTTTCGCTTTTTTTCAGTAGAGACCGGGTTTTGCCATGTTGGCCAGGCTGGTCTCGAAGCCTGAGCCATAACCTGGCGAAAAGATACTTTGAAATGTAACATCGTTTTTCACTTCAAAATCAAGGTATTTTACCAACTTGTCTTTGGTACCTCCCCAAAAACTGATCTACTACATTTGCAGTTTCATTCATTTTTCCAACATTAAGGAATAAACTTGAAGCGCTTACATTCTTGTGGGGGAAGTAAGAACAAAACACATAATAGGTCATGGTGGTCACATGAAAAGTAAAGGGTAACCGATTGGGGTAGGTGGTGGTAGTTTTGTGTGTGTGTTTTTTTTTGAGACCAAGTCTCGCCGTTGCCCAGGCTGGAGTGCGGTGGCATGATCTCAGTTCACTGCAACCTCCACTTCCTAGGTTCAAGCAATTCTCCTGCCTCAGCCTCCTGAGTAGCTGGGATTACAGGTGCACGCCACACCTGGCTAACTTTTGTATTTTTAGTAGAGATGGGGGTTTCACTATGTTGGTCAGGCTGGTCTCAAACTCCTGACCGTGTGATCCACCCGCCTCGGCCTCCCAAAGTGGTGGGATTACAGGCATGAACCACCACGCCCAGCCTTCTTTTTTCCTTTGAGAAAGTCTCACCCTGGCACCCAGGCTGGAGTGCAGTGGCAGGATCACGGGTCACTGCAACCTCAGCCTCCCAGGTTCAGTTCCCCTGCCTCAGCCTCCCGAATAGCTGGGACTACAATAGCCCACCACTACACCCGGCTAGATTTTTGTATTTTTAGTAGAGATGGGGTTTCACCATATTGGCCAGGTTGGTCTTGAAATCCTGACCTCAGGTAATCTGCCCACCTCAGCACCCAGCCAGGTGGTGGTAGTTGTTTTACAGCCTGTGTGAGACATTCGGGTGAGCCCCAGGAAATGAAAGAATGTGCTTATTTGGGGGAGGGGGAGGCCTTTTTTCTTAGACAAAATTGGGCATTCCCAACTTACACGCATTTAGTGCATAAGCTGACATTTCAATGAGATTGTGAAATGACAATGGGAAGGGCCCTGAAAAAAACATCAAGCATAAAAGGCCTGGGAGGCCGGGCACTGCGGCTCAGGCCTGTGAAATCCCAGCACTTTGGGAGGATGGGGTTTCGTCTCTACTAAAAATACCAAAATGAGTTGGTTGTGATGGTAGGTGCCTATAGTCCTAGCTACAAGAGGCTGAAGAGAATCGCTTGAACCCGGGAGGTAGAGGTTGCAGTGAGCAGCGGTTGAGATCATGCCATTGCACTCCAGCCTGGGCAACAGGATTCAGTCTCAAAAAAAGGAAAATTCAGAGAGTAACTGAAGTTTTATCATTAATGGGACTAAAGTGCTTTAGCCCAGAAACAGATTTGTAAAACCATTACTGCTAACAAAGACATCATTATAAGCACAGCTGTACTGACACTGAAATTAAAATTTGACCCATCTTGGAATTTTGGCCCCTTGGTCCTGTTTCCCTGGGACAGATTGCCTTAAACCAGTTGTGCCCTTTATACCCACTTTTGGCATCCCTAAACACTTAGTGCTTGCCAAAAACCTATCACCATGGCTATGGATTGTAGATTTTCCCAATTCCATTAATGCCTATCACTAGTTGGGCATTTCTATAGTATTTTCTATAACTTATTTTCCCAGCCTCAGACTCAACATGACTTTCTCCAAGTAGCTCCATCAATACTTTAAGCTCAAAACCAATTAGCACAGGGGCCTATGAAACCTGACAATTTGCTCATATGGAGAATTAGGAAATATTGCACTTTAATGCATAAGACACCTTGTAAAATACCCATAAAATTTTAACTGGCTGCAGTGTTAATGAAGCAAATACCATGGAGTTATAATAGCTTTTGAATGTGATTTATGCTTACAGCTAATGAACAGATGAAAAGCACTGTCCTTTTTTAAGTAAACACTACACACTCCAGATGGATTGCAAAAATTTATTAAAATTGGAGACACTGTTTTAATCTTCTTGTGCCATGAGACTCCATCAGGCAGTCTACAAAGACCACTGGGAGGCTGAGGATCACTTGAGCCCAGAAGTTTGAGGCTGTAGTAAGCTTCAAAGGCCACTGCACTCTAGCTTGGGTGAGGCAAGACCCTGTCTCAAAAAATAAGACAAGACTTTTAGCCACATTTACAGACTTCAATTAAAATGCTACATGGGAATGCAGAATATCAGATATTTTATTGTCATCAAGTAATCAGTGAGAGAGTTCAAGTTGGATTGAGATCATCATGTATTCTGCAATTATAATAGTCCCAACATTTCCAATCCTCACCTTTCAAGCAGTAAGCTGCATGCTTGCTTGTTGTGGTCATTAAAAACCCTGAAAGCGAAGCCAACATATTAATCAGGGCAAAATACAAATGTGTGATGCTTGTTAGTAGAGTAACCTCAGAATCAAAATGGAACGGTTTTACAGTGATATCATTATATTTCATTTGGCAGAATCATTACATCATTGGTTACACTGAAAATCATCACATGTACCAAAAGCTGACTCACCTAGTTTAGGATAACAGGTCTGCCTGTTTGAAGATGAAAAATAATACCCATTTAAAATTTGCCCTACTCAATTTCCTTCTCAGTCACATTTTAACTTTTAAACAGCTAATCACTCCCATCTACAGATTAAGGTGTATATGCCACCAAAACCTTTTGCCACCTTAAAAATTTCCTTCAAAGTTTAAACTAACCTGCATTTCTTCAATCATGAATTCTGAGTCCTGAAATTAAGGGACAATACACAGTAAGACAACTTGCATACAATTAGGAGTAATCCAAAATCTCCAAACATTATAGAATGGCTATATTCCCCTTTTCGGGGCATAAACTAGAATGTTACCGCCAGATACATCAGATAGGAGCGAAAGACTTAATATTGCTCATCAGCGTTAGTCTGCTGAACTATGTTATCATCATTGTATCGGCTTTACAACACTTAAAAACCAGACTTGAGGCGGGGCATGGTGGCTCACGCCTGTAATCCCAGCACTTTGGGAGGTCAGTGCGGGCAGTATCACTTGAGGTCAAGAGTTCGAGACCAGCCTGGACAACATAGCTGTACAAAATTAGCCAGGCATGGTGTCACATGCCTGTAATCCCAGCTACTCAAGAGGCTGAGGCAGGAGAATTCCTTGAACCTGGGAGGCAGAGGTTGCAGTGAACTGATAGTGCCGCTGCACTCCATTCTGGGCAAGAGCTAGACTCTTGTCTAAAAAAAAAAAAAAAATACTTGGAACTGCTATACCTTTGCTTCTTTAAAACTTGCTCCACACAGTGTAGTCAAGCCGACTCTCCATACCTGTAGAAATTTAATCTCCTTTACCAATAGGTAGTAATAGGTGGATTTCTAAAAGATTTCCCAACTACTGTTTCAGTTTAAGATTAATCTCCATTTTCTTTCTCAGAGAGATTCCCATCTGCTTTAATTTTAAAATCATCACTAACAGTAGCTCAATCAATTAACGTTAACATCAATAAAACATGTACCTTTAAAAGGTATGACAGGAACTGTCTTCATGTCCTTACCCAAGCAAGTCATCCATGGATAAAAACGTTACCAGGAGCTGGAATACAAATGAGGACTTCCATTAAAATGCTAAACATCATTAAACTCTTTTCAAAGTTGTCTGTCACAGGGTTCTTCAGTGTTACCTTTGTCTACATGCTCATTTCAGGTCAGACATTTGATCAACATCATTACACAAACCCCGTTCCAAACATGCTCAAGGAAAACACATAAACACTGTTCCAGACATGCTCAAGGAAAATACAGTCAGTATTCATCAGCCAAGCCTTAAGCCATTAGCTCAGCAGTAAGCATATCACCATCAGCATTTTCATTAAGTCTATCTACTGTTTTCATTAATACTTACCAGAACCATTAAGCTGGTCCAGGCAAGTTGGACTCCACCTAAGAAATAAGAGTGGTCTTAGAATAGCCACAGATGAGTGTTCACCCCCTGCCAAAACTAACAAATGCCTTTAGTCAGTTAGAGCTAATTAAGACCTTCATGTTCAGTCAGCATTTGCTTATCATCATCCAGGCTGCATTTACAAACTTTCTTATTAATCATAACAAGACAAGAATCCGCCATTTATTTAATGCATTCAGCACTAGGAGGTAACTAAAAAGCCATTTGTGCCGTAGGAAGTTTGCCCAGTTACCTGCTTACTTGGATACAGTTTCACTTACCATTTCAACTTCCAGCTTTCTGTCTAATGCCTGTAATTTTAATACAAAATTGTCAGCAAAAAATATTTTAATGGTAGATTGGTGGTACACTGCTTAACCATTAACAGCAAACCACAACTACCCCAGATACATCAGACAGATAGTACATCTCTTCATGATTAAATCTGCTGAACTATGCAACCATCATAGTATCTGTTTTCACATTTTCTTCAGTATTAAACTTAGTATCAATATGAGAGCAAAATTCTCATTTGAAAAGAGGGGAGAGAAGCACTAACATAGATAATCATCATTGCTTTGGCTATTTTCTAATCCCTTAAAAGTGAGAAGTACAAAATAGAGGTGTCTCACCTGTGTGCCAATGGCTTGAGTTAGGCTTGCTCTTTAGGACCTGGGAAGAAACAACTTCATGTGAACTTAGGTGTACTCTCTATGTTCCCCAACTCACCATTTTGGGTGCCTCAGTTAAGATAATGGTGGTTAAGATCCTCATCATTCTAGCACTCAAGAGTAGCAAATAAACTGTCATCATTGTGGCACATCCAATGGCTTTAAACCTTTTTGAGAGGGAATTTTCAACTTACTTCAGTAGCTATTCTCATCCTTCCTTGGGGACACAACTAGAAAACAAAAAGATGCAAGCAAAACAGTGAGAATGAACCTCACAGCAGTCACGTTAAATATAAATGCTGTTAACATTAAAGCCTCAGAATAGAATTTCAGAAATCCCTTCTGTCCACTACTCTTAAAGCATCACAGGCTGAGACCACCTCTTAGATTTCATTCTTCCCACCATACTTTCCCCAATTCTTACCTGTCCATAAGGTGCTATCCAGAGCCACACTGCATCTGCACCCAGCACCATACCTAAAGAGATCAGGTACAGATTTTAATTCATTGTTCCACGGTTCTTTTTTTTAAAGAGTGTTCTTTAAAAAAACGGTTCGTCTTTTTAAACCAATGATGCAGGTAACATACCATTCATTATCTAGCGACAGGTAAAGGATACACTTAATGTTACAAAGAAGCACTGCACCCGCAGTTAAGAACCACCGATGGCGGCCGGGCGCGGTGGCTCACGGCTTGTAATCCCAGTATGTTGGGGGACCACGGCTGGTGGATCACCTGAGGTCAGGAGTTCAAGACCAGTCTCGCCAACATGGTGAAACCCCGTCTCTACTAAAAATATAAAAGCCTAGCATGGTGGCGCGCGCCTGTAGTCCCAGTTACTTGGGAGGCTGAGGCAGAACTGCTTAACTCGGGACGCGGAGGTTGCCATTAACCGATGTCGAGCCACTGCATTCCAGCCTGGGTGACAGAACGAGGCTCGGTCTCAAAAAAGAAAAAAGAAACACTAATGGAAATATTGGTGACACTGCGGAATGCAGGCACTTAAGCACGTGGACTACCACCGACAGCCTTTCATGAGAGCGGACGGCTGATGGAGGCTCGGGTCACGGCCCTTAACAATAGCTTACTCGGGTGACTCGGCATGTGCCACCATCAGAGCGGTTGGCATTCATCATTACTCTCAGATGTCCCTACCAACACAGGCTTCATCAGAGGCAGGGCACGAGAGCCGAGGCTTCTCCGCAGTTCTACTCTAACATAGTCGCAGCTTAGGTCACGCATGCACCATATGTGCAATCCCCCACCATCCTCAACTTGTAGGCCCTGCAAAGGCGCGCGACTGGCTTAGAAGTCCCAGTCAATTCAGGGTGACCTTAGCAGACAAAGGCTGGAGCGCCCCAAAACCCGCAACATTCGCAAAGATAAAACATACCTCACAGGAGTCGACTCCTACCTCGAAAAGACAGTATGGTGCCTGGGCTCCTGTATATAAGAGTTCTTTTGATGACGTCACGACGCACGCTCCCGGCAGCGTCCGCTTCGGCTCCTCCCCCTAACCTCCCTCAATCTTCCTCTCATCCAGTATCACCTTCTTCCCACCCCTTAAGTCCGCCCCTTTTCCCCGCCCTTCCTCGCCATTGTGGGCAGAGACATGACCGTCCACGTGATGCCGTGCTCCCGCCCTCCTCCCGACTGAGGAGGAAGAGCAGAGAGGGGAGGGGGCGCGAGGCAAGGAAAGCTCTGGGGATGGGGGAAGGGGGGGCGGTGTAAGGCTGAGTGATTTCCTTCCGGCACGTCGCCCGCTCCGTGGGAGGGGGTGGGGGATTTCACTTCCGGGACGGTGTTCCGGCCCATTCCGGCCCATTTCCACCCCCGGAGGTAGGTGCTGCTCCTTGACTGGACTCGGGCCCCACACCCCAGTGCCACTTCCCTGCACCGGGGTCACCTCGCCCGCCCTCCGCCGCAGCGCGCTCCTGGGGCGCTCAGCTACTTTCCTTCACCCCGCCTCCAGGCACCGGGCGACCTTCCACCCCCTTGGCCCCCGGCCGGGCTGATCTGCCGGACCCGCCCCCTCGCGGGGCCCCTCCC
Organism: Homo sapiens; assembly: GCF_000001405.40. Taxonomy (NCBI): domain Eukaryota; kingdom Metazoa; phylum Chordata; class Mammalia; order Primates; family Hominidae; genus Homo; species Homo sapiens. The sequence continues at coordinate 173,868,616 of NC_000001.11, forward strand.
TCAGGACCCCGGGAAGGGCGGCCCCCTCCCCCACCGCAGCCGGGACACACCCAGATACGCACACCCACCTCCTGGCAGCTCCCCGCCCGCCGCCGCCTGGAGCCGGTCCCTGGGCGCCGCCCCCTTCCTAGTTCTCACCTGAGCGCTGGCTCCCCCGCCCGACGCCTTGTCCCCATCTTCTCCGAAGTTCCTCAGTGACATTTTGCCCTTTAGCCAGTTCCCCTCTCCCCAGGCTTCCTAACGCAGAAGAAAGCTGCTCAAGTGCTGGAGTGGCCAACCCCATGCCGTTCCCAATTCTCCCTTTTACAGCTCTCACCCCTCCAGTGCCGACGGTAGCGAAAGACTTTCCTCCAGGGGCTTCCTCACTGGGGAATTGCCGGAAAGAGCAAACAAAAAAGGCGCTGGTGTAGGCTCCAAAATAAACACATCTGAATTCATGATGGCATCGACAGAGGCTCTTATTGGATTAAAAGTTTCAAAACAAACAATAACGCTTTGGAAAAAGGTCAGATTGGCTAAAGTTGATTGTTGAAAACAGTGTATACACTTCCCTATTTAATAAGTGTGTTGTTAATGCGGGGCAGTACTGTGAGCTTGGCAGAGTAAGTTCCTGAAGTTTCAGGTGTGGTGTAACTATGTAATATATAGATAAGTGAACGCACATTGGGCTTAAGTAAATGTCTTCCTGTTCGGATTTATACAAACTATTTTCAGTAGTTGAAACTGTACTTTCAACTATCTTGTATACAGCTTCAGGTTTAGTGTTTCAGCCATTTTTTAAAAATATTTTAATGGAAAAATGTTGGCATACTTGGTAAATGCTGTATTTTTTCATCGGATCTGGAGAACTAAGTTTCAGGATGGAAGTATTCATCACCACCTCGGAATTGCCAACTTCGAATTTGGCAGATTTACCCAGCTTTCCTAATTTTGACAACTGAACTTCACATTCTCTGCATCTTGGTTGAATCCTGGCACAGCTGTGGGATTTTTCCTAGAGTTTGCTTCACAGCCCTATAACCAAAGTCTTTTTGTGGGGGGGGCTCTGATTCTTAAGCTTAGAAATATTAGCCTACATTCATGTGGGATATTAGTCCTTTTATAAAATAATAAACATAATTCTTGCAGCAGGTAGTAAAATACTAAGAAGAGGGATATCAAGCTATGTAGAATTGCATTTATTCAGAAAGCTTTCCTCCTCCAGAGAAAAGTTGTAAAGTTATGAGATGTTATATTCAGTCTGCAAGTACCTTATAGTTAACACTTAAAAGTCCTTCCCCCTACCTTCTGTTGAACTTCTGTTTTGATGTTATATAACTTATTAGTAAGGAAAGCATGGTCATAACATGAATTTTTAGGAGTCTAAAGATCACTTTTTAGTTTTAACTATGTCCTCCTGTGAAACTTAAACTGAAAAACCTGTTGGTGATTCTGTTTCCACATCTAAATATAAGGAAGGTATTTCTTTTATCTGGAGATTTTGAAACTTTACCAGATAACTATGTTTAAATACTTTTGAAATGGAAACCATCCGGGAAGTAAAATTATAATTATTAATGAGAATATGGTTTCTTTTTTCAGCAGGGTTGAATGCACCCTCAGGCACGACCATGGAGAAAGGTGGGAACATACAATTGGAGATTCCTGACTTCAGCAACTCTGTCCTGAGCCATCTAAACCAGTTGCGCATGCAGGGCCGTCTCTGTGATATTGTGGTCAATGTGCAAGGACAAGCTTTTCGGGCTCACAAAGTGGTGCTGGCTGCCAGCTCCCCCTATTTCCGGGATCACATGTCCTTGAATGAGATGAGTACAGTCTCCATTTCAGTCATCAAGAACCCTACTGTTTTTGAACAGCTCCTTTCTTTCTGTTACACAGGGCGGATATGCCTGCAACTGGCAGATATCATCAGCTACCTAACAGCTGCCAGTTTTCTGCAAATGCAGCATATTATAGACAAATGTACACAGATCCTGGAGGGCATTCATTTCAAAATTAATGTGGCTGAGGTTGAAGCAGAATTAAGTCAAACAAGGACAAAGCATCAAGAGAGACCTCCAGAGTCTCACAGGGTTACACCAAATCTCAACCGCTCCCTTAGCCCACGACATAATACCCCAAAGGGAAACCGGCGAGGTCAGGTTAGTGCTGTGCTGGATATCAGAGAGCTAAGTCCTCCTGAGGAGTCCACCAGCCCTCAGATCATTGAACCAAGTTCTGATGTAGAGAGCCGGGAGCCCATTCTTCGGATCAACCGAGCAGGACAGTGGTATGTGGAGACAGGAGTGGCGGACCGTGGGGGTCGGAGTGATGATGAAGTTAGAGTTCTTGGAGCAGTACACATCAAAACTGAAAATCTGGAGGAGTGGCTTGGGCCTGAGAATCAGCCTTCTGGAGAAGATGGGAGTAGTGCAGAGGAAGTAACAGCCATGGTGATTGATACCACAGGCCATGGTTCTGTAGGACAGGAAAATTATACTTTAGGGTCTTCAGGAGCCAAGGTGGCTCGGCCAACAAGCAGTGAAGTTGACAGGTAGGTTTGGTTTGGTTTGGTTTTCCCATGTAATGGCTATTGTGTAGACATCACTAAAGTGTCCTCTGTAGTACAGAGAGCATTTTCCTTACCTGATTTTCTTGGTCAAAATAAGTTGATGATGGGGAAACTGGAGGTGTGCCAAAAGACTTGCATTCTTATTTTTTTAAACCAGGAAGCTCCATTCCTGAAGTATTCACAATGTTGTGAGAACTGTGGTAAAGTTAGACACTTCCGTGAATCAGAATAGCATCTGCAGCCACACTAGGATAGGATCAGTAATTGCCAGGGCTTCCTCGGGATTCGAGGCAGGGAGCCGATCATCAGCTGGGAACCTAGCAGCATTGCCCTTCCTTGGTGTGTTATCACACAGGTAGGTGGCCTCCAGGAGTCTCACTTTCCTTTGTAGCACTGCTTGCTTTTCTTTGCCCCCAACTACCAAATTAGAGGAAGTATGGTACCAGCAGTAATTGTTCTTTTCAAATTAGTAAAATAGTAATTCTGAAGAAAAGCGTTATGGATATTTTTCATCTCTTTTTTCCCTTGTCACGTGATGGTATCTTCCCTGTTTTCTTTCATGGATGACTGCTGCTACCACAGGCCTGACAATCTCCCTTTTTTTCACCAGTGCTGCTATGCCCCATGCCTCACTTTTCTCTTTTAATACATTGTATTTATTAGACATTTCTTTTTGGTGGAAATACCATGGGTTTCAGTCAATTGAGAGAAAGTCTCAATTGAAAGAAATATTACTAATTTAGATTGGTAATATTTGTTCTTTTTCCCTCTTAAAAATAAATTTAAATTGACTATATGAGCAAAGAAAACTAAAAAACTATTACTTTGGTCTTGAGAAACAAATGTATCACAGAGATTCAGTTAGTGTATACTGTATCCACTTCAGGTGGTCTTTTTATTTTATTTTATTTATTTTATTTGAGACGGAGTCTCGCTGTGTCGTCCAGGCTGGAGTGCAGTGGTGCGATCTCGGCTCACTGCAAGCTCTGCCTCCCAGGTTCACACCATTCTTCTGCCTCAGCCTCCCGAGTAGCTGGGACTACAGGTCCCTGCCCCCATGCTCAGCTAATTTTTGTGTGTGTGTTTTTAGTAGAGATGGGGTTTTACCATGCTAGCCAGGATGGTCTCGATCTCCTGACCTCGTGACCCACCTGCCTCAGCCTCCCAGAGTGCTGGGATTACAGGTGTGAGCCACTGCGCCCGGCCTTATTTTATTTTATTTTTGAGATGAAGTCTCACTCTGTTGCCCAGGTTAGAGTGCAGTGGTGCAATCTTGGCTCACTGCAGCCTCTACCTCTTGGGTTCAGGCGTTTCTCCTGCCACTGTGCCTGGCTTCAGGTGATCTTGATTTGAGTATTGTCTTCCTGTGTCCTTATTAAAATAATCTTGAGCATAGAACTTGTCCTCCTATGTTAGAACTGTATCAGAAGTTCTCGGGTGATGGGTGCACCAAAATCTCACAAATCACCAAAGAACTTACTTATGTAACCAGATACCACCTGTTCCATGATAACTTATGGAAATAAAATTTTAAAAAAAACTATCAGAAGTAATATCAGGGCCAGGTGTGGTGGCTCACACCTGTGATCCCAGCACTTTGGGAGGCTGAGGCAGGTGGATCACTTGAGGCCAGGACTTTGAGACCAGCCTGGCCAACATGGTGAATCCCATCTCTACTAAAAATACAAAAATTAGCTGAGCGTGGTGGCACGCACCTGTAGTCTCAGCTACTGGGCCAGCTGAGGCAGGAGAATCGCTTGAACCCAGGAAGTGGAGGTTGCAGTTAGCTGGGATCACGCCACTGTACTCCAGCCTGGGCAACAGAGCAAGACTCTGTCTCAAAAAAAAAAAAAAAGTAATATCAATTTCAATGCAAAGATTTTTTAATCTCCATGATCTATATCAATAGTCTAAAATACAGATTATTATGGGACCTTGGGGAAGAAACAGCCAAAAACCTGGTAATTACGTAGAAGAAACAAAATTATAGGCCCCGTTTTAATTTATTCTTTTATGGTCTCCCAGTATTTATATAAGGAAGAAAGCTTATATTTAGCTTTAGCTTCACCAGCTCATATGTTCTATCTGTTATGTCATTTTGTGTTTATTAAATTTACTAGGGCTAACCTATTATTTCAAATCAGATTATGTATTAACTCCACAAAACTATTCCTCAGTTATTTGTTGCTTGGTTTGTTCCCCCTTCCTCAGCCATAGAATAAAGAGGGGCGACATCACCATTTTTCAGGTTCTTTGATGCTGCTTTTGTATTAGTCCCCTTTATGTTCCTCTTCCAACAGATTTAGCCCCTCCGGCAGTGTTGTTCCCTTGACAGAGAGACACAGAGCCAGAAGTGAGTCTCCTGGGAGAATGGATGAGCCTAAGCAACCCAGCTCCCAGGTATGGAGTTGTGGATTTAGAACTGCTTTGGTGGTTGGAGGAATTGCTACTGTGTATGAATAGAAAATAATGAAAAAGAAAAGATGTAGGAGAGGTAACAATGGCCCTGTTAAAGAAATACTGTATTTTTTTTCCCTGAGGGTAGCAGAAGTTTAATATTAAAATTATACAGAGACATCACCAGAAAGGAAAATTGCAGACTGGTATTTCTACCAAGCATAGATGCAAATATTTTGAAAAGAACATTAACAAATTAACACTGATAGCTGGTTTAACATTTTAAAATTAATCATTGTAATCTGTTTCATTAATAAGGAAAAAGTGATAAATTACATGTGGCAATTTTGATAAATACAGAAAAGAACAATTGGCTAAAACTCTTAGCAAACTAGAAATACAAGGGAACTGGCCGGGCGCAGTGGCTCGCGCCTGTAATCCCAGCACTTTGGGAGGCCGAGGCAGGTGGATCACCTGAGGTCCGGAGTTCGAGACCAGCTTGACCAACATGGAGAAAACCCGTCTCTACTAAAAATACAAAATTACCCAGGCATGGTGGCACGTGCCCGTGATCCCAACTACTCCAGAGGCTGAGGCAGGACAATGGCTTGAACCCGGGAGGCGGAGGTTGCTGTGAGCCGAGATCACACCATTGCACTCCAGCCTGGGCCACAAGAGTGAAACTCCGTCTCAAAAAAAAAAAAAAAAAAGAAATACAAGGGAACTTTCTTAATCTGATTGAAAGTATCTATCTAAAAAATCTATAGAAAACATCTTTTTTTTTTTTTTGAGACGGAGTCTCGAGTCTCACCCTGTCGCCCAGGCTGGAGTGCATGGAGTGCAGTGGTGCAATCTCGGCTCACTGCAAGCTCCACCTCCCGGGTTCACGCCATTCTCCTGCCTCAGCCTCCCAAGTAGCTGGGACTACAGGCACCTGCCACCACGCCCGGCTAATTATTTGTATTTTTGAGTAGAGACGGGGTTTCACCGTGTTAGCCAGGGTGGTTTCGATCTCCTGACCTCATGATCCGCCTGCCTCGGCCTCCCAAAATGCTGGGATTACAGGTGTGAGCCACTGCACCCAGCCACTGCACCCAGCCCAGAAAACATCTTAATAGTAAATTATTGAAAGCTTCCTTCGTGTGATTGGGAATGAGACAGAATGTCTGCTACCACCACTTCTACCCAGCTTTTTATTTGTAGTCCTAGTCAATGCAATAAAGCAAGAAATACAAATTTATAGCATAAGGATGACAAAGCAAGAAATAGAACTTTTGTTATTAGTAGACAGCCTGACTTGTTATGTAAAAAATGCAAAGTTAAATACTGTATTTGATTACTTTTTTTTTAAAATTCTTGCTTGTGGGCGTGCAGGAAAATACACTTTCGATGTCAGCAGAGTTTGGGAAATATAAAAAAGTAAGATTGTGGAACTCTTTCCTGATTATAATAACCACACTGTAGACCTGATAGTAATAAAAAATAATCCCAGAAAACCACATACAGGTAATTTGCAGGTAATTTAGGACCTGGAATCGAAAGTCTGATTATTATGTGTGTGTGTGTGTGTGTGTGTGTGTGTGTGTGTGTGTGTGTGCACGTGTGTACTGTATATACTATATGTAGTATACACACACTATGTATACTATAGTATGCACACACTATATATACTATATATACTATGCGTAGTATACACACACACACAGTTATGAAGTTACTAATTTGTAGCATTTTATTTATATATATATGTGTGCATATATATATATATTTTTTTTTTTTTTTGAGGCAGTCTTGCTCTGTCACCCAGGCTGGAGTGCAGTGGTGTGATCTCGGCTCGCTGCAATCTCTGCCTCCTGGGTTCAAACGGTTCTCCTGCCTCAACCTCCTGAGTAGCTGGGATTACAGGCGCCCGCCAGCACACCTAGCTAATTTTTGTATTTTTAGTAGATAGCAGGGTTTCACCATGTGGGCCAGGCTGGTCTTGAACTCCTGAACTCAGGTGATCCACCCACCTCAGCCTCCGAAAGTGCTGGGATTGCAGATGTGAGCCACCGCGCCCGGCCTGCATTATATATTTGTAAACAAATTGCTTATGCTTTTTTTTTTCTGAGACAGGGTCTCACTCTGGTTGACCAGGTTGCATTGCACTGGTGCGATCTCAACTCACTTTAGCCTCAACCTCCTAGGTTCAGGTGATTCTCTCCCCTCAGCCTCCTGAGTAGCTGGAACCACAGATGCGCACTACCATGCCCAGCTGATTTTTTTGTGTGTTTTTAGTGGAAATGGCGTTGCACCAGTTTGCCCAGGCTGGTCTCAAACTCTTGGACTCAAGCAATCTGCCTGCCTCAGCCTCCCAATTTGCTGGGATTACAGGCGTGAGCCACTGTGCCCAGCTGCTTACACATTTTTATGTGTGTTTGCTATTTCATGTACTGTATCTTGTCATTTATTTTCTTCCTGAATATTTTGTTAGACTAACACATTCTAGAAAGGATAGGAATGATGGGTTTTTTTCTATTTTCTTTGCAACTCTCCTTAGCAACTAGTATGAGTTTGCTCATTTTTTTTTTCTCACAGGTCTGATTGAATGATTTTTTTTAAAGCTCATGAACTCACCAAGTAGAAGACAATAAATTGTGAACATTTTTGCCTTTAAAAAGTAAACACTGTTGAATTAAGATTACATAGCTCATGTTTCTAGCCTCTGCATTACACTGATAGTATCTTGTCTAATTTTTAACTAAACCACTGAATTATTATTACTTTTTTTTTTAGATGGAGTCTGGCTCTGTCATCCAGGCTGGAGTGCAGTGGCGCAGCCTTGGCTCACTGCAACCTCCACCTCTCTGGTTCGAGCAATTCTCCTGTCTCAGCTTCCCGAGTAGCTGGGACTACAGGTGCATGCTACCACGCCCAGCTAATTTTTGTATTTTTAGTAGAGACAGGGTTTCACCATATTGGTCAGGCTGGTCTCAAACTCCTGACCTCAGGTAATCCAACCGCCTCAGCCTCCCGAAGTGCTGGGATTACAGACATGAGCCACCGTACCCAGCCTAAACCACTGAATATTTATTGTGTGCATGGTATAGTAATAGCCGTAAGACATTGTTACAAACTGTGTTTTTTAGTTTTGATAAGATGTTAGAGAAAATATTAGGAGCTTGGAGGAAAGGTAATTTGGCTCATATTATTAGGGCCCTTTTTCTCCTCATCTCTCAAATATGGTATGATAGCAATGCAGAGGAGGCTGTTGAGCAGATATAGGCGTGTGTCACTAATTGACAGTATATTCTGAGAAATGCTAGACCATTTTGTCATTGTGCAAATATAGAGTATATTTACACAAATTTAGATGGTATAACCTACTGCACACCTAGTTCATATGATATATCCCGTTCCTCCTAGGCTGCAAACCTGTATAGCATGTTACTGTACTGAATACTGTAGGCAGTTACAAAGTAAATATTTGTGTATCTAAACATAAATTACTGAATATAGTAAATATTTGTGTATCTAAACATAGAAACGATAGTGTAAAAATATTGTATTATAATCGTATGGAAGCACGGTTACATATGTGGTCCATCACTGACCAAAATGTTATGTGGTACATAACTGTAAATTCAGTAATGAGTCAGACGTTACAACTTAATGGGGGCATAAGACAGACTAACAAATACACACAAAAAAACTGTAAGACTCTACAGTATAAACTTGAGTAATAGTGTTGTGGGACTAGGATTGTTTAAAAGGCAATGGAATAATGAAATCAGTGTCCACTTAAGGAAAGTGTTGTCAAGATTTTCTTTCTTTTTTTTTTTTTTTTTTTTTTTTCCGAGACAGGATCTCACTTTGTCGTCCAGGCTAGAGTGCAGTGGTATGATCATGTCTCACTGCAGCCTTGCCTTCCCTGGCTCAAGCAGTCCCCTCACCTCAGCTCCTGAGTAGCTGGGACCACTGGCATGTGCCACCACACCCGGTTAATTTTTTTGTTTTTTGTAGACACAGGGTTTCACTGTGTTGCCCAGGCTGATCTCGAATTCCTGAGCTCAGTAGTGGCTCACGCCTGTAATCCCATCACTTGGAAGACCAAGGTGCAGTCCTCCCACCTTGGTCTCCCAAGGGGTGAGACTACAGATGTGAGCCACCACATACAGCCTCAAGGATAGGGTAATATATATGCCTTAATGGATATGAAAGTTTAATATGGTAAGTCTACTCACCAGTTTTTTTCCTCTACTACAGAGAACTAAAACAGGGCAAGGACTTACAGTAAGAATGAATATTGATAGATTTGAAGAACTTCCTGATTATGGGGGTGATTAAACTGGAACACACTAATAAAGTTACTCTTTTACTTGAAAACATTCTGTAGCTTTTTCTATGACATGAAGGTTAATATACTTGGCCTAATTTTTCAAGTGATTTACAGTCTTTTTAACCCAACTTTTCCCACCACTCATCAGCATTCACTGTCTCAAACAGATAGACTCTCCCTGTGTCAGAACCACATTAAACTATTTCTCTTTCTGCATCTAAAGTCTGAATGCCTCATTTCTTTTCAGGTGTCTGGGTTCAGCCAAGGTCCAGCTCCTAGTTTTATCTGTCCTAACTGCTCCAGTCCTCTTTGATTTTTCCTTTTTAGGCTACTATTATAGCATGGTACAATACAATTTTTCCTAATTCTCTAGACTCAATATATGTTGTTCCTTTTTTATTTGCATTAGTTTTGTGTCTCCTGTTAAACTGAAATCTCCTTGAGAGCAGAGACCACATTTTCTTTCCTCTTTTTGTTTTTGTCTTTTGACAGTTTTAGTACCAATAAGTCTTTGTTTATGCATTCTATTTTCCCAGGGAAAGGAGAAGGGAAGGAAGGGGAAAGAGTCAGCCTATGTTACAGAATGATTAGAAAATGGGCAAGGAAGTACCCAGTACAGCACAATCAACCATCAAATAAACACACCCCAGTGATGGGGTCACCAATGCCCAAAGAGGCTCTGTCTCCTGCAGTTCAGGAATAAGGGGAAGAGACCAGGAAAAGAACAGATAGGTACAGACTTTCCTACCCTCCCTTCCACCTCATAAATTCAAGATTTCACATAAAGCTTTAGCTTCTAGTGGTAAACATTAAGTTACATTTGTTCATCTCCTGTTAAGCAATCTTGTGGCTACTTTGACATAAATTTCTTACACCTGTATAAAAGTTCTTGAGTGACTTGGATATAAATTCAACATTTAGGCTGGGCGCAGTGGCTCATGCCTATAATCCCAGCACTTTGGGAGGCTGAGATGGGCGGATCACTTGACATCAGGAGTGAGGTTCAAGACAAGCCTGGCTAACATGGTGAAACCCCTTCTCTAATAAAAATACAAAAACATTAGCCAGGCATGGTGGCGGGTGCCTGTAATCCCAGATACTTGGGAGGCTGAGACAGGAGAATCGTTTGAACCCGGGAGGTGGAGGTTGCAGTGAGCCGAGACCATGCCATTGCCCTCCAGCCCGGGGAACAAGAGCAAAACTCCATCTCAAAAAAAAAAAAAAAAAATCAGCATTTATTCTCTTTCTTGGCTTCCTGACCCCACTTTCTACATGGAAAGCCCCCAGTTGCTTCTCTCTACTTTAGGATTAAAGATGAGGTAGGTTTAATCCATCCAGAATCCAGCAGTGTCTTAAGGGTTTAGCATGAATCACATCAAGAAAAATGGTCTTGACTCAGGAGATTGGAAACAAGGGATGGGGGTTTCCTAGCTTCTTCAGGATTTTTGCATCAATCATTTCAGAGTTGTGTAGTTGCCCTAAAAATTAAATATGTATATGCGTGGGTGTGTAGGTTTTCTTTTGGGGGTCGATGGAAAAGAGGGAGAAGGGTAGGAGACAAATTTTTAGGACAGAAGATCTGGCCCAATAGGTAATAGGGAAAGGAGAAAACTAAAGAAAGGATGGTTCAAGATCCCCACTTTTAAGAAGAGGGCTCCGCAGTCTAATGTTTCAGATTTTTTGCCAGGTACAGAACCTTCTGTCAAAGATGTTTTGGCTATTTTTCTCTCAATACAAAAAGAAGTTTGTAAACCCCAAAAGAACACGGAGAAGTAGTTTGCAACTATCGGCTGGGCGAGGTGGCTCACACTTGTAATCCCAGCACTTTGGGAGGCCCAGGTATGTGGATCACCTGAGGTCATGAGTTCAAGACCAGCCTGGCCAACATGGTGAAACCCCATCTCTACTAAATATAAAACATTAGCCAGGCATGGTGGTGGGCACCTGTAATCTCAGCTACTCGGGAGGCTGCAACAGGAGAATCACTTGAACCTGGGAGGCAGAGGTTGCAGTGAGCCGAGATGATGCTACTGCACTCCAGCCTGGGCGACAAAGCGAGACTGTCTCAAAAAAGAACATGGAGAAAGACCAGCACATTATATTTACACAAACTAGGCCACCTAGCAATCACCAACTCTGAAGTCCTACAAAGCCCAGACAAATACAATAACTAATGGGGTGTGGGGGAAAGCATTTAGGGGAAACAGGAACACAGGATCAGGCACACACTACCCAAGTGCATTTTATTGCATTTGAGAGACCACGTTTTCTTATCTTCTTTGTATCTCTGACATTATCTTCTTAGTGCCTGATTAATAGTTGTTGTTTTATCTCTAAGTAATTCTAAGTAACTAAGTTTACTTAGTAGTTGCCCAATAAATAGGCACCTACTAAATAGGGAGTTATTTAGTTACTTGTAAAATCCTTAATTTTGGAGATCTTTCAAAAACATTAATACACCAAACCAGATGACTTTTTAAGGCCCTTCAGTTAACTTTGGGTCTGCGGTTAGTAACTGAAAATTAGAATGGTAGAAGGCTTTGAAGTCCATGTCAAGAATCTAGACTGATGTTTGTTTTAGAAAATATGGAAACCTTTCATTTATATGGAGTTTTCATATAAATTATATGGAGTAATTCATTAAGAAATAGCTATTGAACCAAGCACTGATCAAATTCCTAGATATTTGGCAGTGCAGAATGTCCCTGTGCTTACAACAGAGTTTACAGTCTAATAGGTAATTGTCAAGTGAGAGGAATGAAATAATCCACCTCTTGACAACAGAGAGAACCATGAGGCTAGCCGTTTTTGCCTTTGCTTCTTTTTAAGTTTAAAACAATAAAACTACAAAAAGTATATTGCTGCCATTGACAAGGACCCAATCTGCATTTTGTGGTGTTTGTTCTTCTATTGCAACTTCACTGCAGTAATTTTTTGGATGAGACTGATCATAATGTGTGATGTTTGTGCTCACAGTTTATCACTGATTACTAAAATGCATTTACTTTCTGCATGTGGATAATACTGGTATGATATTACCTTCCTTAGAGTTGGGGAGATTTCTTTTTTTCTCTTTTTTTTTTTTAATTATGCTTTAAGTTCTAGGGTACATGTGCACAACGTGCAGGTTTGTTACATATGTATACATGTGCCATGTTGGTGTGCTGCACCCGTTAACTTGTCATTTACATTAGGTATATCTCCTAATGCTATCCCTCCCCCCTCCTCCCACCCCACGACAGGCCCCAGTGTGTGATGTTCCCCACCCTGTGTCCAAGTGTTCTCATTGTTCAATTCCCACCTATGAGTGAGAACATGAGGTGTTTGGTTTTCCGTCCTTGTGATAGTTTGCTCAGAATGATGGTTTCCACCTTCATCCATGTCCCTACAAAGGACATGAACTCATCCTTTTTTATGGCTGCATAGTATTCCATGGTGTATATGTGCCACATTTTCTTAATCCAGTCTATCATTGTGGACATTTGGATTGGTTCCAAGTCTTTGCTATTGTGAACAGTGTCGCAATAAACATAACGTGTGCATGTGTCTTTATAGCAGCATGATTTATAATCCTTTGGGTATATACCCAGTAATGGGATTGCTGAGTCAAATGGTATTTCTAGTTCTGGATCCTTGAGGAATTGCCACACTGTCTTCCACAATGGTTGAACTAGTTTACAGTCCCACCAACAGTGCAAAAGTGTTCCTATTTCTCCACATCCTCTCCAGCACCTGTTGTTTCCTGACTTTTCAATGATCGCCATTCTAACTGGTGTGAGATGGTATCTCATTGTGGTTTTGATTTGCATTTCTCTGATGGCCAGTGATGGTGAGCATTTTTTCATGTGTCTGTTGGCTTCATAAATGTCTTCTTTTGAGAAGTGTCTGTTCGGCCGGGCGTGGTGGCTCACACCTGCAATCCCAGCACTTTGGGAGGCCGAGGCGGGCGGATCACAAGGTCAGGAGATCAAGACCATCCTGGCTAACACGGTGAAACCCTGTCTCTACTAAAAACACAAAATATTAGCCGGGTGTGGTGGCAAGCGCCTGTAGTCCCAGCTACTCAGGAGGCTAAGGCAGGAGAATGGCGTGAACCCGGGAGGCAGAGCTTGCAGTGAGCTGACATCACACCACCGCACTCCAGCCTGGGTGACAGAGGAAGACTCTGTCTCAAAAAAAAAAAGAGAAGTATCTATTCATATCCTTTGCCCACTTTTTGCTGGGGTTGTTTGATTTTTTCTTGTAAATTTGTTTAAGTTCTTTGTAAATTCTGGATATTAGCCCTTTGTCGGATGGGTAGATTGTAAAAATTTTCTCCCATTCTATAGGTTGCCTATTCACTCTGATGGTAGTTTCTTTTTTTTTTTTTTTTTTTTTTGAGACAGAGTCTGGCTCTGTCGTCCAGGCTGGAGTGCAGTGGCGCAATCTCTGCTCACTGCAAGCTCTGCCTCCCAGGTTCACGCCATTCTCTTGCCTCAGCCTCCCGAGTAGCTGGGACTACAGGCACCCGCCACCACGCCCAGCTAATTTTTGTATTTTTAGTAGAGACAGGGTTTCACCATATTAGCCAGGATGGTCTCGATCTGCTGACCTCATGATTCGCCCACCTCGGCCTCCCAAAGTGCTAGGATTACAGGCATGAGCCACTGTGCCCAGCCCTGATGGTAGTTTCTTTTGCTGTGCAGAAGCTCTTTAGTTTAATTAGATCCCGTTTGTCTATTTTGGCTTTTGTTGCCATTGCTTTTGGTGTTTTAGTCATGATGTCCTTGCCCATGCCCATGCCCTGAATGGTATTGCCTAGGTTTTCTTCTAGGGTTTTTATGGTTTTAGGTCTAACATTTAAGTCTTTAATCCATCTTGAATTAATTTTTGTATAAGGTGTAAGGAAGGGATCCAGTTTCAGCTTTCTACATAAGGCTAGCCAGTTTTCCCAGCACCATTTATTAAATAGGAAATCCTTTCAGAGTTAGGGAGATTTCTTAGGGTATTGTTACCCTCAAGATTATAAATAATATGAATTTGTAATGTTTAATAATAGCTAACATTTATTCAGTACTTTAGTGTATTAACTCATTCAATGCTCAAAGCAACTAGTGAGGCAAATGCTATTACTATATTCACTTTACAGGTGAGGAAACTGAGGAATAGAAGTGTTAACTAACCTGCTCCAAGTCACACAATAAATAGAACTCAGATTTGAACACAGGTTCCAGCATCTTTAATTGCTATGTAATATTATGCATTCATCGCATAATATTTTGGGACCATTGAAGGTCCTAAAAGTTACCATTGTATTTAGAAAAAAGAGTACTGTTGGCTGGGCCTGGTGGCTCAAGCCTGTAATCCCAGCACTTTGGGAGGCCAAGGCGGGCAGATCACCTGAGGTCGGGAGTTCGAGATCAGCCTGACCAACACAGAGAAACGCCATCTCTACTGAAAATACAAAAAATTAGCCAGGCATGGTGGTGCGTTCTGTAATTCCGGCTACTCAGGAGGCTGAGGCAGGAGAATTGCTTGAACCCGGGAGGCGGAGGTTGTGATGAGCCGAGATTGCACTCCAGCCTGGGCAAAAAGAGCGAAACTCCGTCTCAAAAAAAAGAAAAGTGTACTGTTATCATGTTCAATTCTCGTGAGAATCCTCTAAAGCTGGCAAATCATGTGATAACCTTTGTACCTTATGGATGAGAAGACAGCCTTAGAGAAGTTATTCTGTTTTGTCCCTGGTCACCCAAGACCTTTAGTGGGATGATTCCTCATTCTTTATGTGAACTCAGTTTTTTTTATCCAGGGAAATGAAGCAGAAAGAAATATTAATATGAAACAAATAAAATAATCTTAAAACCTCAGTCTTAGTATTCAACCCTTGACTTTACATACTGCTTCCCAAACCTGTTGAGAACTGCCTCTATTGGAAAGGCTGAATAGCACCATCAGCATAGGAAGGGACAAAACACATTTTTAGAAATTAAAAGGGCACAAGATCTTCTATAGTGTCTATCTTAGGGGAAAAAGTACCGGCACAATATTAATTGCTAACTAGATGAATCTTGCTCCAGTTACTCCAGAGTCAACTTTGACATTTTCTTCTCTTTGCATTGGTACTTTATTCTTTGTTAAACATATAATTCCCTCCTACATATTTAAAAAGGTTTTTATTCCTCTAATATAATGACTTCAGAAGTCAGTCATTATTAACTCAGGTTAAAAAAATAATTTCTGATTGATTTTTTTAATACAGAATTTTGAACAAAAAGCATTTCTAAATCCAAAGATTTTTTTTTTTTTTTTGAGGTGGGGTCTTGCTTTGTCACCCAGCCTGGAGTGCAGTGGCCTGATGACAGCTTATTGCAGCCTTGGCTTCCCAGGCTCAAATGATCCTCACACCTCAGCCTTCCCAAGGAGCTGGGACTACATGTGCGCACCTCCACACCCAGCTAATTTTTTATTGTTATTTTTTGTACAGGTGGGGTCTTGCTATATTGCCCAGGCTGGTCTCAAACTCCTAGGCTCAAGTTATTCTCCCACCTCAGCCTCCCAAAGTGCTGGGATTATAGGCATAAGCCACCACATCTGGCCTTAAATCCAAGATTTTTAAGTAATTTATTGAAAGGAATATGTTCATACTGCCTCCCAGTTTTCGGATAAAAGAAACCCATGCCCTCAGACAATTTACTCTGAAGTCAGTTAAACTTTAGTAGTCTTTAGAGTGAAAATAATATGTTCATATGATACTGAAATATTTTACATAAAAAGGAATATTGTCACCTACAAATTGTATACATTTTTATAAAGCTAGCTACTGCTAGATTAAAATGTGGTATTAATGATAATGTCACAATTTATAATATGTTGCCATTATATATTCTATACTATCTGATATAGTAAATGGTAGCCATTAGCCACTTGTCACATGTGGCTATTTAAATTTAAATTGTAATTAACTGAAAGCACTTAAAATTGTAAAAATTACTCAGTTGTATTAGCCATATTACAAATACTCAATAGCAACAGGTGGCTAGTGGCTACTGTAATGAATGGGGTAGAGCATTTTCATCATCATTGATAGTTCTGGCTGGGCGTCGTGGCTTACACGTGTAATCCTGGCACTTTGGGAGATCGAGGTGGGTAGATTGCCAAAGTCCAGGAATTCAGAACCAGCCTGGGCAACATGGCAAAGCCTCGTCTCTGCAAAAAGTACAAAAATTATCTGGGAGTGGTGGTGCGTGCTGGTGGTCCCAGCTACTCAGGAGGCTGAGGTGGGAGGATCATCTGATCCTGAGGAGGTCTAGGCTGTAGTGAGCCGTGATCACACCACTGCACTCCAGCCTGAGTGAGAGACCCTGTCTCAAAACAAAAACAAAAACAGATAGTTCTGTTAGACCAGCACTGCCTAAGTATTTGATTGTCTAGAATATAATTGTAAGATTAGGATCCAGGGTATAGTATAAGTGGGCTCAGTTTCTCCTCACATTACTGTAAAATAGTACATTCAGCAGGGGTTTAATAAGCATCCAGTTTGTCAGCCAGAAAGTAACTTTACTGTGTTGTTCTTTTATAGTAATGGAATAGAGTAGTCTCAATTTTTTAAAAATTATTATGGTAATATCTTTACTTTTTGGTAATAATTTTCTGTTTGATCCGCCACTAAAAAGGTACATATATCTTAGTAACAAGTAAAAATAGATTTGATTGCTTTTAATATGTATGCTTAATAATATTTGTTCTTTCTTGGTTATTTTCCTTACCTGGTACAGGTAGAAGAGTCAGCAATGATGGGAGTAAGTGGCTATGTGGAGTATCTCCGAGAGCAGGAAGTATCTGAGCGGTGGTTCCGGTACAACCCTCGTCTCACCTGCATCTATTGCGCCAAATCTTTCAACCAGAAGGGAAGCCTGGACCGCCACATGCGCCTACACATGGGGATCACACCATTCGTCTGCCGCATGTGTGGCAAGAAGTATACCCGGAAAGATCAGCTGGAGTATCATATCCGCAAGCACACAGGCAACAAGCCCTTTCACTGTCATGTCTGTGGCAAAAGTTTCCCCTTCCAGGCCATCTTGAATCAGCACTTTCGCAAAAACCACCCTGGCTGTATACCCCTGGAGGGGCCTCACAGCATCTCCCCTGAAACAACTGTCACATCTCGAGGACAAGCTGAGGAAGAGTCACCTTCACAGGAAGAGACAGTTGCTCCTGGGGAAGCTGTCCAGGGCTCTGTGTCCACCACTGGGCCAGACTGAAACATCCAGGGGGAGGGGGCTGACCCTCTTCCCCTATGAGCCATAAGCAGCCAGCATCAGAGCCATGGGCTGATACTTAGATTCACAAAATGCCACATCACTAGGCCAGAAGATGCTCCCAAGATGTTGCCAAACTGGAGGATCAGCAACTTACACAAAAGCACTAAAGGCTCCTCCCTTCTTATTGCCCGCCTCACACTTTGGAAAATAATCAAGCAAATCAACTTTCTAATTCAGGGATCAACAGCCTTGGTTTGTTAACTTTATAAGAAAAAAGGTTTTTTAACAAAACGATGATGATAAATGGTCATTTATCTATCAGTCATGTTTGAACACTGTACTTTGGTCCATATCATCTTGGTGGCTATAATTGCCCGGATCTAAAAAATGCAGCAGGAGCCTCAACCATCCGAAGCAGCCAACCGCAAGAGAGGAGGTAGTCATGATGGTGATGAGGAGGAGAAATTTCTCCTCTTCCTTCCCTGGCATAACATGCATTTTTGTGTTTCAAGAAAAAAATGAATACTGGTGGTTCTTATTTTGAAAGGTTAGGCTTTATCTTTCCCCTGACTAGGCATCTAATACTTTGCCTGGTTATTTCATATAATCAGCCATCTTGAAGCAGTATTCTAGTGGACAACATCACCTGAAGCACTTGGCAACTGGGAGTGAAATGAGCAGCAAAGTGTATGCAATAGGTACTGCTACATTTGGGGGGCTTGAGTGTTGTGTTGAGGAAGAGGAGAGCAGGGAGGGAAGTGTTTTTATGTTTTGCAAATATCAAACAGCACAGAGCCGTTCTGCAACTTCCTGACTGGTATTTGTAAACCATAGTGCTACACATCCTTGGGTAATGGCTCTAGTTCAGGTGAATTAATGTGTTAGGCTGACTACCAAAGTTTCATCTAGTCTCTTTGGCTCCTATTTTCACGTTCAGCAATATTGTAATCAAAAATGTCACTTTCCAGTGAAATGAGCCTGGATTGTATTTTTAAATCCACAGGTCTCCATATTTGATAACTTTTATATGAAGTTTTAAACATGTTTTTTCTGCAGTATTGTGGTTGAAGAAATTCAACACTATGGTTCTTACTGCAACCACAATTTCATTTCCTTATACATATGTAATAGTTTATATTTTCAGGCATATAGAAGGACCTCACTTAAAACTATGTCTCGGGTCTGCAAACCTAGTAATTCATAAACCAACCATCAGCAAACCATAGCTGGTGACTCCAAGAGCTTTGCTTTTTAATAATATACTACAGGGCACTTATCAGAAAACATCATGCAGAATCATGTTGCAATAAATGATCAAAGGATCAATTTTGGTCAGGTTTGGTTACTTAGTCATTCCTAAGATTTTTAAAACTTCAAGGGACCCTTTTAGTAATTCTGGGTATTTCTAAGATTCTTAATCCAGCACTGAGAGAAAGAACTTAGCAAACATGTAGAGCTTTGGATACCCCGTCTTTCATGAAGTGAGAGAAGGAGGAATATTAAGGGATGCCGGCAAATAGATGCTTATAACTTACAGTGCAAGTTGAAAAATCTCTAGCTTCTGTTGACGGAGCACTAGTTGTTGGGGTTCTTTTAAGTATGTAATGGTTTAAGAAATTGTTTCAGTGCAGAGGCATAGATGACTGTAAAAGAGATTTGGCAGAGGGACAGGTTGTACCTGCACTGGTGAACCATCTGTGAGAATGTTAGTCATGTGCTCCTTTCCTGAGATTGCTTTGTGGTATGTGAAAAGGTGGGTAGAAAAGAAAGAAATCTCTTTGAGATAAGAAATTAGAATGCAAAGGGTAGATCTTAAGCAATCTGAGAATTGTACATGTACATAAAGCTGCACCCTCTCACAAGAGAAAGGTTATTTTATCTTCTGAAAAAGCATAGAAATGCATCTTTTATGGGAAGATAATGATGCTACCATTTAATAAGAGCCTACCCTTAAAGGCAGCATTGAAACTGTATTTTGTCTTTAGAAGACATAGACTGGTGCATCCTCCGCTTTAGTTAGACAACAGCATGATAAGGAAAAAACTGTCTTCTAAAGCCATCTTTAGGGACTGGCTGTGCTCTGTGGCATAGAAAAGGTAAAGTTGAATTAGCCAAAAATCCTTAGGGAAACAACTGGTAATAAGGTTTTCAGTGGACAGATTTTGTCATTACTAAATAGGCAGTGAGGTGAGAAGTACAGATTATGCTGCTTTGGATGGAGCCTTTAAGCCTACCAAAAAACTTTTAAGTCCATCCTACTTTTGAGAAATAGTATGCTAGAAAGTTCTGTTTTTCTTTTTCTTCTTTTTTATATTTTTTAGAGACTGTGTCTTCCTCTTGTCACCCAAACCAGAGTGCAGTGGTGCAATCATAGCTCACTGTAATCTTGAACTCCTAGGCTCAAGTGATTGACCTGCCTCAGCCTCCAGGTAGCTAGGACTATAGGCATGCACCACCATGTCTAGCTAATTTTTAAATTTTTTTGTAGAGACGGTGTCTCTACAAAATTTGCCTAGGTTGGTCTTGAACTCCTGGCCTCAAGTAATCCTACCACCTTGACCTCCCGAAGTGCTAGGATTACAGGCATGAGCCAGTGAACTTGGCCTGGAGAAAGAATTCTTTGTTGCTTTGTTAGTTTCTTAGATTATATGTGAGAAAATGGAGCTTTTTAAACTATTACCAAATTTTAAAGGTGAAGTGCAGTAATTTCTGTAAAGAGAAACTTTGCAGCATTTGTCAATTCTCCTTCCAGGGTTAGCAACAAACAAATGAGGTAGGGACTATCTCATTCATGTGGAAATGCTATGAATGTTTGGTGGGTTTCCCCTCCCTTTTCTTTTCATTCACTTTAAATAGCCTTTTCCTATATTGATACTGTGAATAGGGTGCTTCCTGGTCATCTAGGACCACTTTAGCACAATCATGTTTGCTGGTTCTCTCAATTGGCCTAGCCAGAGCCACAAAATTCATGAAAATTTAAGGCAGGCTAGCTTTTAAACAAATTAAAACTTCTGAAAACAATTTCAGCTTTTTCGTTAAAAGAGATGTTGTTATTCTAAATAACTGTCCAAGACTCTTACCCACATACACTGTGACATTGTCCTAGTTCTTAGCTAACAACACATTGGTCATAGGAGTTACTGATGTTCTATCTACATTAATGAACAGCTATTGGTGTATGCACAGAGGATACCTCTTAAGGATGTACTAAATGGACTTTGTTTGGTTGATGCTGAAAATTAATTACCAAATCTTAACTTGCACGTGTTACCTTGTGAAGGGAACTGCATTAGCAATGAGAGCTACATCATCATGAAGTACTTTAATGCCATGAAATTGCAAACACTGGGACTGTTTTCATTTATTGAGTGGCACTTAGTAGCAAAGGAGCTATCCAGTATTCTCAGCAAAGAAGAGAGACGGAAGTATATTAATCTATTTTCATACTAAGATGTTCCTTTATTCTGTCTGAACTCTAATACCAGTATAAAATATAGCATTGGCATGAACAGTTAATGCTGTACTTAGGCAGAAAGGCTCCTTCTAATGACTTGTTCTCTCTTTACTCAGAACCGTATTTACCTCTGAACCAAGTTGAATTTTATTTTATCCAAGTTGCAAACTACCCCATGCCATTTTTATTATAATAGAGGGTTAAATCTAATCTCAAATACATAAAGGTAAATTAGTTCATAGAGGATAAAGTTTGGGAATGAAGAGAGCAGTTAAGGAAAATTTTATTTTTTGTCATTTTTTAAATGTTTCCAGTTCCCTCTACATCAGTGAAACAGGGTTTTCCAAAGATGGTTTGAAGATAGAAAAAACTTTTTCCCCCCGACTTCATAGTTGACATCTGGTATTGGTTGGAATTGGTCTGGTGGCAGAGTGAAGTAGGGAACTTCATTTTTTTCTTTTTTTTCTTAAAGGCAGGGTCTCACTATGTTGCCCAGGCTGGTCTCAAACTCCTGGGCTCAAGTGGTCCTCCTTCCTCAGCCTCCTGAGGAGCTGGGACTACAGGCGTGTGACCACACCTGGCTGTAAATGTCATTCTTAATAGCTGAATAATCTTTGGTCAAGAAGTAACTTTTCCAGAGTTTTAGCTGTTACTTGACATTAATTGGGTTTCTTTTAACTGGTGAAAACTGTATTTATTTTGTTTGACCAGACTGTCTAACTTAAATGAAAGCAATGGATAATGGAAAGGAAACTGAACAAAGACAAAAGTCTTCTTCATCATAGTGAAAGGCATTTAATCAGGAAGAGTTGGAATCCTGGAAGTTTTTCTTTTTTTCAGGTACAAGAGGCATGATTTTTTTCTCTTCCTAAAATGTCCTTCCCCTTATCTGTGTACTTATTAGTTCAAGGAATAACAAATGAGTCTTAATTGAACTTAGTCTTTGGAAATTGAGCTCTTTATTTAGGTTATATGTGAAAGAGTTTAAAATATTGAAATACTTTGGTTGCTAAGCAGATTTAGAAAAGCAACAAGCAATTGTCGGGCAAATCCCTAGGTTTGAGAAGATGTCCTCAGCAAAATATACCCTTAGGACTTACGGAATTAGATCAGGGTTCAGCAAACAGTAGTTTCCAGGCCAAATGCTGAGGCTACTTGCTTGTGTAAAGAAAATTATAATGGAATAGGGCCACACTTACTTGTTTAGGTATTGTTTATGCCTTCTTTCTACTACAATGGCAAAGTTGAGTACTTGTGACAAAGATCACGTGGCTACAAAGCTTGAAAATATTTACTGTCTGGTACTTGTTAGAAAAAATTTGCCAACTCCAAGAAAGAATTACCTCCTAAAGTTGTTACTCATGACATTTTGCCTTTATAATAGTTTGGTTGAAGTTTTAAATTCATGTTGTCACATATACATGTTTTCTTGAAAGAGTTTGCCAACTTTTTCTAGATCCTCTTATCATAACTCTTTTTGTGCTCCTTCATGATTTTTTTGTGCTCCTTCATGATTCCCATTACTTTAAAAGCATTTAGAATTGGCCTGTTGTTTGTCCTTGTCTTAATGGTGCCGGTATTTTAAAGTTTAGTTGTAAGTAAGTTTTGCCATTCCTCTGAGTTAACTTGAACTGGTTTGCATAATGGTGACAAGAATGAATTTTTTCCCAAGTGGATTAAAAACTAATTTCATTATGAAGAAGTATTTTGATTCATATCCAAAGTACTGTTTTTCTGGATTAGAACCCCTACCTTTTCCCTTTGCAATGTATCTTAATTTTAACTTCTTTAAACTTACTCTGTTCCATGTAGAGCAGTAAAAAGCCAAGTTTTTCTTCCTTTTTTCCTGGATGTTTTGAAACATAATGAAACATCTGAGGATTTCAAATTCTTTTTAGACCTATCTTCCCATTTCTGTTATTGTCTATAATTCTTCTAAATACATATTGGACCATTAACATGTTTGCTTTGTGAATGTTCATTCTTAGTGTTCAGATAGCCTACTTATACTCGATGTGGGAAAAATGGGAAATGTTAGGGGGTTCATAAACAGAAATCCTTGCAGGAAGCCGGGTGTGACAGCAGACACCTATAATCCCAGCTACTTGGGAGACTGAGCTGAGAGGCCCACTTGAGGCCAGGAATTTAAGGACCAGCCTGGGCAACATAGACCTTATCTCTAAAACAAAAAAAAATCCTTGCAAGAAGAGAGAATAATTGCTTCCCATTTGGAAATGATATAGGGACTTTTGAATTAGATCTATCTTGACAAAGTTTTCTAGGCCATGCTGATACAGTATAGGGAGTTTGAATCTGTTGTGAGCGCTGTCAACATAGACAAAGTTCAAGTGAGTAACTAGCTTTCTATAATAGGGACTCTCTTCACTAGGTATTTTAAAGTTGCTGCTTTCTAATTGGATATTAGGAAGTTTTATATGATATACCCTCTGAGTAATAGATAATCCTCATCTATAAAGTTCCAGAATATTTGCCTAGGTTAGATCTCCCCTGGCTTAGAGCAGTTATACCTATAGTAACAGTAGGTTTTTGAGATTTTGGAGTATTACTTTTCTGATTAACCTAGGATTCTGATTAACCTGGAAGGTGGGACTTGTGAAAGAAATTGGATTTTGTTAGCCCAGTGAATCATCTGCATCCCACTCTATTTGAGGTCTTGGTAATAGATGTCAATTTAAATATGCATCTATTGAAAGCAATGGAGTTTTCCAAGCATTATGACTTCCTTGATAATTTTCAGTCTTATCTTTTTTCGTATTTTCTAGTCTCTTTCCCTGTCTTTAGTCTTCTTCCTCTTAAATGGTGCTTTTCCCAGGGCCAGTCTTTCTACTTTCTAAGCAAGCAGGCTTTTTTGTTCAGGATAAGCCAGAGTTAGATATTATGAATACTTTGAAACATCTGAATATGTTACATTCCAAAGTATGTAATTATTGATAGTAGTATCAAAACCTGGAAGATATTGGTGCAGATTATTCAGTTTTGCTGTGTAGGCAGGCTGTCTTTCTCCTCAACTGTGACACAGCAGTGACTTGAGAAGGCAAATATTACTTGAAACCCCCATTATCTTTATAGAGGGTACGTATATAAATTTTCTTACCTGACATTTTTACCATTATCAATATATCAGTAGCTCACATCTTAACATAGAAGAAGCCCATTAGCTCAAATACTGGAAACTTCAAACAAGGAAATAAATTACAAAAGCAAAGCAGTTAATGAAAAAAACTTGTCTATTGCCTGCGTCTTTCATGTCTACTCAATAGGTCCTGTTGAGGAGGCTAGAATACACCATCCGGTTAAGAAAGGGGTTGTTTTGTTTTGTTTAAGACAGAGTCTTGGTCTGTCTTCCAGGCTGGAGTGCAGTGGCTCAATCTTGGCTCACTGCAATCTCCACCTCCTTGGTTCAAGCAATTCTTGTGCCTCAGCCTCCCAAATAGCTGAGATTACAGGCGTGTGCCACCATGCCCAGCTAATTTTTGTATTTTTAGTAGAGATGGGGTTTCACCATGTTGGCCAGGCTGGTCGTGAACTCCTGGCCTCAATTGATCCTCCTGCTTCGGCCTCCCAAAGTGCTGGACTTAGAGGCATGAACCACTGCACCCAGCCCCATTTAAGAGAGTTTTATATTCAGCATCTCATATGGCCTACACCATGATTTTAATATACTGTGAATCTTAGGATTTCAGTTAATCCATAATGCCAGGAGTTAAGGTATTTCATGGGAACATGTTTCCTCTTCTATGAAATCACCTGTCTGCAGTGATAGGTAATGTATAAGAGAATGTTTCATTAAGTAAATATTAAGTACTTTTTGATACCAGACAACATGCTTGGGATTTGTATAATAAAACTGGTTTTAGACATAGTTTAGACATGATGTGTCTTCCTATACTTGAGAGTCCTAAGCCCACTTGGTTGGCGTCTGGGATGTATTGCTTTTGAAAAGCCTGCACTTTTTACTGTAGAGATAAAAGATCAAAAAGGGGACAGAATTAGCTTTATTAAGTGCTTTATCGTCATAACTGTGGTTAAGACAATAATACTATGAGGTAATAACAGTAATGTTAAAAATAACTAACTTTTTTTGAATGCTTACTATGTGCCAGGCACAGTTCTATGTGCTTCACATTGATTAACTCATCTAATCCTTATGACAATCCCATGAGGGTAGATAACATCCTCATTTTAGATGGGAAGAAACAGACACAACTGACTCAGGCTAACACTAGAGTTGCCTCTAGTAGGTGTAATTATATCATATTTTATAGATGAGGAAACTGATGAACCCAAGGTTACATAACTGGTAAATTACAGAGCCAATATTTACCAATCTTGATTCCAAAGCCCAGACTATCTGCATGATGTCATATTGACTCCATTTACTTATCAAGAGTTGAAGTTGACTGGAATATACAGTAGCCAGGAACAGTACTGCTTTTTGTGAATGTGTAATTCAAGAGTAAGTGATTAGAAGGTTCTTCAAAAGCTGATGCAGTTGATCTCTGAGCAGAGTTGAATAGTGAATATTTTCAGTGGATATTGCCCACTGATTCAAGGGAGTCACCCGTGTGGTTAGGTCTAATAGTGAGTGAGGTACTATCAAGGCAAAAATTGAAAGAGTTCCAGTTACCTATTGCTGTGTAACAAACTTAATTAAAATTAAGTAATTTTAATTACTTAAAATCAACCATTTCCTATATCATGGTTTTGTGAATCAGAAAATCCAGGAAGGGCTTGTCTGGGCAATTCTCCTCCCTGTGACAACGACTCAGGTCACCTGGTGGTATTCAGCAGGTGGTTAGACAAGTCTGGAAGGAGTGTCCAAGATGATCGATCTTACATACCTGACACTTTGGTGGGGAGACTAGAAGGATGGACTCAGCAGGTCTCCTCTTTCTCTCCATGAAGTCTAAGGACTCTCCATGTGTTCTCTTCATCAAGGTAGTCAGATTTACTACGAGGACAGCTAAGGCCTCTGAAAGGCTGGGCAGAAGAATCTAGTCAACTTAAAGGCCAGGCCTAGAATTATCATACAGCCACCACTGTACTCTTGGTCGAAGAACTTAATGGTAAGATGACAGCAAGAATGAAGGGGGAAAAAAGAACTCAATGGTCAGCCCAAATTTAAGGAGAGAAGAAATACCCTACCACTTTATGGAAGGCATGTCCAGGACTTGGGGCTATTTTTAATGTGTTAATGTTTTTTTTGTTTTGTTTTGTTTTTTGTCTTGACTCTTTGGTGTTTATTCATCAGTTGTTTGTGCTGTAGAAACCATTTATTATGTCTACCATGGGTCACTAAAGGAGCTAGAAGGAGAATGAGACAAATATCTGGAGCATACTTCATTTGCTGCCCTCTCCCTCCAAGTTTCATTTATCTTATAGCAAAATTTTCATTTTGTACTGTGTTCCAAGTTGTGAACATTTGCCTGGTTTTGCTCTGAAGCCACGGTAACTGCATGCGGAGCTAGAAATACTCTAGAGGGAGTAAAAAGCTTACATTTTTTTTGTTTGTTTTTTGTTTTAGGACAGAGTTTCACTCTGTCACCCAGGCTGGAGTGCAGTGGTGCAATCACAGCTCACTGCAGCCTCAACCTCCTGGACTCAAGCAATCCTCCTACCTCATCCTCCCAAGTAGCTGGGACTCCAGACGTGTGCCACTACACCTGGCTAATTTTTGTGTATTTTTAGAGACGGGATCTCACCATGTTGCCTGGGCTGGTCTTGAACTCCTGGACTCAAGAGATCCACCTTCCTCGGCCTCCTGAAGTGCTGGGATTACAGGCATGAGCCAACGTGCCTGGCCCGGAAAGCTTACTATTAAATAATTTGATTTCTTGGAGATATCAGTTGTATTTTAAGTTTACAAATAGGTGAATACTCTTGTGGTATGGAAACATTGCATGGCTGCTGAATCTCTTTCAACAGGAGTTTCTATTGGGTGGCTACATGGATCATATTCTTGAGATAGTGAAAAGTTTTACCTACTTATCTTAATCCCATTCTACCTCTACACCTCCAGCATGATTTTGTGCTCGAAGATGAATCAATTCCTTTCATTCTTGTTACCTTTCATACAGGAAAATTCATCGCCCAATTTTATATGTTGTTAATCTTTTAAAATTGGCAGTTGTTACCAGCCTCTCTCATTTAAAATAACAGATCATTGAAGTTTTTTGATTTTTGGTTAGATGTGTCAGATTTAGGATGCCTTATTTAAACTCGTGCTGTCTTACTAGACTGTTCCTGCTCTGAGAAGAAATATGGACAGAGAATGAATTTCATTGTCCATATTGATGAACCCCAAATCAATACACTTCTTAAGAAAGGTTTGAGATTATCCAGTCCATGTGCAATGAATCCTTGGAGCATTAGCTGTGTGGCCTTCCTACTGATAATCTGCAGTTATCACAGTAAAGAGATCTCTGTTCCTAGGTCAGGCCTTAGCAATTACAAATACAGGAAATAAAGGGGTACTCAATGCTGAAGACTTAATTTTGGGTACCTACAAAGTCCTGGGAAGGGAAAAAGAAGACCTTGGCATTTGTATTTGCATAACCAGAGATGGAATGTTTGAGGCTTTTAGGCATAAAGATTAATTAGATTTTATCATATAAAGATTAGGGCAAATTATTTTTTTTTCCAGTTCATTCTTAACATGTTAAGGGACAAATTTTAATGAATAAAAATTTAAAGGCCTTAAAACTTTCTTTTGGATTCACATTTCCACTCTGGTATAATCCACTCTGGTGTAGTCTGCCCTTTATGACAGAGAAAGCCTTTGAAAATATTGTCCCAGGGAATGAAAAATCTTAATGATGATCTATGGAAATGTCTCTCATTCTCTATTACAGCCCTTTGGGCCCTCCTATAGATTCTCTGTGAATTTAAGTTTGAAATCATTTGGTGTTTGCATGAAAAATAATTCTTACTATTCATTTAAATAATTCTTAAATGTGGTCTTAAATTGCAAGAGAGAACAAAGCCAGAAAAAGGGGAACCTTGTAGATTGACCAAATATTTATTCTTTATTTTCAGCATCACAAATCTAAACCATTTCAAGCTAATACAACAACCTGAGTGAGTAGAAATTCCTTAAGGTTTAGATTTCTGCTTTTAGTCACATCTTGAAGCAGATGTTTATGACATATTTGAAGATGATCCACTGAGTTTCCTATAAAGTAATAGAATCCTAACTATAGTGGTTCTTTAAGAACCACTGAAAAAACAGAATTGCAGTGCAGGGAACAAAGCTTAAAATGTGTTTCCTCTGGAAGCCAAGATGCTAAAAAAGGGGTCACTAATAGTGTGACTGAAGTCCGTCTCTAGAATGGCTATCTGTTAGATAGCAGAAATATTTAGAATGTATATGGCATTTCTAATATTTTTACAAAAATAATTTTAAATCATGTAACTCGAATTTTTTTTAAAAAGTCTGTTTTCTTTTTGGAAAACTGGCACAATAAAAATAACACTAATATAATTCCATTGTATATGCATGTGCATTGAACCCAGAGTGGGTATACTAAAGATAGTTCATGCAAATAACTTATGGGAAGTTTGGCTATTTTTTCATGTATGTTTATAAATATATTTAGTCATCTACTGTGACCTTGGTAGCACAGAAGCATTTTGTTAGCTGTATCATTAATTCTAAAAATCAAATTCTTGGCATAGTAGGCTATGAGAGCTTTTTGTTACTTGGTATTTTGGCTAAGAAAATTATTTCTTGCACTTTCTATTTGTAAAGATGTTATAACACAATGCACCCACTTAATGCAGCTTTTCTTTAGAGAAAAAAGATGTAGGTGTAAAAGTGAAATGTATGTTTTCAAACCTGGCAAAAGGAGGGACCTCAAAAAAATAAATTTGGCTTGCCATCTACCTGAGTAGGGTTGGGGATTAATATAAAACTTAGGTTGAAAGTGGCTGTTGGGATAGGTATACTGTTGCTGTGAATTGCAATATTGCTGTGAGTTGCCAGCTATGTATGTGTAAGTTTATGTGTGTATGTGAGAAAAAGGTATTTCGTGAAGGCATAAAAGTCAGTGTAGAATATCCTACCTCCCACTAGAGACTGAGCATATTCAAGATTGCTCTGTAGTCCCTTGGGCAGGAAGCTGGATTCCTCAGCCACTGTCTACCCCATTCTTCTCTATACTCACTTCAGCTCCTCTACCTCTGAGCACTTGGCTGAAGAAAGAGTATAGCTTTCTGTAGCAAGCAAAGGAAAGCCAGACCCAAAATAGAGAGGCTGCAGTATCTGAAATTCTTATCATGTTCAGATATCAATATTTAATTTTGTTGCCCAAATCAAACAATGTCAGAACACTTGAGTTTAGTGCTTTTTTTTCTCTCTCTGTCTCCTACAGACTTCTCCCGGTTTACTGCTTTTATCCACTGGCTTCTGTTTGGCAGGAGTAGCCAGTGGAGGTCAAGTCTGTTTTTAAAGACTAAAACACCTAATTCCTTTTAATGATGTGTAACATTTGTTTGAATCCCCAACTTCTTTTTTTTTGGGGGGCAGGGGTAGAGATGGAGTCTCCCTATGTTGCCCAGTCTCGTCTTAAACATCTAGGTTTGGTTGGATGCAGTGGCTCACACCTGTAATCCCAGCACTTTGGGAAGCTGAGGTAGGCGGATCACCTGATGTCAGGAGTTCGAGACCAGCCTGGCCAACATTGTGAAACCCCGTCTCTACTAAAAATACAAAAAATTAGCTGGGTGTGGTGGCGGCATCTGTAATCCCAGCTACTCGGGAGGCTGAGGCAGGAGAATCGCTTGAACTCGGGAGGTGGAAATTGCAGTGAGCCGAGATCACACGGTTGCACTCCAGCCTGAGCAACAAGAGCGAGACTCCATCTCAAAAAAAAAAAAAAAAAGTCTGGGCTCAAGCGATCCTACCACCTCAGCCTCCCCAAAGTGATAGGATTACAGGTGCCAGTCACCACACCTGGCCCATGATGGATTTTCAGATGACCTCTTTTACTTCTAATCTCTCCAAAGAGAGATATTCTTGTTTTTAAGGTCAATATTGTCATAATAGTCATGATGTCCTCACCTGAATGTTGTAGGTGTCAGAAAGTTGTTTCAATAGTAATATGCCACCAGGCAGACCACCTAATCTTTAAATCCAGTTGTAGCACTCAATTTATTTTCTGTTTGGGGCACTAGTGCACTGAGCCAAGTCAACTTGTCCACTTTTCTAATATTTCTTACAGCTAAGGAGGAACTGTTGGTCCTTTGATATCCTAGAATGCTTTCTACTTGTGGAAATGCTTTTTACCCTAATACACTGATTATATTGTCTAAATGTCTAAACAGGGATTCTCTGGTTAGAAGTGAAATGAGAGAGTGACCCATTTTCAGATTTTTAGAGATTGGCTCCCGTATTTTAGGAACTAGCTGATAAGTATTTAGTTTCCTGGTGACTTTGGATACGGCAAGTGGAGATGCAGAGAATGTGAAATTCCAAATAATAAGACAAGCATTACTCACAAATAACAACTGATACAGTAATTTCTGCCCAAATGCAGTAAGAATCTTGTAGGGAGATGAAGTGGTAAAATTAAATTATATGAATCTTTTTACCACGACTATTTTTTTTTTTCTACCTGTAGCATAGTTCTCTGCCTATAAGCCATGCTAATATCCTAGACCCAGGAATTAATTCCTGCTTAGGAAAATTTTTCCTTCTGGCTTATCTTTTGTTTGTGCCCAGAGTTTTGTCCTAGGCCTGTCCCCTGATCTTTTGCTATAACACATACTTAAGGTGCAGCCTTCTTACCTAAATCAGTACTTTACTGTTGCTGTTGCTGCCTATTACAGCCAGTTATTTATTTAAAAAGTAGTGAAAAAATGCCTAGGTAGTTTGATTGCAGCATGTTAAATCCATAAATCTGGACAGAAGCCATGGAGTCTTACCTTTTCTCTCTCTAGCTTGGATGAACACCGGCCTTATGCTTTCTATTACAGGACTAGTTGACCCAGTTCTTCATATTGGTTGCACATTAGAATTGCATAGGACCCCCTCTAGACATTTACATTTTATTGGTCTGTTGTGCAACCTGGGCTTTAGGTGATTCTAATGTGCAGCCAAGGTTGAGAATCACTCCCTATGTAATCCCTAGTGGTCATGGCAGGATAACCTCAATCCAGTCCTCTTTGACCTGAAAATATCTTTATTGATATTCCATGCATGGCTCTCAATTCAAAGTGTACAGTGGGTCAAGGCTTAGGTAGTAAAATGGATCATCCATTTGTCCTCAGAATAATTCTGGAGGGAGATATTGTCATCCATCCAGTTTCCTCTCTATACCAAATACAAAGTACACATAAATAAGCAAAACAAATTTTCAAAGTTCCTTCTCTAGAATCCTCTTTCTTTTGCATATGTAGTTTCAGTGGAGATTTCTCAACTAGCTGAAATGGAGCACTTGAATATATTAAAAGAGCCCAAACTGCTTACAGCAATTTCTATTTGTAAAATAAACAGGTGGCATTGTTAATGGAGAAAAGGAAGGATCCTGCCTGTGGTGATGGTAATATGTTTGATTATTTATCTCTTAGCCTGTCTTCTAAGTGGGATTTCAGTGTCAGTTAACTTTCACTTTTCTTGGATTGTTTTTTTGTGAATGAAATGAACTAGTTAAGGCTTAAGTATTTCTGAATAATATATGAAATGTGAAATGAGTCATTTTAGGATCTTTCTTCTGGGATGTCAAAGACCTAACCAAGTAACTCCCAAATGAGGTTCCAGATTCATTTTTCTCATCCCAGGTAGTAAACGTGTTTTAATGGGTTTGTTTCTTGCCCATGGCAACCTCAACACAGAGGGGAGAACTGTTTTATTACCCTAAAATAGTGAGAACCACTGTTCAAACTAACTAGCTACCAAGTGACTTCTAACTCATGAAGAAAATTTGTATTTAAGAGCAAGTTCAAATGTAGCAGGCTCTCTTCTGAGAGTATTCTGGATACCACGGAAAGTTTCATTTATATATTGCTTACAAGTACGTGGTAATTTGAACTTCAGTAGGTGATATGTGCAAGGAGAAAAAGTAGGTCAAGGAGAAAGTTGGTTAGTGCAGAGGACTGACTTAGCATCAGTCTGTGAAATTTCATTAAAGTAGCACTAAGGCCTGGCTGTTTGCTTAGCATGTAAATGCTGCAGTGTCCAAGAAAATGCCTCCTATGCCTTAGAAAATTTGCTGAAGGCTTCCTGTTACTGGTGGAGTAGAAAAGCAATAGCCTTTGAGACTCCAAAGAGAGTAGCCCCCTTAGGGTTTTCATACTGAAGAACCTTGTGGAGTACTGTGAAACATTGTTGAACTTTATGCAAATTATACTGCACTGGATTTTAAGATTTTATGGGGAGAGAGTAGAGCAGAGTGGGGAAGTAATGATAAAAGATAAATACGTAAACTTGTACTATATTTTAAGCAAGGAATGAAACAAATTCCCTAACAGGAATTCCCTGTCAGCACTGTGAAGTTTGGTCAAGTTCTGCCTAATGGGTTGGCTTGCTGATTCCTCTTAAACCTCTAGGAAATCCTTTCTAAGACAGCAAAACAAACGTTAGTTTGAGTACTACTATTTCACCACCCTGCTCCATCCCCCTACTCTCAACGAAAGAAAAGCATTCCCAAACTATAGGCAAAAGAAATGTGTTCTCAGTCCATTAATTTTTCATCTGCTATGATCTCTGTTCACAGTTTTAGCACATTGCATTATTTTGTAATCTGATAGCAGAACATCAGGAACTAATGGCTTCCTTCCCTTTAAGAAATCTTAAAGTTAGAACTTTTTTTTTTTTTTTTTTTTTTGAGACAGGGTCTTGATCTGTCACCCAGGCTGGAGTACAGTGGTGCAATTATAGCTCACTGCAGCCTCCACCTCCTGGACTCTATCCTCCTGCCTCAGCCTCCCAAGTAGCTGGAACTACAGGCATGTGCCACCACGCCCAGCTAAATTTTCTATTTTCTTTTAGAGACAGAGTCTCACTATGTTGCCCAGGCTGGTCTCAAACTCCTGGGCTCAAGCGATCCTCCCACCTAGGACTCCTAAAGTTACAGGTGTGAGCCACTGTGCTTGGCCTAGAACTCTGTTTTTGGCATTTCTTTCTAAATGAGTACATTGGAAGAACATTTAGGTTTCCAGGCTCCTCATAATTTCTGAATGGGACCCGCTCTGCTCTGCCTCTGAAAGGAGGAGAAAAGGCTGAGGGTTCAAAGACAGAAAAGTCAATGTAGCAGAAATTTGATTTCCTTCAGATGGACATAGTCTGAAAGAAATCTATCCAGCTGTTCTCTATGGTGCTTATATGATGGGTGACAGCTGTCCCCATCTACCTGTCCCTGGCACTGTGCCTTCACACTGGTCACTGTGAAAAGCAGATCACACTGGACTCAGAGGCCAGAATCCAGGACAAGATCCCCCTTCTCATCTTGAGCCCATCACATCTTTGTATAGCTGTTAATGTAGCATTTACTTCTCTATGGGAAACTCTTGGGTTTTTAACCCAAGAAGAAATTGTAAAGCATTTAAACTAGTCAGAAAATAAGATTCTGATGGTAGCGATCAAATAAAGGAAAATTTCACTTCCTCTCAGTTGATATTGATTGATAGCAAGGATCAACTATGCCCACCTCTTCCTAAGTTTCTAAAGGCTACCATAATATTTGTAAACAACAAATTTATCTAATATTTTTTACAACTTGCTAATCAAGGAGGATTCATATTAAAACAGACAATCAGTTTCTAAAATGTTATCCCTGAAAGGGAATGGAATAGAGTATTTTTAGCTGTAAGAACCTACCAGTCTGTTTTTTCCCTTTGAAAAAAACTAATGTTTGAGATTTGTGTCTTTTCATCTGAAGCAGTTACTCCATTAATAGTAAAGATGCCTCGGGAAAGTCAGTGAACCAGAATAGTGCTCTTGCACCACTGAGGGTGCTAGACTGGCTTTGTGCATCTTATTTCCTAAGAATATCAGTTTTTATTATGACCTTAATTATAAATACCTATATATAGGAGTAGGATTTTCTCTCACCCAACCCTACTTTAATCATTATCACTTAAGTGTAAACCTCCACCTCCCCCTCTTTCCCTTTACCGAAAAAAAATGCACTTTAATTCCTAAGGAGAGTGGCTGTTCCTGGCCCTGAAACCAGATTACTTCAGGAGGAGAGTTAAGGAGGGAGAGCTCTTACCAGACCCTGTGAAATGAACCAAATTTCTTAATGTAAACACACAAGTAATAACATCCACTTTTAAGTGGCCCCCACTCCATGCCAAAGGGAAAAAGAACCGCCAAATTGAAAAAGGGTTCTAAATACCTGTCCTGATTTTGGAAGTTTCACTGGGGAAAAACTACCTAAGATTATTTTCACAGCTACCAATTTGTCAGAAACTTTGGTGGTGTTTTGTGGGAGGCTGAGATTTTTTAAATTAAAAATCAAGTGAAAACACAAAGACTCTAAGACACGATCCTGATTTGTGTCATTTCTAAGTATCAGATTTGTTCTCCCTTCATTTGACAGGTGTTCTCAGTCTCTCCTCCTGTAAGATTCTGTCCTTCCCCTGATGACAAGCCAATAGTTCTTGGTGGGGTTGCATGTCTCCTAGAGCCCCAGGACCCCTGTCGTGTCGGGGAAGGGGGGAGGGCAGGAGGGTGGGCAGAGACTCGGGTTGGGGGAGGGAGTTCAAAGAAAGAGTGAAAATATGGGTTTATATAAACATATTTAAAGCAGTTTAGCAAAAGCTTTCTCGTTGAACAGCTTTAAGAACAATGTGAATGAAATCTTAGCAACTTGGTTAGTAATCTGAAAAGTCTATTAATGTATACTTGAAATTCTGTTTGTATAAAAATGCATTTTCCCCTTTATTTTAACACTGTGTAAAAGAACATTATGCATGTGAGTGGTTTGAGAATTAAATGGTTTAATACTCAGATTTGAATCTGTCTTTTCTGTATATAGAAACTAATCTGTTTAAATTTTTGATATGTTTTAGTGTGATGGAAATACTGAGAATTCACTCTCCCTTCCCTTTCTGGCTGTCTACCATCTTTTATCGCTCTCTCCCTCATTTTCTTGATCCAGATGTGGTTACTGGGTAAAGAACAACTTGAAGGCATCATTTTACCATGTGCCCCAATAGCATGTTTCCCCTTTCCTTGTCTTCATTTCAAATGCAGAGTCCATTTATAATGTGAGATGGAAGTAGTTTGTATTTATTTTTACTTCTGTTCACAAACCAAAAATAGGAAGAGGTGCAAAGAATAAGAACATTTTACTTAACACAAGGGTTGGCTACTCTGCCCATGAAGATAATAGTGTTCAGAGGAACTTCTCTTATAAAAACCAGGAAAGGCCTGTTGGCCTTGAAAGTCACCCTGTTGGGGTTTAGCGAACGGCCAGCAATCACAACAGCGGTACTTGCAGCTGCTTCACTGCCTTCTTCATTTACCTGCAGGTCACATGGGAAATAAAACTAAATTAGCCACTCTGCCGTTCATTTTTGGCAGGTAAATCATCCACAGACACAGCAATTCCTCAAATGCTTTTGTTTTCCAGTAAAAAGTACATTTGGGTCAGGTTGGATTCCCTCCAGAATCCTACTTCTACTCATTCTTTCATGCAGAGAATGTAAGGTACTTGTGTTTGTCCAAGCCTTGTGCTAGGTAATAAGTGTAAGAGTTCCATTCAGGTAACCCAGAAATCTGAATGTACACAGGTTATCACATTTCTGGCTGGTACCATTGTAAATGGTTTTACAGCGGATTTTTTTTGTACCAGCCGCTGAAAGATTTTTGGCTCAAGATCTGAACTCCATAGTTGAAAGAAACAGTTTCACTCTTGGAGCATCAAGATCCAAGATACAGCTACTCCAAAGAGCCACTCAGGACCTAGGGCCTATGAAAAGAGGTGGGTTCTCTGGCTGGACGAGATGCCATTTTCTTGGAGTAATAGACTGAAACAATGGTATTTGAACATGGCTGATAAGCAGATCTAGAGGGAAACACCTTCAGAAAATTTTGCCTCAGGACCCAGAATATCACTAAAACTCTGTTTCTGCTCTTAATGAAAGCACATGATTAACCGGCTCCCTGGGTTTTGTGGAGCTGGTTGATGATGTCTTCTCCTTCCTTCTCACTCTTCCTTCCCCTTCCTTTGTTCCTCCCTTCCTTACCCGCTATCTCCCCATATTACCTATTTCATGCTCATTCCAGCACTAAATTATTAGCTTATTAGCAGACTAGAGTGTTTGCATGACCAGGATCCTTTTATTCAAATCAGATTCTGGTTTTTAATGGCTTCTCAGGTCTACAATTAGTTGGGGTCCTGTTTATTAAGGATTCCCAAGGTTTTCAAAGAAAACGGCTTTGTTGTAAGAACCATGGAAAAATCTTACATATTGTGTACTGGGCTCAGGTGGATAAAATGAATCCAGACCTCTGCTTCTTCCTAATAGTAACTCAGACCCCTCAAGGAGGTCTGAGTTGACCACTTCTAACTGGAGTCCTTACCAGAGGATATTCAATGAGAGTTAAAACCCTGAGGACTCAATTTCCCTTGCAGTCTTCCTAAGTGTTCTTTCTTCCAAAAATCCATGTGAAAGAGGGTGTGAGCAGTGTCATCTTAACTTCCAAAACCATTAATACAGCACTCTTGTAAAATCCCTTGTTCTGACCTCAATACCTCTACTCTTGCTATTGTCTTAAAGGTCATTGACATTCATTGTCCTATAGATTATATCCCCACACTGATGATTTTTGCACTTAGCCTTTCTGTCCACTCCAACTCCTGCTATCATTTGAGGCAATTAAAATATCTCAGTAGGCCGGGCACGGTGGCTCATGCCTGTAATCCCAGCACTTTGGGAGGCCGAGTCAGGTGGATCACTTAAGGTCAGGAGTTTGAGACCAGCCTGGCCAACATGGTGAAACCCCGTCTCTACTAAAAATACAAAAATTTAGTCGGGCGTGGTGGCGGGCACCTGTAGTCCCAGCTACTTGGGAGGCTGAGGCGAGAGGATCGCTTGAACCCAGGAGGCGGAGGTTGCAGTGAACTGAGATCATACCACTGCATTCCAGCCTAGGCGAGAGAGCAAGACTCCATTTCAATGAAAAAAAAAAATCTCATTAGGAGACCCGTTCAACACCCTAGTCTCCCATTTCTTTCATCAAACCTAATGAGCATTGCCTTCATTCCACTTAAGCAAACCTGTCCATGGCTACACCTTGGACTTGCCATCTCAGAACTACTCTACCTTTGAAATTATATTAATAGCATCCTTTTCTCAGATTATAACCTTGTGTTCTTTCAAGCTATCACATTTCCTCGCTCCCGTTAAAATTCCACTTTCCTCTGAGTTTGATCCCTGGATCTATATTTACTTAGCACCATCCTCTGAAACCTTTCTCTTTGACTACAACCTTCATTCTTTTCGATTTCTTTGATTCTAGGAACATCTCTACCATTGTCCAATCTCCTATCCCTCACAGCCTGGCTCCCGCAAAAAATAGTCTATACCAGTGGTTCCCAAATCTCATTGTGCATAAGAATCCCCTGAGGAGTTTAGTACATACAGAGATTCTCAGGGCCCATCCCAGAATCTCCAAAGATAAAGCTCCCCAGATAACTACTGCTGTTGGTCCATAGTTTAGTGTTTACTTGAGAACCAGAAGTTCCACAGGCTGTACACGGCTATTACTCTAACACAGGGTTCCATGCACATCTCATTTGGGGGAACACGTTAAGTGATATTCAACCGTCTTCTTTACTGTGGGACTTGTCAGACCTCAGCATGTCAGTGTGTACTGTTCATCTCCCATGAGAGGATATGCATTTATTTGACCACCTTTTCGTTTCCTCCAGTGTAGTCTAGTGCTCTAGTTGGAGCACACTTTAAGACACTGATGCACACTCACCAGCTTCCCTTTCTTACCTTCCATTTGCTCTTCATCCATTACAATTAGGCATGTGGCCACACTATTCTGTCCTCAGGGAAAGGTAAACTATGGGCAGTCTCCAAACTTTTTTTTTTTTTTTTAAGATTTTTTTGGTAGAGACAGGGTCTCACTATGTTGCTCAGGCTGGTTGCAAACTCCTGGGCTCAAGTGATTCTTCCATCTCAGCCTCCCAAGGTGCTGGGGTTACAGGTGTGAACCACCATGCCCAGCCCAGGAGTCTTCTTACTAGATGCTATCCATTTTCTTAAAACTTCTCCCTAGGTTGGCCGGGTGCAGTGGCTCATGCCTGTAATCCCAGCACTTTGGGGGTGCCAAGGAGGTGGATCACCTGAGATCGGGAGTTCAAGACCTGCCTGACCAACATGGAGAAACCCTGTTTCTACTAAAAATACAAAAATTAGCCGGGCGTGATGGCACATGCCTGTCATCCCAGCTACCCAGGAGGCTGAGGCAGGAGAATCGCTTGAACGCGGGAGGCAGAAGTTGTAGTGAGCTGTCGCACCATTGCACTCTAGCCTGGGCAACGAGCGAACGAAGCTCTGTCTCAAAAAAAAAAAAAAATTCTCCCTGGGTTTCTGCGACCCCATACTCTTCTGGTTCTCCTCATGCTGTAAATTTCTTCTTGATGGCCTTTGCTGGCTTCTTTTCCTATATCACCCTCCCTAAATGTTTGTGTTCCCGCTTGACCTGCTACAGAAGAGGTAGTGGGAGGGAAGGCAGAACAATCACACCATGAAGGTTTTGGAGAGGGCTGTATTATAGCAGGCCTGTGGAGGCCTTTTGCATGCCTTAACACTGGAAACAGGCCTTTTCCACGTGTTCCTGCTGTTCATGCATCTCCTTTCTGTACCCTAAGAGAGTGGGGAAGGTGTACTCACCTCAAGAAATGCCTTATGGAATGCATCTGAGACATAGAGGTCATCTCGGCCTTCTGCAACAATACCTGGAAGGAAGACCGGAGAAGTCTTTGTGAGATGGGAGAAAGTTGGCTTCAACCCACAGATGGGAATTCAGTTTGGATTAAGAGATCCTTTGGGGCTTTTTGAAACATAAGAAGAAATCCTAAATCTTCACCTAATCATACTCTCACAATGAATATGTGTTAAAAATAATAAAGTACTTTGGGGGCTGGGTGCAGTGGCTCACACCTGTAATCCCAGCACTTCGGGAGGCCAAGGTGTACAGATCACCTGAGGTCAGGAGTTGGAGACACTCTAACTAATATGGTGAAACCTTGTCTCTATCGTGAAAATACAAAAATTAGCCAGGTGTGGTGGCGCATGCCTGTAATCCCAGCTACTTGGAAGACTGAGGCAGGAGAATCGCTTGAACTCGGGAGGTGGAGGTTGCAGTGAGCCAAGATCACGCCACTGCACTCCAGCCTGGGCAACAAGAGCAAAACTGCATCTCAAAAATAATAATAATAATAATAATAATAATAATAATAATAATAATAAAAGTACTTTGGGCTTGTTCAGCATGGCTCCTGATAATTCATTCTCAGGCTTCAGCTTTTTGTGGGAGAGAGAAACGGCAAGACTCTGTTCTTACAGAAAAAACTCACTCCATCCAGAAGGAACATCTTTCTTTCCAGTCTGGCAACATTTTTAGTTTTCAAAACTAGCTTAAAGACAGCCCAATAGCACAGTGGCTCACGCCTGTAATCCCAGCACTTTGGGAGGCCAAGGCAGGTAGATCGCCTGAGGTCAGGAGTTCAAGACCAGCCTGGCCAACATAGTGAAACCCCGTTTCTACTAAAAATGCAAAAATTAGCCGGGCGTGGTGGCAGGCGCCTGTAATCCTAGCTCCTTGGGAGGCTGAGGCAGGAGAATCACTTGAATCTGGGGGGTGGAGGTTGCAGTGAGCCAAGATTGCACCACTGCACTCCAGCCTGGGGGACAAGAGCAAGACTTCGTCTCAAAAAAAAAAAAAAAAAAAAAAGGTCAATAAAGATAAATCTAATTACTTAACATCGTAAACTTATTTTATTATTTATTTATTTATTTAGTGATAGGACCTCACTCTGTTGCTCAGGCTGGAGTGCAGTGGTGTGATCACAGTACACCACAGCGTTGACCTCCCGGACTCAGGCAATCCTCCCAGCTCTGCCTCCCAAGAAGCTAGGACTACAGGTGTGCGTCACCATGCCTGGCTAATTTTTTTTATTTTTTGTAGAGACCATCTCACTATGTTGTCCAGGCTGGTCTCGAACTCATGGGCTTAGACGATCCTCCCACCTCAGCCTCCCAAAGTGCTGGTATTACAGGCGTGAGCCACCCTGGCCAGCCAACTTCTTTAAAAGATATTTTAATGTGCCAGGTGCGGTGGCTGACGCCTGTAATCCCAGCACTTTGGGAAGCCAAGGCAGGCGGATCACAAGGTCAAGAGTTCAAGACCATCCTGGCCAACATGGTGAAACCCATCTCTACTAAGAATACAGAAATTACCAGGTATGGTGACGTGTGCCTGTAATCCCAGCTACTCAGGAGGCTGAGGCATGAGAATCGCTTGAACCCGGGAGGCAGAGGTTGCAGTGAGCCGAGATCGCACCGCTGCACTCCAGCCTGGGCAACAGAGTAAGACTCTGTCTCAAGTAATAATAATAATAATAATAAATGTCAGTGAGGCCTGTGTAATGGGAACCACATTTCCCCAGCTCTTAATATCTGTCTCTTTGCTCTGAATTCCAATGCCCTTTCAAATTCCTCTCCACCTGGTCCCATCTCCTCTACCTGATACAGACTCACAGGGCACCAGTGCTAGCTGGGCCCATGGAGATCCAAGAACAAACTTCCCTTTTACAGAAGAGGAAACTGAGGTCTCAAAAGGAAAAGAGATTTCCACAAATTAGCAGTAGAAACTAGGATCAGTATCCAGGAGTCCTGACTTGTTGCTCCTTTCTATTCTTTCTCCAACTCTTCCACTTTTGGTCAGACTACCTTGCGGGTGGAGAAGGGAGGAAACTCCTTCCTAGACAAACCTGGGAGTTTGGACTTTTCAGGGCTGAACAGATCGACAAGGCCCATGTCTTGCAGCTGCTCCTTCAAACTGAAGCCGTCCTCAATGCGGAAGCGGGGCATGTGGACCACCAGCATCATCTCCTCCAATTCATCCAGCCACTCTTGCAGCACCTCTGGGGTGAGTTCCTTCTCTACCTTGGCCAGGCTCTTCTCAGGCTTGGGCAAGATGAGGACCATGGTGATGTCATCACCTTTGAAGGGCAACTCAAGCACCTGGGTGCCTTCAGCCACGCGCCGATAACGGAACTTGCCTTCCTGGTACATCATAGATGCTGAACACGACTCTCCATCAGCCTTGTAGAACAGTTCCTTCCTTGTGTTCTCAGGGCTGAACTTTGACTTCCACAGGCCCTGGAAGAGAATCACAAAGTAAGAACACAAACATTCATAGGAGGATAGTT
The DNA here is from genome assembly GCF_000001405.40 of Homo sapiens. Lineage (NCBI taxonomy): Eukaryota > Metazoa > Chordata > Mammalia > Primates > Hominidae > Homo > Homo sapiens. Next base: position 173,909,993 of record NC_000001.11, read on the forward strand.
ATTGACACAAGACATATCCATATTATAGTGTTACATTAATATATAATTATTCGGAAAAAAGACTGGCGGGATATGCACAAAAAGGTTAACAATGGCTGTGTCAGAATGATGGAATTATGAGTAGGTTTATTCATAACTGTCAAACCTTGGAAGCAGCCAAAATGTCCTTCAGTAGATGAATAGACAGACTGTGGTACATCCAGACCAAATGTAATGCTATTCCATGCTAAGAAGAAATGAGTGACAAAGCCACGAAAACACAAAGGAACAGTAAATGCATTTTACTAGGTGAAAGAAGCCAATCTGCCGGGCGCGGTGGCTCATGCCTGTAATCCCAGCACTTTGGGAGGCCGAGGTGGGCAGATCACGAGGTCAGGAGATCAAGACTATCCTGGCTAACACGGTGAAACCCCGTCTTTACTAAAAAAAAACCAAAAAATTAGCCAGGCATGGTGGTGGGTGCCTGTATTCCCAGCTACTTGGGAGGCTGAGGCAGGAGAATGCCGTGAACCCAGGAGGCGAAGCTTGCAGTGAGCCGAGATCACGCCACTGCACTCCAGCCTGGGCGACAGAGCGAGACTCTGTCAAAAATAAATAAATAAATAAATAATAGATTGACCTGCCCTGCTGACCTGTACCTGTGTAGCTTTCGGCAGTCCATTTGCCCTCTCAGGGCTTCGGTCTCGCCATTTAAAAAAAAAGGGGGTAAGCTGAAGAGCAAGAGGAAGTCCCTGGGGTCTCTCCAGGGCCATTCTGAGTACCTTGAAGTAAATGGTGTTAACCAGCACCAGAACAGTGAGCTCATTGATGGCTTCCGAGGGAATGACATCGGTGATTCGGCCTTCGGTCTTATTGGACACCCATTTGTTGATGGCCGCTCTGGATTGCTCTGCATTTTCCTGAGGAGAACAGAAAATAAACCTACTCACCTGTGCTATTCAATTGGCTTCTCCATTTTCCCAGGCAGCATTTTATTTTTCTCACCATCCCTCTGTCCTTTCCCACCATTTGATTAAGAAGCCATTGCTCTAACCCAAATTGGGGAAGCCTCACATATCTAATATAGTTCCATGAATCTTTCCTGTAGTTAATAAATATTATCAGAAGAAAAAGAACAAAAAGAAATAGGAAGAAATAAATGAAAAGAAGGAAGGCGAAAATAGTCTGGGAAAAAGAAGATAAAATATTATTTTCTCTGACTTTGGAAAACCTTAACTCACAAAAGTAGAATTTCCAAGGCATGTGCCAGGGGAAGCAATGAATGATTGCAGGTTATATGGGGTTGGCAGGTTATATGGGGTTGGCAGGTTATATGGAGGAGAGAAATGCCCATGCAGTCAAATACATTTGAGGAATGCCGATTGAATAAAGCCAACAGATTTCTTTGTTGCAGAGTTTCTCAGAACCTTCATAGGCCCATGTGCTTCATGAATCTCCAAGAGGAGAATGTAACATGCATCATGTACCAACTTTATTTGACCATGATAACAGTTCAAATTAAGTAAGATATCTTGTAGAACTGGCATCTTCAAAACACCCTTTGGTATATATTTGAAGTTGGTGGATGGAATGAAGAATTGATTATTAATTCATGTTTTCTGGGCAGTCACTACAATCCAAGCATGGATACCTTTGATTTCTCAGGTTTCAAGTAAGAATAACTATTGCAGGGGTTCTAACTTTTAGTCAGCCCTCCAGCAGTCTTCAGCAGCAAAGCAGTGTGAATTTGGATGCTGTTTCTCCACCTCCTCAATCTCTGAGTGGAGAGGAAGAACTCGGAGGTCAGGGGTAACATCTGCAACTCACCTTGAAGTCCAGGGGCTGGAGCTTGGCTCCATATACCAACTCACTGATGTCCTGGTAGGTCTCATTGAAGGTAAGGGATTTGTCTCCAAAAAGGCGATTGGCTGATACTAACTTGGAGGATTTGTTGGCTTTTCGATAGAGTCGGCAGTTCAGTTTGGCAAAGAAGAAGTGGATCTGATCAGATGTTTTCTCAGATATGGTGTCAAACTTAAATACCTATAGAAGTCAAAAAAAAATGGTGGTGGGTTTGGTGGGCTGCCTAGTTAACATGGGTGGTGAGCACATGCTGGTCAGTCTCTGACTAATAGCCACCTCAGTTGTTAACTCCTTCAAGCACAGTACCTGGGACAGCATAAATGCTCAACTCTTGTGTTCTGATGAATAAAAGGATAAAAGAAGAATGAAGGGTAGGAAGGATAAAGGGAAAAAGAGAGACTAGGTTGCCACCTAAAGTCTCTAAACGCCTCTAGATCAACACACAGACGTTTTCTTGCTGGAATGGGAAAAGTCCTCTTGGTGATTCTGGACAGAGAAGAGAATCAGGACGGTGTCCTTCTCGTAACAAACACTTTTGTGGCATCTACTGGGGCCAGCTGCTCATGGAGGCTCTGGGATACTGGTGGTAGGGGTGAAAAAGGAAGAGTGAATCTATCAGCAAGGGATTAAACAGGCTCAGAATCTAAGAGCTCAGGGCTGAAAAGGACTTAGAAGTCATCCATGCTTTGAAGTTGGAATCCCCCAATGCCCACCTTCACCATCCCCAAGGCAAAATGGGTGAGGCTGTTCCCCTCCTGCCCTTTCCATGCTCTCTCCTCAGGCTACAAAAGGCCTTTTGGTTTTATCTGTTCTCTGCCTTTGGTTTTCCTGATTTTGCTCCAATAGGCACTTTTTTTAGGGGGGGATTATGCTTTTGATCAAAAGCTTGGTGCTGAATCTCTCTTTTCTCCAGAGAGATTCAGTCTCACCCTGCTTTCCCAACACATGGCGTTTGTGTAGAGGGGAGGACCAAAGGAACATGTGTGGTTTGGAAGCAGTGTTCTGTTCTGTTCTTCTTGTAGGAAGGGTTACATTTAAGATCTTACCTGGGGACAGAGACATGAGTGATATGGAAGTACTTTGAGACCAGTACCAATGTATACAAAAATGACTGAAGGGCCCAGAGAAGGCAGTATTATGTGTCTTCAGAGTTTTTAAATCTACAATTTCTTTCAAAGAGTGAAGACTTGGGTTAACTCACCCCAGAGCCCTGAGCAAAGGTGATGAAGTTCCATGGAAATTGACCACTAGAATAGAAGGAACCCTCCTAAGACCCACAGACTTTAGTGTCCAAGTTTCAAATAAGCACCGTATACCATCTTGAAGGGACTCATGCCTCCCTATTGATGAACTCTGCTTCCAAAGTGTGATCCAACTTGAAGAAAGACTGTCATGCAGCCAAGCCAAGGACAGATTAAAGATCTAGTGTTTCCATCCATGACTTGTCATAGCCCCAGAGGCCAACAGTGATCAATCAATCTATGACATTTCATCTTATCATGCCCTACTTCCCTCCCACAAAAGGCAGTGGGGGGAAGGGGGTGGGAACTAAGTCACTGAGCTGAAATGATCCATACTTCCCAGAGCCAGAAAACACTCTCACGTCCTTGAGGCTTCTCTTGGCTTTCCTGGGCCCCTGGTCTCAATATACCATCCTAGGCCCCGTGCAGTGGCTCATGCTTGTAATCCCAGCACTTTGGGAAGCCAAGTCAGGCCGATCCCTTGAAGTCAAGAGTTTGAGGCCAGGCGCGGTGGCTTACGCCTGTAATCACAGCACTTTGGGAGGCCAAGGCAGGTGGATCACGAGGTCAGGAGTTCAAGACTAGCCTGGCCAACATGGTGAAACCCCATCTCTACTAAGAAGAAAAAAAATTAGCCAGGCATGGTGCCGGGGGCCTGTAATCCCAGCTACTCGGGAGGCTGAGGCTGAGAATTGCTTGAACCCGGGAGGTAGAGGTTGCAGTGAGCTGAGATCGTGCCACTGCGCTCCAGCCTGGATGACAGAGCGAGACTCCGTCTCAAAAAAAAAAAAAAAAAAGTTTGAGACCAGTCTGGCCACGTGGTGAAACCCCATCTCTACTAAAAATATAGAAATTAGCTGGGCGTGATGGCGTGTGCCTGTAATCCCATCTACTCAGGAGGCTGAGGTGGGAGAATTGCTTGAACCTGGGAGGCAGAGTTTGGAGTGAGCCGAGACTGCACCACTGCACTCCAGCCTGGGCAATAGAGCGAGATTCCATCTCAAAAAAAAAAAAATACTATCCTAGAATTTTTTTCCACGAGAGCCTATATGCCTGATGTCACCATATGGTAAAGCTACTCTTCTTCCACCAGAGGAGGGACTGGCACTACACATTGCCTGGCACAGAGGAAGTGCTGAATGAATAAATAAATAAATGATCAAATTAATGAGTAAACATATAGATGAAAGAATTACTGAAAAGAAGTTGAGAGAAGATACAAGCCTTCCCCCATTTTAAGGTGCTCAAAAGAGGAAACCAGGATTTAAAAAGTAGATAGCCAAGATTCCTTGGCTAATTTTTTAAAAAATGATTTTCAAAGGGAATTATAACACAGTGATGTTCAAAGGGAATCGTAATGCATAATGAGCGCCCCTAGTGGCCTGCAGTGTTGGTTGAGGAATCATTGGACTTGGGCCTATGGAAGCCCCAAAGGTGCTCCTAACAAGGTGGCTGGGCAGAAGACCTTTGGTCGTACCTCCATCAGTTGCTGGAGGGTGTCATTACAGGCACCCAGCTTGGTCATAGCAAAAGCCGTGGAGATACTCAGGGGTGACAGGAAAATGTTATCATTGTCATTCTTGGAATCTGCCAGGTGCTGATAGAAAGTGGTAGCAAAGCGGGAATTGGCCTTGGACAGTTCCCAGACACGCCGGTTGGTGGCCTCCGGGATCTTCTGTTCTGAGCCCTCATCCTCAGTTGCCTTCTTCTCCGGGGAGCGGTAAATGCACATGGGATTCATGGGAATGTCCCGCGGCTTGGCTGTGCAGATGTCCACAGGGCTCCCGTGACAGGTCACGCAGTCCCAGAAGCCAATGAGCAGCAAGGACAAAAGATAAACCTTCCTGCAAGGAGACAAAATGCCAAGTTAAGCTAGGCTGCAACCCCTAGCCCCACTGCCCACCACAGGGTTGCCCCAGTAAAGCAGAGGATTCCAGCCCACCTGGTGTGGCCAAGAGAAAGGCTAAATCCTTTGAACCAAGTACAGGGGCCCGGGACAGGTTCAGTCCTAGACTTCTTGCCAGGGGACAGTTCAGTTGCCTGGACGTGGTCATGTTGGAATTAGAATCATCTGATGGTTATTTGGAGTATTATGTGCTCAATTCCCCACGCTGGGAGAAAAAAGAATGAGAAGCTTCCTGTTTGTGACATGGAATGTGCATGCCTAAAAAATCGGCTTTAGTGCCCAGTGAAGAGTCAGGGTGGTAGGGGGAGCCATCTACAGAAACTGTTTGGGGAAGGACTCTGATAGATGCAGCAGAGAGATTTCAGCAACACAAGAGAAGTAAGAAGAAATGGATGGAGCAAAGGCAATATCTGGCCGGGTGCGGTGGCTCACGCCTGTAATCCCAGCACTTTGGGAGGCTGAGGCATGCAGATCACTTGAGGTTGGGTGTTCGAGATCAGCCTGGACAACATGGTGAAACCCTGTCTCTACTAAAAATACAAAAATTAGCTGGGTGTGGTGGCGCACACCTGTAGTCCCAAGCTACTAGGGAGGCTGAGGCAGAAGAATCACTTGAACCCAGGAGGCGAAGGTTGCAGTGAGCTGAGATTGTGCCACTGCACTCCAACCTGGGTGACAAAGTGAGACTGTGTCTCAAAACAGCAACAACAAACAAACAAACAAACAAAAACAATGGCAATATCTGTGTGCTGAAGATTCCTACATCTCTAGCTCCAGCCCTAACCCTTCCACTGAGCTCCAGACTGACTATTTGCTGGACAGTTCCACCAGGAACTCCTACAAGTTCTTCAGGGAAACAGGACCAAACTGAACTGGTAATTAATTCTCCCCCACAGGCCTGCTCCTGTGAGTGGGCTCAGTGAATCCCGTACAGAAACCTGAGAATCACCCTGGATTCCTCCCTCTCTCCTCCTCATTTAGTCAAACCCCAGAGTCAATCAGTTCACCCCAGAGTCAATCAGTTCTGTTTTTTTACTCTTTCACCAGTTATTGCCACTGCTTTAGTTCAGGCTCTCATCCCTTTTTATTGCCTGGAATTTTTAATAGTCGCCAACATGGATTCAATGAAGGTAAATGAAGCTAATTTCACATTTTAAAAAAATGAGGTAGTTGGGACACTCGATGAAGCAAATCAAGAGATAAAGTCTCTTGTAATATTTTTTGTAGATAAGACAGGGTGGGGCAGGGGCTGCCTCCAGCTGGTTTATGGTTCCTGCGTGTACACAAGGGGGTCTGTGTGTGGGTACTGGATCTTCCCATCTTCTCCTGGGAGAGAAAGACAGGCACCCAGTGCAGATTCACGGACGTGGTCCGTTGGGCAAGCCTGGGGCTGGCTGGAAGCTGGGGCAGCTGAGGGGGACTTGCCTTCTTGCGTGGTCTGAGTCCAGTTCTGCAGCCCTTTCAAGAACAGAGGTGCAAAGCCGGAGAGAAGCAGCGGCACCAAGGGAGATGTGGAAGGCAGGCTGAAGAAGCAGAGAGAGAGAGGAGAGGACCCTGCCATTCATCTTCCCATCTCCACTGCCTTCGGTTGCCCACTCTGTCCTTCAACTACATTTGGAAATGCAATTTGAGGCTGAGAGGACCCTGGGAGGGCTATGAAGCACAAATTAAAACCAAGACAGTTGTGCCACCACCCCGTTTCTAGCCTCCTGTGACAACTCAGATGAAGAAGGGAGTGTGTGTGGCATTGAGGGAGGGACAACTCTCATTGTGAGAAAAGGAAGCAGTTTTGGCCCTTTAGTCAAAGGTCACTGGGATTTGGGTGGGGGTGGAGTGGGGTGGATCTGAGTGGAAGAAAGAGCAAAAAGGGAGTGAGGAGGTCCTCATGGGTAGCATTTGCTCTCTTCCCGGATGGATGGCAGGCCCTGGGGATTCCCCTTGGAGCGTCCCCTGGATCCCGTGAGTGCTGACTTCCTGCACAGCATCTTTACACCAGGGATGACATCCCCCTTGTTTCTTAGGCTAGGGACCCAAGGGGTAGCTTAGGAAAGGCCTTACCCCAAGAGGTGGGGTGGGAGGGAGAGCACTTGAAATGACGTCTTCCAAACAGGTCTTTGACTGTAACTACCAGGGAGAGGGCCTGGTCTTCTCAAAGGTGTTGGAGGTCATTCCTGTGAGTCCTTTGGAGGTCACAAAACCCAGTAGGGGCAGGCAAGGGGAAAGCTCACCCCTCTTACCTTTTTCCAGAGGTTACAGTTCCTATCACATTGGAATACATGGCCGCTAATCTTCCACAGGGCTGGGCAAGTGGAGATAGTGTGATCTGAGGCAATCCGCCTGAAAACTGGTTCTTTCCTCTAAATCTCGCAGAGGTTCCAGAGGACAGGGTGGGGCAGAGAGCTGGTCAGGAGGGGGAACTGAGGTCAAAGGCTGATGACCAGTTCCCAGGGTTAAGCAAAGTGTAGAGCCCAGTGTTGTTTAATTAGTAGAGAAGTTTTAAAGTTCAATCAGGCCCAGGGAAAGCCTGAGCCACCTCTCTTGCCCACACTCCCTCACTCTTCTCCTCAGCTTTATAGAAAAGGAAAAGGAGAGTATGTTCATACCCTCAAACTTGGTTAGGAAACTAACCAAGGAAACAAACTTGGTTCATACCCACCCTCTCTCATAGTTTTCTTTATGGAGAGAGGGAGAGAGAGAGAGAAATATCTAATTAGAGAAGGCAAAGAGGGACAAGCTGCTACCTTCAGGCATCTGAGTGCCAAGGTGTCCCTGGCACAGACAAGGAAAACACAATGGTTACACCTGTGGCCCACAGAGAGACCCATTCCCCAGCAGCCCTGAAGTGGTGGGACAGGGAGAGAAGAGCAGGGCCTCGGGGTGCATGCCAAGCGCGTTTCTAAGGGGTGTGAGCAGCTGGGAAATACTTAGCAAAACTCTACTGGGGGATCAGGAGACAGAATGCGGGGCAGGTGAAAAACCCACGTACAACTGCTGAAATAAAAACAAACTAAATTATATTTATGTGTATCGTTATTTTTATTAGTTATTGGGGAGATTGGGTAAATTCAAACTAGTGGAGATAAAGGGCAGGTTTGTTTACATTTCCCTCTTCTGAAATAGCCAAAAGCACCATCACAAGGACTGCAGCCACCAAGTTCACAGGGCGCATGTGCCTCCTGCTGTGTGATCAAGGACTCCTTGTAGTTGTTGTTGCAGTCATAGGCATTTTCGAGAGCTCTTCGTTCATGAGAGAGGACATCTCTCCTGAACTGAAGCTGTGTCTAAGTTCTTGGCTGATTCAGACCCTGGATCCTTTGAAGCCCTCCATGTGCAGTGTGAACAGTAGCCGAGAACTGTCCCAAAGGGCCCCAGAATGCCCAGAGGCTCATCTGTCACCCTAGATTAAAGACTATTGAAAAGTCTCCTGTTCAACCACTTGAGTTCAACAAATACACGAGTGCTGCTTGTGCCAGCAGACACTGTTCTTGGGGCTGGGATTCCATTCGGGGGAGACATACAGCAATCACATAAAGAATCAGTATTTTAGGCCAAGCGTGGTGGCTCACACCTGTAATCCCAGCACTTTGGTAGGCTGAGGCAGGTGGATCACCTGAGGTCAGGAGTTCGAGACCGGCCTAGCCAACCTGGTGAAACCCCATCTCTACTAAAAATACAAAAAATAGCTGGGCATGGTGGTGGGCACCTGTAATTCCAGCTACTCAGGAGGCTGAGGCAGGAGAATCACTTGACCCCAGGAGGCAGAGGTTGCAGTGAGCCGAGATCGTGCTATTGCACTCCAGCCTGGGTGACAGAGCAAGACTCCATCTCAAAAAAAAAAAATCAGTATTTAAAAAATAAATATGTAACGTGCCAGTCAGATGTTAATAAGGTCCATAGAGAAAACTATAGCAGGGCAAGGATATAGGAAGCAGTGGGAGGAAGTGGGGAGGGCACCATCTGAGAACACTTGGTAGGAAAGGCCTCCCTTAGGAATCATTGTTAGGAAACCAGAATGAAATGATGGAGGGGGCCATATGAATATCTTTAGGAAGAGCTGTCCAAAGAGAAATCAGAAATACAAAGACCTTGAGGTTTCAGGAACATGCTGTTGAGACCTATTGTTCCAGCTTATAGGAGTTATGAGGTTTGTGTCTTGCCAAGAAGGTCCTTGGGGGAGGGCAGATGAGGGGCCCTGCAAAAATATAGGTGATTTGGTGAACATCGCTGGAAAAGATTAGGATGCAGATACTACCAGGTCAAGGAATTAAGAACTATAACATCAGGGTTTGTGTTTAATTTGTTCATCCAGGCTGGATGCAGTGGCTCACATCTGTAATCCTAGCACTTTGGAAGGCCAAGGCTTGAGGCCAGGAGTTCAAGACCAACTGTGAGACCCCACACACGGTGAGACCCCCATCTCCAGAAAATAATAATAATAAGCTGGGCATGGTGGCATGAGCCTGTAGTCCCAGCTACTCAGGAGGCTGAGGTGGGAGGATCACTTGAGCCCAGGAATTCAGACTGCAGTGAGCTGTGATCACACCACTGCACTCCAGCCTTGGTGACAGAGTGAGCCCCTGTCTCAAATGTTAAAAATTAAATTATATATATATTTTAAAAGTGTTCTGCCAGGCGTGGTGGCTCACGCCTGTAATCCCAGCAGTTTGGGAGGCTGAGGTGGGCAGATCACTTGAGGTCAGGGGTTTGAGACCAGCCTGGCCAAGACAGTGAAACCCTGTCTCTACTAAAAAATAAAAAAAAAATTAGCTGGGCATGGTGGTATGCACCTGTAATCTCAGCTACTCAGGAGGCTGAGGCAGGAGAATCACTTGAACCCGGGAGGTGGAGGCTGCAGTGAGTCGAGATTACGCCACTGCACTCTAGCCTGGATGACAGAGCGAGACTCCATACAGGTGTAAGCCACTCTGCCTGGTGCATATTCTTTTCTTCTTCTTCTTCTTTTTTTTGTTTGAGACGGAGTCTCACTCTGTCGCCCAGGCTGGAGTGCAGTGGCCTGATCTCAGCCCACCTCCAACCTCTGCCTCCCAGGTTCTAGAGATTCTCGTGACTCAACCTCCCAAGTAGCTGGGATTACAGGCCCCTTCCACCATGCTTGGCAATTTTTTTTGTATTTTTAGTAGAGACGGGTTTTCACCATGTTGGCCAGGCTGGTCTCAAACTCCTGACCTCAAGTGATCCGTCTGCCTTGGCCTCCCAAAGTGCTAGGATTACAGGCATGAACCACAGCGCCCAGCATTATTTTCAAATATAGTACTATTTAAAAATCTCTAAACCTTATTCTAATTTTGCCAATCATCCAATTAATGTTTTTAGAGACTGGTTGTCACTCTGTTGCCATTAGAGATGGGGGTCTTGCTCTGCTGCCCACACTGGTCTCAAACTCCTGGCCTCAAGCAATCCTCCTGCCTCAGCCTCCCCACTAGCTGGAATTACAGGCAGGAGTCACCACACCTGGTTTTCAAAGCAATGGTTTTCACCTTCTTTGTTTCAGAATCCTTTTATAGTCTTGCCAAAGAACATCTAAATATTATTATTAAAATAGTTACATATTAAAATAGTTTTGGCCAGGCTGAGTGGCTCACACTAGTAATCCCAGCATTTTGGGAGGCCGAGGCAGGAGGATTGCTTGAGCCCAGGAGTTCAAGACCAGCCTGGGCAACATGCGAAACTCCATCTCTATAAAAAAATGCAAAAACTTAGCTGGGCATGGAGGTATGCGCTGGTAATCTCAGCTACCCAGGAGGCTGAGGTGGGAGAATCACTTGAGCCTGGAAGGTTGAGGCTGCAGTGAGCCATGATGGCACCACCGCACTCCAGCTTGGGTGATGGAGTAAGATCCTGTCTCAAAACATAAATAAATAAAGTGAAATCGTTTCGACTTCATATACCTACTGAAAGGTTTTCTGAATCTCCTAGGGTCCCTGGACCATGCTTTGGGAAGCACTGATTTATAGCCAATAAAAAAAAAAGAAAAGAATTTTTTTTCTCCTTTCCCTGGGGCAGGAGCACACATTGCATTTAGTTGTCATGTCTCTTTAGTCTTCTGCAGCTTGGAACAGTTCCTCTCGTCTATGGTCATACTACCCTGAAAGTGCTTGATCTTAGAAGCTAAGCAGGGTCGGCCCCGGTTAGTACTTGGATGGGAACAGTTCCTCTCTTTTTCTTTCATGATTTTGGCTTGTTTGAAGCATATAGGCCAGTTAATTTTGAAGACTGTCTCTCAATTTGGTATGTCTAAAATTTCTTCAGGATTAGATTCAAGTTATCCTTTTCGGGGCAGGAATACAACAGAGGTAATACTGTGTCCTTCTCAGTGTATCGCATCAGGAGGTACAGATGTTAATTTATCCCATCACTGGTGATTAACTTGGATTACAAGATTGTGTCTGCCAAGTTTCTCTGCTGTAAAATTACAATGTTTCCCCTTTTGTTAAATGTCTTGTGGGGATACTTCACATACTTGAGAGTATGCAAATATATTGTTTTCCATCAAATTTTCACCTGCTAATTTAAGCTTCCCTCAATGATCCTTTTGCAAGACTTACAAAAATTTTTTTAATTAATCTTTTTTTCTGAGACATGGTCTCACTATTGCCCAGGCTGGAGTACAGTGACACCATCTTAGCTCACCGCAGCCCTAGACAACTTGGGCTCAAGCAATCCTCCCATCTTAGTCTCCCAAGTAGCTGGGACTACAGGTGTGTGCTACTGTGTCTGGCTATTTATTTATTTATTTTGAGAGGGAATTTCACTCTTGTTACCCAGGCTAGAGTGCAATGGCGCAGTCTTGGCTCACTGCAACCTCCACCTCCTGGGCTCAAGCGATTCTTCTGCCTCAGCCTCCCAAGTAGCTGGGATTACAGGCATGCACCGCCATGCCCTGCTAATTTTTGTATTTTTAGTAGAAACGGAATTTCACCATGTTGGCCAGGCTGGTTTTGAACTCCTGACTTCGGATGATCCGCCTGCCTTGGCCTCCCAAAGTGCTGGGATTATAGGCATGAGCCACCGCACCTGGCTTTATTTATGTATTTTTAAAAACTTTTTGTACAGATGGGTTTTCGCCATGTTGCCCAGGCTGGCCTCTAACTCCTGAGCTCAAGTGATCTGCCTGCCTTGGCTTCCCAAATTGTTGGGATTACTGGTGTTAGCCACCACATCCAGCCCCTGCAAGACTTTTAAAGCACTCCTCCCTCCCTGTTATTTCCATGTTTCTCTAAAAAGGATTATCACAAAAACCATTAGAATTAAAAGAGATTAAGTTAGACAAGACACTAGGCTGTGAGGAAACAAGCTGTTTCATCCTTTGCTCTTCGGGGTACAAAGTGCCATAAGTCTTTGTAGGTGCTTTGTAGGGAAACATGGAAACACCAAAATTACAAATGCATGTACCCTGTGAATCAGACATTCCACTTCAGGAAATTCATCCTACAGCTACACCTGCATGGGTTTCAGCAAGGTTAGCTGCCATGACCTGATTCATAATAACAAAAAGTTGGACACCACTTCCATCTGTAGGAGACTGGTTAAATAAACCAAGGCACATCCCCACAATGGAAAACTGTGCCATTGTGTAAAAGAATGAGGATGCTCTATATGGATGTACTGATATGGAAGGGTCCTTAGGATAATTATGTGGGGAAAAAGCAAGCTGCAGAAAGTGTTTATAGTATGCTGTGCTTTTTGTAACACAAAGTGAGGATGATGGGGTGAGGGGTGGCTAGAGACAAGGGTAGGAGTAGACTTATCAATATGTACCATCTTATTTAGTTTTCTAATGTTGAACATGTCAATGTATCACCTATTCAATATGTCTTGACTTTATGACACAAGGGTGTCAGTGTTGTATTCACACAGAGGCTTGGGGAGAGAAGAGGAGCAGGGCAGGATGAGGGCAGTGGCAGCACCAAAGAGGAACCTGAGGCAGGCTGAGTGCCTGGCTGGTGACAGGGGAGAAAAGGAGAACGGGTCTGCAGGTGGAAAGAGGTGTTTAGGTGTGCCCTGCCTGTGAAAGTAGTTTCTAATGGCTGTATAATATTCAGTAGTCTAGAACTTAACCATTACTTTAGTGTTAGACATTAGCCTAGGTCAGACTCTTTAAAAGTTTGAATATGATTTATGATCATATAGGTGCCATCTTAATAGGTGCTATTTAAAAACACTATATATCAGGGTCTATACTAAATGCTTCCCAGGCATTAGCTTATATAATTCTCTCATCAGCTCTACCAGAAAGATACTAATTATGCCCAGTTTACAGATGAGAACACTACTATTTACAAGAGTTATTTGCCCCAAATTGCAAAGCTAGCAGAGCTGAGATTCAAACCTCCCTCTGCTTCTCTCAAAGCCCTTGTGTCCCAGCACGATAGATATGAAAGAAATGCCCAGGACTTCCCATGTTACAACCCACAGTGTCCAACTGCTTTTCATCTGGTTCTCCTCTGGATAGTCTCTGTCAAACTTGTTCACAATTCCCTCCAAATCCAGTGCCCAGAAATGAACCCAGGGACTACCACATTTTCCTTTGCCTCTATCTCTCTCTCTCCCCCACCCCTCTCTCTCTATATATAATATCTATATATAATATAGATATAATATATATACAGCCTCCACAGCTGGGACTACAGTATGCTCCACCACACATGGCTAATTTGTTTTTTGTAGAATCGAAATCACTATGTTGCCCAGGCTGCTCTCGAACTCCTGGTCTCAAGCGATCTTCCTGCCTTAGCCTCCTAAAGTGCTGGGATTAAAAGCATGAGCCACCACAGTCGGCCTGTCTATCCATATTTTATTTGATGCACATCCCAAATGAGCATACTCACAACTCAGCCTGGGCATTCAGCACACTAGCTCTTTCTTTTTCCACAGGTCGGTCTATAAGCCACATGATGAAGATGAGACTGATCCTAAGCCCTGGAAGTTATCAGCCCAGGTATTCCCTGCCTCTCACCTCTTGGACCCAGCACATTTGGGAAACTGAGATCCCATGCCCTGGAATGAAAGAAACGGATCTATAATCATGTTTCCGGACCGAGAAGCCATGTGCCTCATTCTGTCCTATCCAACATTGCCATCAGTGGTTTGGAGGAAGACACAGTCAGGAAACAGTCAAGGGATAGTGGGTGCAGTGATCATCTGCTGGATCCCGGGCTGCCTCGCCCTCTCCACTATGCTTCTCCTGCAGGTCTCCCAAGAGTTCTCATTGGTCTCTGGGAGACTTTACCACCAGCCTAGTCTCTGGTACTCACTGCACACAGCTCCCCTTGGCTTTTATTATACTATCAAGGTTTGGATGATCCCAGATCCATTTCCTCTTGGTTCATCTTAGACTGTTTAGACTGGGAAAGAAAAAAAGAGCTTGTATGCTGGGCAAACTAATTTGTGACTGTGTGTGTGTTTACACACACATAGGTATTCTGAAAAGTATTTTTTGTGTATATTTAAATATAATAAAGATATTTTAGGTTGGGCATGGTGGCTCATGCTTGTAATGATTTGGGAGGCTGAGGCTAGAAGATGGCTTGAGGCCAGGAGTTAAGAATAGCCTGGGCAGCATAGCGAGATCCCATCTTTACAAACCATGAAAAAATTAGCCGGGTGTGGTGGCGTGCACCTGTAGCCATAGCCACTTCTTTTTTTTTTTTTTTTTTTTTTTTTTTGAGATGCAGTCTCGCTGTTGCTCAGGCTGGAGTGCAGTGGGGCCATCTCGGCTCACTGCAGGCTCCGCCCCCCCAGGTTCACGCCATTCTCCTGCCTCAGCCTCCCGAGTAGCTGGGACTACAGGCGCCCGCCACCTCGCCCGGCTAATTTTTTGTTTTTTCAGTAGAGACGGGGTTTCACCGTGTTCGCCAGGATGGCCTCGATCTCCTGACCTTGTGATCCGCCCGCCTTGGCCTCCCAAAGTGCTGGGATTACAGGCGTGAGCCACCATGCCTGGCCAGCCATAGCTACTTCTTAAGTCCAGGATTTTGAGTCTGCAGTGAGCTATGATCACACTACTGCACGCCAGCCTTGGCAATAGAGCAAGGCCCTGTCTCTAAAAAAGAAAGAAAAATAATTTTTCTTTAAATTAACGTTTTCATGGAAATTTCTAATATTTCTAGAACTGGAAATATTAGAAAGAGATAGACATCTTAAGAACTTTTATCACAAAAAAATCAGTTTTTGAAAAGGACTCCCTACTTCTGTGTGGCACTGTTTTTCTCAATTCTGAGTGAAAAGATTGGAAGGCTTGTGCTTTGCTGTGTTAGGAGTAGGTTCAAGGAACCATGAAGAGGAGAGAACATAGCAGTTGATTACCCTCTCTTTTTTTAGTACTTCCTTCAAGATCAGTGATAAAATTCCTCTTTCCCTAGCCCTGCTTCCAGTTCAGTAGTAACTTCCATGAGCAGGTAATTCAGCAGGTCCATGTCCATTGCCTCATACCCTGGGCTGTTCTGTTCTTTCCTTTGGACTCAAGAATAAGACCTTGGCAGGGAAGAGATAGGACCCAGCTTCTGCTGTGGTTACTGAATAACTCAAAGCTTAACCCTTCCATGGAAATTTGGCAAAACATTTAGCACAAAAAGCAGTCTCCAACTCCCTTGGGTTCCCAGTTTACTAGGTGAACATGACATTTTAATTAAGGTGAAATTAAACTTACCAAAATAAATCCTACATTATCATTTAGCAGCATTTAGCTGAGGCTCTCAAGGCATCTCACTGGAATTTGCCCAAATCCTCCTGTTAGAAAGTTCAGTTTTGGCTTCAGGGAAACCAAATCAAAACAGCAAATATTTATTGAACATGTCCTGTTGAATGTACCAAGTACTTGATAAACATTCATGTTTGAAAAAATCCAGGTCCAGAGTAGTTCTGCTAACTTAATAACAGGAAATATAGCACTTTAAATTCCTCCCAAATAGAAAGTTTAGATTATCAAGTAAGGTGAAAAATGCTTACTCATCCAGAAGAATTGACACCTTGTATGAACAGAAACATTGGACAAGGCTATTCTTTGGAGGCTGAGCAAGAGAGAGTTGTGTGGGGTCAAAGCTTGTTGCTTTTATATTAGTTTGGGAAGTTGTAGGTGGTGAAAGAGAAACAGCAAAGGGAGGCTGGGTGCGGTGGCTCACGCCTGTAATCCCAGCGCTTTGGGTGGCCGAGGCAGTCGGATCACTTGAGCTCAGGAGTTCGAGACCAGCCTGGCCAACATGGCCAAACACCGTCACTGTGAACAAAAAAGTAGCCAGGCGGGTGGCGCATGCCTGTAGTCCCAGCTACTTCAGGAGGCTGAGGTAGGAGGATTACTTGAGCCTGGGAGGTTGAGGCTGCAGGAAATTAAGTATGGGTTAAGGAGATGCATCACTGGTGCCAGGCTGACAATAGGTAGACTTGTGGACTTAATTTAGGTATCACCTTGACTGGATAAAGGGATACCTAGAAACCTGATAAAGCATTATTTTGGATGTGTCTGGGAGGGTGTTTCCCAAGGACATTTGTGTGTGAGTCTGAGTGGACTAGGTGGAGAAATCTCTGAGAGCCGTGACAGACTTTTCTTCTGCTGCCTTGGACATTAGAACTTCAAGCTCAGTGGGGCACGGTGGCTCACACCTGTAATCCCAGCACTTTGGGAGGCCGAGGGGGGCGGATCACAGTATCAAGAGATTTAGACTATCCTGGCCAACATGCTGAAACCCCATCTCTGCTAAAAAAAAAAAAAAATACAAAAATTAGCTGGGCGTGGTGGTGTGCGCCTCTCGTCCCAGCTACTCAGAAGGCTGAAGCAGGAGAATTGCTTGACCCCAGGAGTCCGAGGTTGCAGTGAGCCGAGATCGCACCACTGCAGTCCAGCCTGGTGACAGACCGAGATTCCGTCTCAAAAAAAAAAAAAAAAAAAAAAAAAAGAACTTCAAGCTCACAGGCCTTTGGACTCCAGGACTTAAACCAGAGACTCGCCAGGTCTTGAGGCTGTCACTTCCCTGGTTCTCAATGTAAAAATGTTTAAACTTCTTCAATAAATGAAGGGGTTTTTTTGTATGTCTGTATTTATGAAAGGTAAAATTTCTCAAGATCTCAGGTTTTGGGACGACTGTATATGCAGTGGTGACCCATTGTGTGTGTGTGTGTGTTTGAAGCAGGGTCTCACTCTGTCATCCAGACTGGAGTGCAGTGGCAAAATCATGGCTCACTGTAGCCTCAACCTCCTGGGCTTAAGCAATCCTCCTGTGTCAGCCTCCCCAGTAGCTGGGACTATAGGCACAAATCATCATGACCAGCTAATTTTTCTATTTTTTGTAGAGACGAGGTCTCCTTATGTTGCCACACTGGTCTCTAACTCCTAGGCTCAAGTGATCCAGCTGCCTCAGCTTCTCAAAGTGCTGGAATTACTGATGTAATTCTGCACTCAGCAGTGTAAAACTGCACTCAGCTCATTGTAGTTTTTGATTGATTTCATCAACTCTTGGAGTTGTCTGCCACTATATTTCATATGACTGCGATTATAATGCTGGGTACAATAACCAACCACAGTAATATGCATTTATACATTTTGCTTTTTGACCTACTTATAAATATGGTTTGTCTGCTCTTAACTGTTACATCCATGTGACTGTTATTATATCCGTGTTTGTTAAATACAAATGTATCATTGCCTATTTTATTATGTAAATTGGCCTATGAAGTATTGTCTTTTTTTTTTTTTTTCTTTTTGAGACAGGGTCTCAGTCTGTCGCCCAGGCTGGTGTGCAGTGGTGTGACGATGTGATCATAGCTCACTGCAGTTTCTATTTCCTGGGCTCAAGTGATCCTCTCGCCTCAGCCACCTGAGTGGCTGGGACTACAGGGATGCACCACACTATGGTTTAGTAGACACAGGTCTTATTGTTGCCCAGGCTGTCGTGTTTTCCTGTTTCTCAAATAAATCTTTTATTATTTTTTTTTTTGAGATGGAGTCTCGCTCTGTCGCCCAGGCTGGAGTGCAATGGCAAGATCTCGGCTCACTGCAACCTCTGCCTCCCGAGTCAAGCGATTCTCCTGCCTCAGCCTCCTGAGTAGCCAGGACTACAGGAATGTGCCACTATGCCCGGCTAATTTTGTATTTTTAGTAGAGATGGGGTTTCGCCAAGTTGGCCAGGCTGGTCTCAAACTCCTGACCTCAGGT
Source organism: Homo sapiens (assembly GCF_000001405.40). Taxonomy (NCBI): domain Eukaryota; kingdom Metazoa; phylum Chordata; class Mammalia; order Primates; family Hominidae; genus Homo; species Homo sapiens. The sequence continues at coordinate 173,928,150 of NC_000001.11, forward strand.
GATCCGCCCGCCTCAGCCTCCCAAGGTGCTGGGATTTTAGGCGTGCGCCACCGCGCCTGGCCCTAAATCTCCTTTTAAAAATTTAAATAGGGCCAGGTGCGGTGGCTCACGCCTGTAATCCCAGCACGTTGGGAGGCCGAGGCGGGCGGATCACGAGGTCAAGAGATTGAGAGCATCCTGGCCAACATGGTGAAACCCCGTCTCTACTAAAAATACAAAAATTAGCCGGGGGTGATGGCACGTGCTCCGGGAGGCTGAGGCAGGAAAACTGCTTGAACCCGGGAGGTGGAGGTTGCAGTGAGCCGAGATCACAATACTGCACTCCAGCCTGGGTGAAAGAGCCAAGCTCCGTCTCGAGGAAAAAAAAAAAAAAGTAAATGCCTTTTAAAGAATTTACATTTTTTTCCCCAAAATTATAACTTTGGAACTTTTGTCTTTCAGAATTTCAATATTTGGGGTTGTCTTTTGGGATTATGATCAGCTCCCAAGAAGCACAAATCTGGTCCCTTCATTCCACTGCTTACTACCCTTCTTTGCATTCCGTTTACTTTCAGAATAAAATCCAAACACTTAAGCACGGTCCACAGGCTTCCATGATCTATCCGGCTGTGCATCTCAAGCCACTGTGTCACTCCTTTTCCTCTAGTCTTAATGAACTCCTTCCAGTTTCCACACCTCAGGCTCTTTCTTCCCTTAGAGAATTCACACGTTCTATTTTCTCTGACCAAGCCTCTTGTCTCCCACACACCTTTCTCCCGCTCCCCCATGATTTTTCAAGTTTTATCTTCAATGCAACTTCCTCAGGAAAGCCTGACCAGCCAGGCAAGGTTAAGTCTTCCTTGGATACCATCTCACTGCTCCTTGCTCTTCTGAGGACAAGTATGGTTGAAAAATTCTTTGGTAATTCTGTTTAGTGTTTTGTCAAGTTCCAGAATTAAAGTTCATTGCGGGTGGAGGCAGTATTTTCTAACTCTTTGTCCTCTACCGGGCTGTGCATATGGGAAGTACTCAATACATTTCTTTAGTAAATACTCAATGGGTATTCAGTGGGTATTTGACAAGTCCACTTTTTATATGGTAGGTGTTCCAAATAAGGGTGGCAGCCATTTACTGAATGAGTCATCTTGCTGGAGGGCAAAGGGGTTTACTAATTGATCACTGAAGATTAGCTGGTTATTGGGATTGAAGCACTAATGGGCATAAAAACCAAATTTCTATTGGTATTTTTGTTTCAGCCCAAGAGGTCAGAATGTACCCTATTGCTTGTGAGCAGGGTAGGCCTAGGTAGGTGATTAAGATGACAGGGCTAGTTTTGTAATTCCCAGTCCAGAATTTATAATCATTCAGGGATGGCTGCAGCAGTTACCACTCCTCATACCCTAAGCTTTCTTTACTATGGTCCCTTCCCTTGAGGTCAGATATACCAATGGACACCTAATCGCTAATTGTTGGTAGGAGAAGTAAATAACCTTCACTGGTAATGTGCATTATTGATTTTTTTTTTTTTTGGAGACGGAGTTTCACTCTTTGTTGCCCAGGCTGGGGTGCAGTGGTGTTAGCTCACCGCAACTTCTACCTCCCGAGTTCAAGCGATTTTCCTGCCTCAGCCTCCCGAGCAGCTGGGATTACAGGTGGCCACCACCATGCCCGGCTAATTTTTTTTTTTTTTTTTTTTTTTTTTTAGTAGAGATGGGGTTTCATCATGTTGGCCAGGCTGGTCTCAAACTCCTGGCCTCAGGTGATCTGCCTGCCTCGGCCTCCCAAAGTGCTGGGATTACAAGGTGTGAGCCACCGTGCGTGGCTGCATTATTTACTTTTTAAAAATATTTAGTTCCTACTTTAAAGGAAATTGCAGCTATTGTGTTATCCATCTTTATTAAAAAAATGGATTTTTTACATAATCATGTTTCACAATGAACGAAAATGCCATTCCTTGGTATCATCTAATGCCCAATACTTAATCAAATTTTCCTGTATACAAAAGTCTTTTGTGTATTTGGTTTGCTAAAATCACCTATGCTGCATTTGATTTTTGTACTTCTTACATTTCTTTTAATCTAGAATAATAGAGTCTCATTCCATTGCCCAGGCTGGTGTAGTGGTGCGATCAAGCATCATAGCTCATTGTAGCTTTGATCTCCTGGACTTTAGCAATCCTCCCGCCTCAGCCTCCTGAGTAGCTGGGACTACACACACGAGCCACCACACCCAACCTCCTCCCTTTTCTTCTTCATGCCATTGAGGTGTTGACTAACGTATGGTCTCTATTAGACAAACTTACTTATATCCACTAACTTCGAGGAATGACTAATGGGTGGGGATTTCAGGACAATCAGAAGTCAGCAAGAATGGGAAGACAAGGCTGGGCATAGTGGCTCATGCCTGTAATCCCAGCACTTTGGGAGGCTGAGGCGGGCAGATCGCTTGACATCAGGAGTTTGAGACCAGCCTGGCCAACATGGTGAAACCCCATCTCTACTAAAAATGTAAAAATTAGCTGGGCATGGTGGCGCAGGCCTATATTCTCAGCTACTTGGGAGGCTGAGGCAAGAGAATTGCTTGAACTGGGGAGGCAGAGGCTGCAGTGAGCTGAGATTGTGCCCCTGCACTCCAGCCTGGACAACAGAGCAAGACACCATCTCAAAAAAAAAAAAAAAAAATGGAAAGACAAAAAAACATTTTGCATCAGGAAGTTACCATGACAAGTCCTTTTCACTTAAGCATAAAGATGGTCCTAATTTTCAGAAGCGCCATAAAAACCGAGACACTGGATGTTAGCCATTGAATCTCATTGAATTGATGCTAGTATCTCAGAACCACTACCCTCACTCCTAATGTGCAATCACTGTGTGACAAATGAAGGAATATGACTGTAGCTTATTTAAGATTGGACTAATTCCTGTGATGTCCACACAAAATTGGCTACTCCAAGTATGTGTTTGCTCATGCAGATTAGCCATTTCTTTATTTTTCACCTAAAAAAGCCCCCTCCATTAAAAACGTGTAAGAAAGTAATCTCAAGATTAGAATAAGATGGCACACACTCATTTACAAAATACACACGTTCCTCATTAATTTATCATTTAATATAAATGCTGACAGAAAGCAGATAAAGACCTTGTAGACATTTTCATATATTTACAATCCAAAAGGTGAATCACCTCCTTCTACTTGTTAAAATAAATCATTTTATCTGCAACTCATGGGAGCCTTAAACACTAATTAGGAGCAACATGAGGCTGAGTCAGTTTCCAAGGTAATAAAGGAAATAGCATTTTAACAAAATGGGCATCTTTGATATAAACATGCACACAAATAATACAAAATTGAGAAAGATGGCCCTAGTACTCTCAAAAATCGGCAACAAGTGGGAACATGTACTTATTTAGACCCAGAGTTCTGCTGCCCTAAACATCTTCCTACTACTATTTCTTTTTTTCCACCACACTTGTTTTGAAAGCTGCTTAAAAATCAGAAATATTAAACAGATTAAAAACAAGAGAAAAACGGTCTATTTCAAATAGGGTTCTTTTTCCTACTCCAAAAGAACTCTCAGGAGATAAGGTCTTCAAATAAGACTTCACGGTTTGCCAGATCCTAAGGAATTATTCACAGCCTGTGAAATTCCAATCCATTTGTCTTCACCATTCCAACCTATTTGTCTTCACTTCTCTTTTTAAAGTTGGAAACACTTGGAAAAAGTAAAATTTCACAAAATTCAGCAATTAAAAAATCAGCTGTCACTTTAAGGCTCAATTTTTTTTTTTCCTGAACAGGGGGGTGGAGGCAGGCAAGAAAGAATAGGGAGCTGTGGCAATAAAAAAACAAAAAAATGCAAGAAAACTTTAAAAAATGGTAAGTCTACCACTGATTTATAAGAGCAGGAGTATAAATTCTATCCAAAAGTGTAAGTGATTTCACTTACAACCTGACTCAAATCTCATGGGCTCCTTTATTAACCAAGATTATTTTTGTCTTGTTAAATATACCTCTGCAGGGCACAATCACTTACAATCAATACGATTGGTAAATTACACAAGCTCTATCCCAAGCAAATATGCACCAATGTTAAAAAGTTATTTTTTTAAAAAAAACAAAATAAAACAAAATAAAATCCACCCAAAAAGGTGATAATGACTGCAGAATGTCTCGGGGAGACTGATATGAGCCTAAAGACCAAATTACCATAGTCAGAGAAAAAGGGCAGAAGGGGTAACAAGGGGAAGACACCACAAACACGAAGAGGAATCTCAAAACTGGAAAATGTTTAAGTGGGTGAAAGGTTTTGTTCATTACCTTAATTCACTTTTTCCATTGTTCTTGTACCAAAAAGTCATAGATTAATCATAAAGAAAGATAATGAGACCTGTGGACTAATTAATTTTTTTAAAAAAGTTCCTTTTATTCCCAGGAAGCAGGGAAGAGGAAAAAGGATGAACAGGGGAGAAGTGTGAAAATTTAGGCCAACGATCCATCTGGAAAAAATAACTCTCAAGACAGTGTCTTAGTTGAATAGAGGATGTAAAAACGATAAGCAAAAGCTAAATGCCTTTAAGTCAGAGAATTATTTTATGGGGTAGTTCAGATATTATAAGAATGACAGCCAATCAATGGAGAAAGATTACACAAATAAATGGTGATTAAAAAAAGGCAAATAATAATAATAATAATAATAGAGCAACCAATTATTCACCCAATAGTTTGTTTCCAATCTTTTTCTTGACTCTTTCATACACTCACTGGGGTGGGGGACCACCTGACAGTTTCCAGTTATAAGATGACTCTGAGTGTACAACCTAAAATGGATGCCAAAGACTTGTGAGCTCTGTCTGCTTAGAGTTAGAACAGAAACAAAAACAAATCTGAAACAGTAAGACCTCAATACAAGAAAACAAGTCACCTTATCTAGTATAAAATAAACATTAGGATAACAAACTCCACAGGATTTTATTTTTCTAAATACACATTTTTGGACACGATATTATGTTGAGGTTTAAGTTCTTCCCCCTTATTGTGCCTTATTTTCTTGTGAAAATAAAGTTCGTTCTCTAGGGATGTTTCAGGGATAAAGTTTAGGAGAAATTCAGTGTTTGGCTGAAAATCCAGAGGCTCTGAAAACAAGGATTCCAGTGGTGAGGTAAGTCCCTTTATTACAATAAGATTTCAAAGGGCTCTTTACCCACTTTGTTCAGTGCAGTATTGAAAACATACCTATTAGGAATAGATTTATTATTAAAAGGTGTTACTTATTCCTGGTGGTGATAGTCTTACTCTTTATTAACACTATAGCTAGTATTACTTATCAATTATAATCTATTACTTGTGGAAAGATCTTTAGTGAACACAGAAATAAAATCTTAAAAATTCAAATCTTAAGATTTACTTGCTACAATTAATAGTACCTTTTGACAAAAACAGCTTTCTTCTTGAAGTGGCTCAGAAAAGCTAAATTGAGAAAATGTTTAATAGTAACTATAATCAACCTACAACTCCCAATAAGTCATTTCAGCAGGAAAATTTCATAAACCTGAGCTGAAGCAACAAATAAATATAAAAATCATAGCTGTCCAAGGTAGAAAGGTATGAATGTGGATCAGCAAAATGGGCACTCAGGTAAAATGATGACAGTAGTAGACTGCTTGCTTGTTTAGGTGCTAATGATGAAAGTAAAATTTGCTTTAGTTTAGTAGGTCTAATTTTTCTTAAAAGGATAGGCAGATTTTTCAGGGGAAGAGATCACCTTGCAACACTGTAACCATATCATCAGTTAAAAATTTAACACACTTAGACTCTTATTAGGGGGAAAAAATCTAAGTAAACACTGCAGTTAATTTCCAGGTAGGTTATTAATCTCTCCTAAAAAGTAACTGGGCCATTCCTTTCAATGACATATAAATCGTTACAGGTGCTTTTTACAGATAGATTTTACAAATAAAACCTTTACTCAATTATTTAAAACGAGCAAAAAGAGAGTAGAAAAATGGTGAGACTGCTACCCACCACCATTTGTATGTAAGTGACAGCAACTGAATACTTCTTTACTGAGACGAATCCTTTTTTTTAGTGAAAGTATTTTGTCTTGAATTTTAACAATCTGTACATGTACTGACTATAGTTAGTTATTTCTCACCAGTCACATACTCAAGAATTCTTTTACTCAGACCCATGACTTGACCACAGTGATAGCAGAAGCTGGGGTGGGCACAAATGCTTATACACAATATTACAAAAGACGACATTCACTGGCTTAGAGAAACTGATGAATTTTCATTACTTTTACATTTTATAAGGCTAGCTAACTTTAACAGTTAACTTTAGATAAATCTACTTACACAGTACAATCAACTCACAAATACTAAAAGGTTTCATGATCAAAATGGCTACTACTTCCCCCAAAACCAAAACAGAGTAAAGCACAAGTCTTTGGCTCTCCTTTAAAGAAAACAGCAGGTTACCATTCTTAACCAGACCTTTGTTTGCCTACCAGTAGGGCAAATACCACATTTGTGCATCACTGAGTAATAACACCATTAGAAAAGGCAACTTCACAGAAGTTATTGGCTAAGCGAATTCATTTGAATGCTCTGTTTTGAGGCAGCAAACTGTCACTGTTGCAGATTGGGGAGGGCAGTGGGTAAGTCAAGGGGAAATTACAGGGTGGAAAAAGGTCAAGAAAAAAAAAGACATATATGGAAAAATGTAAACTTTGAGCTCCATCCCTGAAGAACTCTGGAAAGTCTGATGGAGTTATATACTCAAAGTAGCAAATGAGAATCATACCAATATTCTTTTAGGCAAAAGAAATACATGGGAAAGAATAGAAGGGAAGGGAAATAAGATGGGAGAAAGGAATCACCAACATTAATGCTGTACCAAACAATTTTTTAAATACATTCTGAGTAGTTGAATATTTGTAGTTGGCATTAGGAATAATGTCTTATCAATATCTAGAATACTACTACTAGAAATCTAGCTAACTCTTCTTTTAATTAGAAAAGTAATAAGGAATGGATCTTTGGTCACTTCAGCCTCTGTACGTTATCTAAGACAGGACAGTTACTGGACTTATCTTATGACAAAATTATATATAAATTAGGCAAAAGAGCTACATATAAACCAGAAATGGAATCTAGATGTCTTATTCTCAGTTCTTCTACCCTTTCCTAGCGACTCCTTGAAAAAAGAGTAAGTCAAAATACTTTTATATTTCTCGCTATAAATAAAATTCCCTCACCTATGTATGAGTGAACACAATGCTTATTACTCCTACCTTAACCCATTCAAAATTGTTCATCTCAGATATCTGATTTTTGCTTTGGAATTTAGTGAAATACAAATAAAGTAATATTTAGAAGAAACTAATATTTTAGTAAGTAGAAAACATAAAAACTGTATTTCCTATCTGGTTTCATCTTTGTCTCTAAAAAAAAAAATTAAAAAGCCAGAAGCAATTAATACCTTTTCAATTTTGATTTTAAAAAAGTAGTTACAGAGTCAAGCAGTTATGCCCAAATATGCCATTTGTCCTTACAGGCTCATGATATCACAGAGAAAAGGAAAAGGAAAAAAAGCAAAAAACAAAAAACAAATTTTGGGGGTGTTAGTGAATTCCTAAAACCGCTGATGAGCACTAGGAAAGCTGCAAGAATTTCCATTAGGTAAGGTGGAATGACCAATTTAAAATACATTATAGGCACAATGGGACAATATACCATCCTTCTGCCTTTCTGCCCAACCAGATTAGCTCTAGAGTGTAGGACCATGGAGGGGTACAGCTTGAATTCAGGTTACAATTAAAGAGATTTTTTTTCCCCCAAATGAAAATACATGAAAAGAGAAAGATACTATTTTAAGTCAAGTTTATACAGTGACTTTTCTGGTTTTGTTCAGAACAGGAATACTGTATAAATTAATCCCTGCTCCTGCCTACTTCACAGAATCAAAATGGCAAAAGCCAAGAACAAGTGTATTTAAAGGAAATGAGAACAAGAATAACAGAAACTGAGTTACTAAGGGGTTTCAACTGATATCCAAAATGAATCTTTACTTTTATTTTAAACTTAAACAAAAATTAATACCCACAAATTATCTTCTAATACAAGAATCATTCTGAATTCCAAAGTGAATCAACTGCTTCTAAAATTTAGGATGATCTGACATACCCAAAGGAGAAGATCAGTCCAAATCTGCTTATAAGAAGGTTGTAGTACAAAAATTAGCTGGACGTGGTGGCGCGTGCCTGTAGTCCCAGCTACTCAGGAGGCTGAGGCAGGAGAATCGCTTGAACCCGGGAGGTGGAGGTTGTAGCGAGCCGAGATCAACCCACTGCACTCCAGCCTGGGCAACAGAAGCAGACTCCCTCTCCAAAAAAAAAAAAAAAAAAAAAAAAAGAAGGTTGGAGGCCAATAATGTTGCCTTTTACTGTTATGCAGAGAAATGAAAAATCTTGGGACTCTGTCAGACATACAAAAGTTTCTTTCCTTCTCCCAATAAACAATAGGCATTTAAAGTGGAAATGTAAAAGGGTTTTAAGTAAAAGTCAAAAAGCAAACAAAAGCCAAAAAAAAAAGAAAAAGCATACATATATATATATATATATATATATATATATATTTTTTTTTTTTTTTTTAAAAAAAGAAGACAAATGTATAAGAAAACTGGAAAAAAAAAAAGCCTCACCTTCATTCAGTGCTTCTACCACCTCCCAATCGGTCAATTTATCGCAACAGCTGCGCTCATGCGAAAAAATCCTTAAAACATACCCAATATATATACAGATATAGCTATGTATATATGTATATATATAATATATATATAAATTTTTATTTAAATAAAAAAGAAAGCTCGAATCCCAAGCCAATATGTGTATATCAAATCCTTGACCAGCCAGGTCTGTAGGGCATAATCAAATTCAATGTGAAATAGTATATAAACACGGTGCCTTGACTGGGCAAATTAAATAATTGCTACTCAAAAGAGTGTTCTGTTTGGACTCTCCTACTGGTAGGCAATGGCAGGACTGTATTACCCTTCCCACCCCCACCACCCATTTGTTTAAGTTAACAGTATGATGGACACAGAGCTTAGACTGAGGTTGTTATGACCTCAGCAGGAGTTAAGGGTTAAGAAAATAAGAAACAAGAAAAATATAAACTCTTGTTTTTACTCAACCAAAGCAATGTAGTAACTTATTACATAACCAGTGCTTTCTAATTTAGTAGTAAAATACAGAAAGGGAAACTGAAAAAAATCAGGCAAATAGAGGAATGGAGAGGGCAACTATATCAAACAGTCCCCACTAAACACGTTTTATAGGGTCTTAGTTAATTAAGCACAGACACATGGCATCAGAATATGTGCAGCAGAATTAAAAAAAAAAAAAACCTTACTCTTTTCAATATTTTCATGAAGAAACATTTGCAACATTGGACAGTTAAGTCTATGAAAAATGACTTCAAACTATTTCCTACCTACTTATACTAATGATTCTGAGCAACAAGTGATCAATTCATAAACTATCCTTAAGACTCAATCAGTTCACAAGTAAAACAAAACATCCATTAAAATAATGTGGCTCTATTCATTTTAAGTTCAAATCAAATGTTGCAGTTTTAAAACATAGTTGATTGTCCTTGTTTTTTAGCATCCTATGATGTCAGCAAAAGTTTAATTTGAAAAGCACTGCTTCAAATTTCCAACCATGAGCTGAACGCAGGCGAAACACCAAACATGTATTTTCAGTGCTAGTAAGTTACAGTTAATTCTTGATCAACATTTAAATCTAATTAAACACTGAATCAGCTTTCTGATTATATTAAGAGAATGCAAATGATCCTTAATATGAAAATGAGGACTTCAAAATTGGTAATTCTATTTGAAAAGTTGAAAATAAAAACAAGAAATAAAACCCTCCCAAACAAACAAAAAGCTTCAATGTCAAGAAAAATATACGTATCCAATGAAGCTAGTGATCTAGAAAGGGATAAAGAATTCCAAATAACAGCTCTGGGAAAAGTTGGTTTGCTGCACATTTTCTAATAACTCAGTCTAGTACTGTCTGTTTCTCAAGCACCACAGAATTCTCTGAAAGCTGACATTTTTGGTCTGTTTTAAGTTTATGGGGTGGTGAGAATTGATAAGGATTGGGGGTGAGGAATTATACAAATTATACACTGGGTATGTAATACCAAAATACAAGAAAACCTACTTCATTAAGATCATACAATTAATCAAACAGAGTGTATATATAATATCTTTTTTTTTTAAAGCCCTGGATCCAAGGCGTCCAAAGTTATTAAAATAAAGTTCATTCACAGAACAAAAACAAATTTAATCTGAATTGCTTGCAGATACTGCTAATTTTCTTTTTCTTTAAATTAAAAAAATGCATTAATGTGAACTATGTGCAGGGTTTGTTTTTAGTAGTGGTGTTTGTGCACATTGCCTCTGGTGAATTTCCTGGATTTCTCTGACCGCTCTTAAGAGAAAAAGTTTAGAAGTTATGCGTTCTCCTACCCCTATGCCCGACAAACTGATTAGGAGCAGAAGATAAAAGTAGGACTCCTCATATTTTAAGGAGCAGAACTGGGAGTAACTCCTGATCTCTGGGAGTCATTATTATCCCCTCCTCCCTCAGGGTCCTCTGACAGGTTCAGAGAGCTGGTCTTGTTTGATAGGAGGCTGATATTCTCTTGTGTCAAGGCTGATCCATTTGGTACATCACTGCTGACATTTTAAAATTTTGAAAAAGGAGAGAGAGAAAAATGATTACTACAATAAAATCAACAGGGGATATAATTTAGCATGATTGAAAATATATAAATGGCTTCCACATTTTAATCTACAGCCCCTTATCCATGTTTTAGCACACAGTTGGCAAACTAAAGCTAGCCAGGTGCGTATTTTTTTTTTCAGGTGCATATTTTTGTAACTAAAGTTTTATTGGAATATAGCCTGGTCATTTGTTTAACGTATTATCCACTGCTTTCAAACCACAGAGCAGAGTTGAGAATTGCGACAAAAACTGTAAGGCCCGTATCTTAAAATACTTACTACCTGGCCTTTAAGAAGAGTACTTATCCCTGATTTAGCAGGTTTGCTACTACAAGAAATAATTTTGAGCTCATGCCTATAATCCCAGCACTTTCGGAGGCCAAGGCAGGTGGATCACTTGAGCTCAGGAGTTGGAGATCAGCCTGGCCAACATGGTGAAACCCTGTCTCTACTAAAAATACAAAAATTAGCCTGGTGGTGTGTGCCTGTAAAAACCTACTAGGGAGGCAGAGGCACAAGAATCACTTGAACCTGAGAGGCAGAGGTTTCACTGAGCCAAGATCGCACCACTACACTCCAGCCTGGGTGACAGAATGAGATTTTATCAAAAAAAAAAAAAAAAAAAAAAAAAAAGCCAGGCATGGTGGCTCATGCCTGTAATCCCAGCACTTTGGGAGGCCGAGGCGGGTGGATCATGAGGTCAGGAGTTTGAAACCAGCCTGGCTAAGACACTGAAACCCCGTCTCTATTAAAAATGCAAAAACTAGCCGGGTGTGGTGGCACGCGCCTGTAGTCCCAGCTACTCGGGAGGCTGAGGCAGGAGAATCACTTAAATCCAGGAGGCGGAAGTTGCAGTGAGCCGAGATCATGCCATTGCACTCCAGCCTGGGTGACGGAGTGAGACTCCATCTCAAAAAAAAAATAAAAAAGAATCCAAGATAGTGCATGAATTAAAAAAACAGTCAAAATCCAAGTCTGAAAGCATTAGAAATTTTTGTTATATATCATCAGGGGGGCAACTTAGGACTATGCATTCAAAAGCCTCAAAATAGCCTTAGAAAATAATTTAAGATATGCAAACAAAGCATTAATTGTAATACTGTTTATTGTAGGGTTGTTCATGGTAGTTGATATGTATCTTTCCGTATCTACAGAATAATACTGGATGATATAGGATAGACTGAATTAAAAACCAGGGAGATGGAGTGCTGGGTTTGTAAAACTAGCAAGAGGCTAAATGCCCACACACTTTAAAAAGACTGGAAAGAGCCGGGTGCGGTGGCTCATACCTGTAATCCCAGCACTTTGGGAGGCCGAGGCAGGTGGATCACCTGAGGTCGGGAGTTTCAGACCAGCCTGACCAACATGGAGAAACCCTGTCTCTACTAAAAATACAAAATTAGCCAGGCATGGTGGTGCATGCCTATAATCCCAGCTACTCGAGAGGCTAAGGCAGGAGAATCGCTTGAACCCAGGAGGCGGAGGTTGCCGTGAGCCGAGATCGTGCCATTGCACTCCAGCCTGGGCAACAAGAGTGAAGCTCCGTCTCAAAAAAAAAACTGGAAAGATAATATAATACACCAAAATGTTAACAAGAGTTATCTCTGAATATTGGAATTACAGGCAATTTTAAAATTTGCCCTTTTCTAAAATTTTCCATTTCCTAAAGCTAATTTTTTATAATATATTTAAGATGGGGGAGTGACTTTATTTTTTGTTTTTTCTTTTTTTTTACATTGAGCATATAGTATTTTTATAATGTAAAGATATAAGGCTGTATTCGAAATAAATTTAAAAACAAGGGGAAGATGGAAACATAACCAGAAATTTTCCTTTGTTAGGTATTAACAGATAATTCAACCTTGGATCTAAGTTTTGTAACTCCAGATTTATGCAAAAATATTCTTTTTTTTTTTTTGAGACCGTGTCTCACTCTGCTGCCAGGCTGGAGTACAGTGGCACGATCTTGGCTCACTGCAACCTCCTCCTCCCAGGTTCAAGTGATCCTCCTGCCTCAGCCTCCCGAGTAGCTGGGACTACAGGCACATGCCACCACACCAAACTAATCTTTGTATTTTTAGTAGAGACGGGGTTTCACCATGCTGGCCAGGATGGTCTCCATCTCTTGACCTCGTGATCTGCCCACCTCGGCTTCCCAAAATGCTGGATTACAGGCGTGAGCCACTGCGCCCGGCCGCAAAAATATTCTTTATGTACACAGAATAATGATATTTTAAGAATCAAATTATATTTATGAGGGTATTTCTGATATGACTGGATAATATATTAGTTTCTCTTTTGTGTGTAATTTAATATGGCTACGACAATCTCCTTTTCTTTACCTGAATGTCAATGTAAGGTCCTCAGCCGGAACCTTGTTTTGTGGTTCTGGTTGTCCATTTTCTGCTTGTTTACTTGTATTCAGTTTGCTTTTCATGTCCAGAGAACACTGGTTTTCCTTTGAAAGAGAAGGAAATAAAATCAGTTATCATCTATTTAATGGTGTTAATGGGAGAGACCAAATTACAGATAATACAAAGTGATGATCCAGAAATCATATTCAATTTTGTAAAATAACCAAAGAAACTGGCAGACTAAAAGAGTGACATACATAAAAACATAACAGAATACAATCCACTTGCTCACTAACCAAGCTGGACAATAAGACAGACAATGCCTCAAGCTAACATGAAAAAAAATTTCTCAGAAAAAAACAATGACCTAGAAAGGCGGCCAGGCATGGCGGCTCACGCCTGTAATACCAGCAGTTTAGGGGGCTGAGGCAGGTGGACTGCTGAGGTCAGTTTGAGACCAGCCTGGCCAACATGGCGAAACCCCGTCTCTACTAAAAATACAAAAATCAGCTGGGCGTGGTGGCACACGCCTGTAATCCCAGCTACTCAAGAGGCTGAGGGGGAGAATCACTTGAACCCAGAAGACGGAGGTTGCAGTGAGCTGAGATTGCACCACTGCACTCCCCACCTGGGTGACAGAGTGAGACTCCCTCTCAAAAAAAGGAAAAAAAAAAAAAAAAGGCTAGGCATGGTGGCTCACACCAGTAATCCCAGCACTTTGGGAGGCTGAGGTGGGCGTATCACCCGAGGTCAGGAGTTTGAGATCAGCCTGGCCAACAAGGCGAAACCCCGTCTCTACTAAAAATATAAAAAAAATTGGCTGGGTGTGGTGGCAGGTGCCTGTAATCCTGGCTACTTGGGAGGCTGAGGCAGAAGAATCACTTGAACCCAGGAGGCAGAGGTTGCAGCGAGCTGAGATCGTGCCACTGCACACCAGCCTGGGCAATAGTGCGAGACTCCGCCTCAAAAAAAAAAAACTAAAAAAAAAATAAAATACAAAACAAAAACTACCCTGGTGTGGTGGCAGGCACCTGTAATCCCAGCTACTCGGGAGACTGAGGCAGGAGAATCACTGGAACATGGGAGGCGGAGGTTGCAGTGAGCTGAGGTTGGGCCACTGCCCTCCACCCTGGGTGACAGAGACTCAGTCTCAAAAAAAAAAAAAAAAAAAAAAGAAAAGAAAACCAAAGTACAATAAATATCTTTAACATACTTACTGAAAGCAAAAAAAACCTGCATGCTCAATTTATTTGCTTAGAAAGATTATGAAAACTGGCTGGGCGTGGTGGCTCACACCTGTAATCCCAGCACTTTGGGAGGCTGAGGCGGGCGGATCACGAGGTCAGGAGATCGAGACCATCCTGGCTAACACGGTGAAACCCCGTCTCTACTAAAAATACAAAAAATTAGCCAGGCGAGGTGGCAGGCGCCTAGTCCCAGCTACTTGGGAGGCTGAGGTAGGAGAATGGCGTGAACCCGGGAGGCAGAGCTTGCAATGAGCCGAGATCGCACCACTGCACTCCAGCCTGGGCGACAGAGACTCCGCCTCAAAAAAAAAAAGAAAGATTATGAAAACTAAGCAACAAAAAAAATCATATCATGCAACCTGAGGAAGCCCCTAAGATTCAAAATTTACTAAAATGAATGTCTGTGCACTATGAAGCAAATCCTAAGCATATTAATGGATATAGTTTTTCCTAAGCATACATAATGGATACAGGAAACAATGTGCAGATTGCATATCACTCATAGCAAAAATAGGTCATCATTATAAAGGCTATGAAACTAGAATGTTATTTGGTGAATACATCTTTATATAACATGTTGTCATTGCAAAATAGTAAACACCATCCTATTTGCTTCCCTAATCAGTATGCTAAACAGAAATTTAAGACTTCCATTAAGTTCTTAAATTACAGAAGCATTAAAACCTTGTTTTCCCTAAAAGTTAACGAAGAATTATAAGACAAAGAACACACCCAAACCAAGAGAATGAGGAAGGGAATGATAAAATCGGAAGGTAGCCCACCTGCATGAGAATTATTTTAAATATTAACCACTCATCAGAGTGCCTTGAAGTGATGATTCTGTGCCTCTAGATAATTCTAGAGCCACATGAAAGATTTCATTTCACCTTCCCTCTCTTTCCCCACCATAACACTCACCATACTCAGTTCCCGTGTTCTCTTCCCGATTTCCCTTTCCACCTGGTGCAGTTCCAAGCTCAACTGCTCACTTGAGATCATCCCAGGCCATTTTGGAGGTGGCGGTGGTGGGGGCTGTGACTGGCCTGCCAGGGTGTTTGCCTCCCTCTGCAACACCAGCCTGTTACTAACAGCCTAGTGCATAAAGCCAAGCACACAGAAAACTCAACACACTTCACACCATGCACAGAATAACCAGGCTCAATTCCAGACCACAGCCTTGAGTAGCTTATCACCCAGCCATTTGCAACAAAATAATGCAACTGTAAGGTGCTGTTCTCTTTGAGTACCATTCAAACAAAAAAATAACAAAATAGGGACATTTAAATTTAGTAAACAGTAATTTCATCTTATGTATAAATTGCTCCTTGTATTTTCTGATTTGAAAGAGAAGTTGGCTACGCATGGTGGCTTGTGCCTTTAATTCTAGCACTTTGGGAAGCTGAGGTGGGAGGATCACTTGAGGCCAGGAATTTGAGATCCACCTGGGCAATATATCAAGACCTCGCCTCTACAAAAAATAAAAAATAAAAAAACCAAAAAATTAGCCTGGGATGGTGGTGTGGGCCCGTAGTCCTAGCTACTAGGGAGGATCACTTGAGCCCAGGAGTTTAAGATTACAGCGAGCTGCTATGATCATGCCACTGCACTCCATGCACTCCAGCCTGGGCAACAGAGTGAGACTTTGTCTCTCAAAAAAAAAAAAAAAAAAGGAAATGGAAGAAAAACAAGTCAACTACAGATGTGCATCTTTCCCCCTCTGTTTTTAATGGTAATTTTCTCTGAAGTAAATCCTATAACTTATTTCAATGAAACCTCAGTAATGGCAAGGACTTTTAACTGTACTGAGTTAAATATGTGGCAAGTTTCTAAATAATACTGATAGTCTTTTTGGACAGAAAATGCTCCTGGAAACTTTAAAACAAAAAATCATGCATGTGGTGGGGGGAAAGCGGAGGGATAGCATTAGGAGATATACCTAATGTAAATGACGAGTTAATGGGTGCAGCACACCAACATGGCACATGTATACCACATGTAACAAACCTGCACGTTGTGCACATGTACCCTAGAACTTAAAGTATATAAAACAAACAAACAAACAAACAAAAAACCATGCATTTGAAGATATGGAGTAATGCCTTATTGGGTTGAAGGTCTGAATCTTTAAAAAGTTAATGAACGAAAGATTGCCATAAGCAAACATGGCATTCTGTTTCTATGACAGGAATCGGCAAGACGTTCTGAATCAATGTAAATAAGCAATGGCGAAAGCAGACAAAATCTAAGTATTACATAGATTTTTAAAATTCCTAAATCTAATTGCGTACATAGGGGCACAAGCCAGCTATATGTTCCAAAAACAATCTCCTACTGGTCTTCCTAAAAAGAAAGTCTACTAAGAAAGTCTGTCTTATAACTTTTTTTCCCCCCTAAAGTGATGGCTTACTTATTATTAAAGATTATGGTAGAAAGACAGACTAATGTTCTAACAGTACCATTTTTTCCTCCAGAAAGGACAATATATTTATCATTAGAATGTCTTCAGTTTTCCATATTCAAAGAATATGTTCCAACGTAAAGGATGATGTATAAACAAAACCTAGTCTTCCTTATGTGGCACTTAAAAGATTTTAAAAATTCCTTTTTTTTTTTTTTTTGAGACAGAGTCTCACTCTGTCACTCAGGCTGGAGTGCAGTGGCACCATCAGGGCTCACTGCAGCCTCAACCTCCCTGGGCTCAGGTGATCCTCCTGCCTTCAGCCTCCTGAGTAGCTGAGACTACAGGCGTGCACTACCATGCCTGGCCAATTTTTGCACTTTTTGTAGTGAAGGGATTTTGCCATGTTGCCCAGGCTGGTCTCAAACTCCTGAGCTCAAGCAATCCATCTGCTCTGGCCTCCCAAAGTGCTGGGATTACAAGCATGAACCACCACGTCCAGCCAGATTTTAAAAATTCTTTAGTTTTGTTTTTCTAAGTGTCAGGCAGCATGATGGAAAGAACACTGAATCTGGAGTATGAAGACTTGGGTTCGTGTTTCAACTTCTGAGAAACTCATATACTTCAATCAAAAAAGGAGGACAATACCACCTGCCTAAAATATCAGGGATATTCTAAGGGTCAAATAAGATAAGTGGTAGTGATTTTTAAATGGTACAGAACTACGTAAATGAAAAGTGTTATTATTCTTATTACACCGGAACTATGTTTTACTTTTTAAGTCAAAGTTCTGTTTTTTTTTTTGAGACGGAGTCTCACACTGTAGCCTGGGCTGGAGTGCAATGGCGCAATCTTGGCTCACTGCAACCTCTGCTTCCTGGGTTCACACGATTCTCCTGCCTCAGCCTCCTGATTAGCTGGGATTACAGGTGCACACCACCATGCCCGGCTAATTTTTTGTATTTTTAGTAGACACGGGGTTTCACTATGTTGGCCAGACTGTTCTCAAACTCCTGATCTTGTGATCCACTTGCCTCGGCCTCCCAAAGTGCTGGGATTACAGGGGTGAAACCCTATCTCTACTAAAAATACAAAAAATTCGCTGAGTATGGTGGTGTACATCTATAACCCCAACCACTCAGGAGGCTGAGGCAGGAGAATTGCATGAACCCAGGAGGTGGAGGTTGCAGTGAGTTGAGATCACGCCACCTCACTCCAGCCTGGGCAACAGAGCAATACTGTCTCAAAAAAAGAAAACCAAAACAAACAAACAAACAAACAAACAAAAAAAACCTTAAATGTGCCATCAGGGAATATAAGCTCCTGTTGGGAAATTTTACGTAATCTGTTTTCTATTTTTAGGTAGCAGAAATTTTACGTTTTCTGTTGTCCCAGAGCTAAATCCAGTATTGAATTCTTTGAAGAATAGAAACCTATACTAACTCCTAAGAAATAGACCTTAAAGTTTTTTGTTCACAGTGCCTCAAAAGTTCCTATTTAAAATCTCTGAGAACCCTTCAAAAATTGGAATAAAATGGCTCTCTAGGCTGGTACCTCTAGTCCACGTAGCTGGGTCTGCTGGCTAATCTGATGGTTCAATTGCTGCAATTCTAGTCGTAGCTGTTCTCTCTCAGCAGATGGAAGGGGTTTTCCATGACTGGCCACTTCTGACATAGATATTCTCTCCCTTTGGTTAGAAAGAAAGTGTGAATCAAATTTTAACATTTCATTTTGTTAACATATTACTGACCAGAAAAACAAAAAGAAGTTGCCTAATTTTAAAGGTTTCTACATGTTTGTTCAAGTAAAAAGAATGACTCATACCTCTCACTGAAGTGTCCCTGAGAAGGTATGTTTTGATGAGGTGAATATGGAGAAGCTCCCCAGCCACCGTGGGTTCCATATGGACTATAATCTGTAAGAGAATGATTTATTATGGTATAATTCACAGATTTGATTCTTCTTTTAAGGTATTCATAATCTGAAAGACATCAGCGTATTGCATACACAGGTATCTGGTATCTACCCTAAATGTCCAGATTTTTAAAATTCTTTAACTTTGTTTTTCTAAATATCAGGCAGCATGATGCTGGGTGCTGATATATGTTTGTTTCTTCCCCAATGAACTTTCAGTCTTTGTAGTTTTTCTTCCAAATTACTGTATAATGAGAATGTTATTCCCCCAAATAACAATTAAGCTATTTGGGGTGGGGGTGGAGTGGGGAAGAAACATTAGGAAAGCTTCACATATAGACATTTAATTTCAGTTTATATACCTAAAATTCTCTGGGTTATATTACCTTTCTTACAGGGATGATTCCATGGAAAGTTTGAAAATTACTGCCTTGCAAGATTACTAAAAACACTGATAGTAAATGGAGAGCAGGGGTAATGCTGAAAGTCAAGATTATGAACCCTTTAGGTCAGCTTACCTCTGAGATTCTTACCTGAAATGTTAATAGATTTTGTAGGAGCTCCCTGAGGTGCCATAGCCTGCATTGGACCAGCACCCTGATATATAGTTTTGGAAGTTCGTGAGATGGCACCAAACCGAGACACTGTTGGTCGGTCTCCAAATGGGATGAGGTCATCATCACTGGTTTCTGCTGCTCTTCTCTGAAGATCTAATCGCTGGTCCCTCATTCCTTTACTCTCCACATTCTGATAAAAAAGCAAAATGAGAAATTACCCCACACTCAGATCGCTCTGTAACCTAATTTTTTCTAGATCTGTAATAAGGTTAAAGAAGAGTACAGCACTCTTACTGGTAAGACTAAAATCATTAGTTACCTTTGGTTGTTTTTATGTAACACTGGTTTTTAAACCTCTGAGGTGAGGGGCGACAGGGTCTCACACCGTGGCCCAGGCTGGAACGTAGGGGCACTCTCATGGCTCACTGCATCCTCAACCTCCTGGGCTCCAGTGATCCTCCCACCTCAGCCTCCTAGGTAGCTGGGACTACAGGCATGTACCAGCACACCCAGCTAATTTTTTTTGATTATTTATAGAGATGAGGTCTCCCTATGTTGACCAGGCTGGTCTCAAACTCCTGGGCTTAGCTTGCCTCAAGCTCAGCCTCCCAAAGTGCTGGGATTACAGGTATAAGCCACTGCACCTGGCCTAAGAAATATATTTTTAAAATTTATGGGAGGCCACTGTTTTGGACTAAGCTCCCGCACTAAGCCCCAAGACACCAGATCAAAGCAGAATGTAATCACTTATGCTAGATGCCACAAAATCAAACTGAACTTGAAAATGGGCCAGTTTTCCAAAAAACAGGAGATTCACAGCAATCAATCATAAGAGGACCACTCAATTTGAACTGGTAAGTCCCTTCTGCTTTAGTCCTATAAGGAAAATAACTTTGAAACAACTAATCTGAGTTTTGTTCCTTTTCTCTGTTTAGCTCATTAGAGCATCTTTCTATTTCACAGATGAAATGCTTCCTGATTAATCAATCACTAATAAAAGCCAATTCAATCTTGAAGAAATATATATATATATATAATGACCTAGTATATATATATGCATACAAATATATATTTATCCCTATATAATGTTACACATATATATAGACACACAAATATATAGTTTGTATGCACATTAACATTTGAGAAATACTAGGTTAGACTTCTTTCACCTATTTGGGAGGTTTTCAATTACCTCTAGATTGGATTGCAACTTTTTGTTTGTTTGTTTTTGAGACAGGGTTCTGCTGTCACCAGGTTGGACTGCAGTGATGTGTGAGCCTCAACCTCCTGGGCTCAAGCGATCCTCCTGCCTCAGCTTCTCAAGTAGCTGGGACCGGCGTGCACCACCACACCTGGCTAATTAAAAAAATTTTTGAAGAGATGGGGTCTTGCTATGTTGCCCAGGCTGGTCTTGAACTCCTGGGCTCAAACAATCCTCCCACCTTGGCCTCCCAAAGTGCTGGGGTTACAGGTTTGAGTCACCATGCCTGGCCCAAACTTTTTAATTCTTTACTGATTTAAGAAAATGAGTTTTATTTTGCTAATACTCGTGTTACTTTAATATAATAACCCTTTCCTTTTGAAAGCCAAGTACAAGGCAAAGATTCCTGCCTAATTTCCCCTCATTTCGTTCCAATAAGAGCCTTACTACAGCCTAAAAACAATGCTTCTGTAATTCTACTGCAAAAAAAAAAATTTTATTTTGCTTTTTCTTCCTCTAAAACTCTCTATTTTTTTGGGGGGGGGGGTGGGGCTGGCATATAATTGTATTTATGCTATTAGATATCACTTCACTCATTTACAGTGGTTATCAGCATCCAAATCTTTTTTTATTGCAAATATTGGTCTTTTCTTAACCACCTGGAAAAGTATTTATCTATGAAAATCTATATAATAACCTAGGAAACCTCTGTTAGAGTTAATAAGGACAAATGGGTTAAGAATAATAGTGAAGGCATACCTTTCAGCAATACCATTTCTTTTTTTTTTTTTCTGAGATGGAGTCTCACTCTGTTGTCTAGGCTGGAGTGCAGTGGCGCAATCTCGGTTCACTGCAACCTCTGCCTCCCAGGTTCAAGCAATTCTCCTGCCTCAACCTCCCAAGTACCTGGGATTACAGGCTCCTGCTACCATGCCCAGCTAATTTTTGTGTATTTAGTAGAGATGAGGTTTCGCCATGTTGCCCAGGCTGGTCTCAAACTCCTGACCTCAAGTGATCCGCCTGCCTTGGCCTCTGAAAGTGCTGGGATTATAGGTATGAGCCACAGTACCCAGCCAGCAATACCATTTCTAAGTGTAACTTTCACACACGTGAAGACATACATAAGAATGTTTGAAGAATGTTTGTTGGAGTACCATACCTAACAGTGAAAGATCAGAAATAGCCTAAATGTCCACCAATACAAAAAATAATCATTGTATGGTATCAGTTACACAGAATATCTCGTAAAAGCAGCTAAAATCAATAATCCTGAGCTACAGATATAAATACAGACTGGGCGTGGTGGCTCACACCTGTAATCCCAGCACTTTGGGAGGCCGAGGAGGGCAGAGCACCTGAAGTCAGGAGTTCGAGACGAGCCTGACCAATATGGTGAAACTCCATCTCTACTAAAAATACAAAAAAATTAGCCGGGCATGGTGGTATGTGCCTGTAGTCCCAGCTCCTCGGGAGGCTGAGGCAGGAGAATCACTTGAACCCAGAATGCAGAGGTTGTAGTGAGCTGAGATCATGCCACTGCACTCCAGCCTGGGTACAGAGTGGAACTCCGTCTCAAAAAAAAAGTACACATCTTAAAAGCAATGCTAAGTGAAAACATGAAAATGCAAGCTGAAGTGTACAATTTACATAAGGTCTATAAACATATAAAACAATATTGTTTAGGAATAGTATAAAATTATCCATGGCCAGGCATACTGGCACACATCTGTAACTACAGCACTTTCAGAAGCAGGAGAATCGCTTGAGCCCAGGAGTTCAGGACCAGCCTGTCCTACCCAGGCAACATAGCAAGACCTCATCTCTACCAAAAAAAAAAAAAAAAAAAAAGAGCTGAGCATAGTATCACACATCTGTGTCCCAGCTACTTGGGAGGGTGAGGTGGGAGGATCACTTGAGTCCAGGAGTGTGAGGCTGCAGTGAGCTGTGATTGTGACACTGTACTCCAGCATGAGGGAGATCCTGTCTTAGGGGAAATAAAATTATCCATGAAAATGATAAATACTAAACTCAGGATAGAGATTACTTAGAGGGAATGAAACAGGGAGAAAAATGAGACTTGGGGGATTTATACAGGGGGATATAACTACTTCTTGAAAATTTTATTTCTTTAAAAAATAAAAAGGGAATTAAGATACTATCCAGGTAGGGTAGCTCATGCCTGTAATCCCAGCATTTTGGGAGGGAGAGGCGGGAGGATCACTTGAGGCCAGGAGTTTAAGATCAGTCTGGAAACATAGCAAGACCCCATCTCTACAACATTTTTTTAAAAAAATTAGCTGGGTGTGGTAGCAAGCACCTGTAGTCTTAGGTACTCAGGAGGATCACCTGAGTTCAGGAGTTTGAGGTTACAGTGAACCATAATCATGTTACTGCACTACACCCTGGGTGACAAAGATCGATCCTATCTCTATAAAAAGAGATAAGATGAAGCCAGGCACGGTGGCTCACGCCTGTAATCCCAGCACTTTGGAAGGCCGAGGCGGGTGGATCACTTGAGGTCGGGAGTTCAAGACCAGCCTGACCAACATGGAGAAACCCCATCTCTACTAAAAAATATAAAATTAGCTGGCCGTGGTGGCGCATGCCTCTAATCCCAGCTACTCGGGAGGCTGAGGCAGGAGTATCACTTGAACCTGGGAAGTGGAGGTTGTGGTGAGCCGAGATCGCGCCATTGAACTCCAGCCTGGGCAACAAGAGTGAAACTCCATCCCCCCCCCAAAAAAAGAGATAAGATTTTGATAATATTTTCAACTTGGTTATTAGAAACACTGGTGTTACATGATTTTTCACTAAAGAATAAAATAACCCAAGTATTAAATTTCAGTATCTCAGCATTCACTTGAAGCTGAGCAGCTATAATTCTGACTCAAATACTACTTTTGTTCACTAGATTCAACTTTGTTATTTAAACTTCAGAGCTGTGAAAAAAAAATTTTTTTTTTTTGAGACGGAGTCTCGCTTTGTCACCCAGGCTGGAGTGCAGTGGCACGATCTTGGCTCACTGCACGCTCTGGCCTCCCGGGTTCATGCCATTCTCCGTGACAAAGAATTTTAACTTATTTGGTGAAGAAGTCCAAGATCTTAATTAATTATGTAAAATAATTTAATCTGGGTTATAAACAATTGTTGAGAAATTGCTATTTGCACAGAAATATAATAAATGCTCTGTCTCGGTAAGTATTAAAATATTTTTATTTACACCTAAATGAATCAAAAACCTATACTGTTTAAAGATAACTCAACTGCAGAGTATAGAATATGGTCTGAAACTCTTAAGCAAAGCTGAATTATTTGTGCCTAAATGGTAATGGGTAAAAATTTATTTGGTTTATCTTAATTTGTATTAATTATTGCTTAGCTATTACACATACCATCATTTCCACACTCCCTGCTGCCACAACATCTTTGGGTTTTGCATCTTTGGTTCCAATGTAGGAGCCGATGGTGTCACATGACCAGGGAGAGTATTGGCTATAATCATTTCCTTTGTATTTCCCAGCTACCTTCAAGTCTTCATCCAAAAACTACAGATGGAGAAAGAAAAAAAACAAAAAAAAAAAAAAGAGAAAGAAACAAAACAGGAAATGGGTCTATGAGTAACAAGACAGAGAAAGCAGGGAATTTCTTAGAACATCGTGCTGAAGCAACATAATGATGATTATTTGATTTTTAAGTGCCACAATAGAAGATTTTTGTAAACTACTATGAAAAATATAAAATAAGTGAAGAGTGATTTTTAGCTTTCAGGTTTTTTTTTTTTGTTTTTTTTTTTTACCTTAGCAGAAGGTAAAAAAAAAAAAAAAAAAAAGGTATTTCAATATCCTTCCAGGAATCAAACTAGGATTTTATGGGTTTGCTCATCCTTTTCTTCATTAGATCAGTAAACATTTAAGCATATATGTACCAAGCCATAGTTTTGCTAGACCCTCCTCAACGTTTCTTTCAATAAAATCAAGGTAAACAAGAACATTAAAAATTTTGATTTTTATAGTACATGATGATGTAGTAACTTTTTACTGAAATCTCTTTAATAGCAATAATTCATATCTTGAATAAATTCTGTTCCTTAGGTTGATTCAATGAGATGAAAAGGATGTCTAATTTTTATCTTCTCAAGGTAAGTTCTCCAGTCTAATAACAGAATAGCTATTCTAAGGCTAATGTATTTTCACTAAAATTGCAACATTCACATTTATAAAATGTTTTACATTTTCAAAGTGTTTTCATGTATACTACCTAATAAGCTCCTAAATCCATGATAGACAACACAGATGATATGACCAAGGCTATACCAGTATAGGGCAGTGCTAGGACTATAACTTTAATGTTTCTTTCATTTTATCACAAGACATACATACACTGATATCTAGGGGTATCAGTGTTCATTTGTATTGGTTCATTTAAGTGGATCTATGCCTCCCGCTATACTAAAAACATCTCTTTTCTGAGTCATCATTATTGGCCTTCTGCATTGACATAGGGTCTGCTGCTCACTAATATCACTCATTGTCAATCACTCTTCTGTCTCTATTATTCATAACCTCTTCCCTTTTCTTTGTCCTACTACTATTTAAAAAATTTTTATCCTTTTTTATTTTTCTTCTACTTACTAACTTTAGATAGAACAGCCAACTTTTAAACCACATGACCTACCAATTACAGTGCTCCTTTTTTTTGAGATGGTGTCTCGCTCTGTCACCCAGGCTGAAGTGCAGTGGCATGATCTCTGCTCACGCAACCTCTGCCTCCCAGGTTCAAGCCATTCTCCTGACTCAGCCTCCCAGGTATCTGGGATTACAGGTGCATACCTCTACACCCAGCTAATTTTGTATTTTTAGTAGAGAAGGGGTTTCACCATGTTGGCCAGGCTGGTCTGGAACACCTGACCTCAGGTGATCCACCCACCTCAGCCTCCCAAAGTGCTGGGATTACTGGCGTGAGCTACCATGCCTGGCCAAGAGTGCTCCTTTTTTAAATCTCTGTAGTGTATTATATGTAGCTATTTAAATGAATGAGATAAATTTATATACTGACATACAAAGACGGCCAGGAGAATGGATTAGGTAAAAACAAAAACAAAGGCAAGACAGACATAAAACCAAGATGTATTTACTAAATGATCCTATTAAAAAATAATAATGAGGCTGGGCAAGGTGGCTCACGCCTGCAATCCCAGCACTTTGGGAGGTCGAGGCGGGCAGACCACCTGAGGTCGGGAGTTCAAGACCAGCCTGGCCAAGGTGGTGAAACCCTATCTCTACTAAAAATACAAAAATTAGCTGGGCGTGTTGGTGCATGACTGTAGTCCCAGCTACTCGAGAGGTTGAGGCAGGAAAATTGCTTGAACCTGGGAGGCGGAGGTTGCAGGGAGCCAAGTTCATGCCACTGCACTCCAGCCTGGGCAACAGAGTGAGACTCCATCTCAAATAATAATAATAATAATAATACAGAGATCCAACAATCCCACTACTGGGCATTCATTCAAAGGAAAAGAAATCAGTATATGAAGGGATATCTGCACTCTCATGTTTTATTCCCAATAGCCAAGATATGGAATCAACCTAGGTATCCAGCAACAGATGAATTGATAAAGAAAATGTGGTATATATACAATGAAATACTATTCAGACATAAAAAAATAAATCCTGTCATTTGCAGCAACATAGATGAGCCTAGAGGACATCACATTAAGTGAAATTGGTCAGGCACAGAAAGACAAATATTTCATGTTCTCACTCAATGTGGGAGCTAAAAAGTTGAGTCACAGAAGTAGAGAGTGGAACTGTGGTTATGAGAGACTAGAAAGGGAATGGGGGGAGGGAAGGGGAGAGAGCTTGGTTAACAGATACAAAATTATAGCTACACAGGAGGAATTACTTCTAGCATTCTATAGCACTGCAGGGTGAGTACAGTTAATAATTTACTATATATTTTCTAAAAACTAGAAGAGAGGATTGTTTTTCCTGATTTGAAAAAATTATGTTTTTTTGAAGAAAACTTTTAACATCATAAACTGATCTTTATATACAATTTTATCCATTATTTCTATAGACCAATTCCATCCAGGTTTATTTACTTATTTACAAATGACATAAAAAATTTGGACGGGGCATGGTGGGTGGATTGCTTGAGCCCACGAGTTTGAGACCACCAGCCTGGGCAACACAGCAAGACCCTGTCTCTTTTTTAAGAAAACAGAAACATTTAAAATTTTCTACTTAGGATCTTGAAAGTCAAAATAAAATGGAAAGTATCTAGGATAGATTGACAAAAGAAAGGAATATCAACAAAATGATTTTCGATTTGAGGAAGAAAGAAACCACAATCTTAGGCTGGGTGTGGTGGCTCACACCTATAATCCCAGCACTTTGGGAGGCTGAGGCGGGCAGATCACGAGGTCAGGAGATCGAGACCATCCTGGCTAACACGGTGAAACCCTGTTCCTACTAAAAATACAAAAAATTAGCCAAGCGTGGTGGCGGGCGCCTGTAATCCCAGCTACTCGGGAGGCTGAGGCGGGAGAATCGCTTGAACCTGGGAGGCGGAGGTTGCAGTGAGCCGAGATCACGCCATTGCACTCCAGCCCAGACGACAGTGTGAAACTCTGTCACAAAAAAAAAAAAAAAAAAAGAGAAACCACAATCTTCATACAACAACAACAACAACAACAACAACAACATCACGTTTGCAGTAAGAGATGTTGGCTTTTTTTTTTTTTTTTGAGAAGGAGTCTTGCTCTGTCACCTAGGTTGGAGTGCAGTGGCGCGATCTCGGCTCACTGCAAGCTCTGCCTCCCAGGTTCACGTCATTCTCTCACCTCAGCCTCCCGAGGAGCTGGGACCGCAGATGCCCACCACCACGCCCGGCTAGTTTTGTTTTCGTATTTTTCGTAGAGACAGGGTTTCACTGTTAGCCAGGATGGTCTTGATCTCCTGACCTCATGATCTGCCCACTGTAGCCTCCCAAAGTGCTGGGATTACAGGTGTGAGCCACCGCGCCCGGCCAATTTATAAAGGAATCTTGAGATAAACACTATGTCAACAATGTTGTAGATACAAAAAGCAAGGACAACAGTAGATCTACCCAGCATTTTTCCTTGAAATAAAATCTGAAAATCATAAGGAGATATTTATTTAGCCCACAGGAAGAATGTTATTCCTACAATGTTACATAATACAAAAATTTACAATTAAATGTAACACTGCTCTCTTCTTCAAAGAAAAGTTGGATGACTGGCCAGGCGCAGTGGCTCATGCCTATAATCGCAACACTTTGGGAGGCCGAGGTGGCTAGATCATCTGAGGTTAGGAGATCAAGACCAGCCTGGCCAACATGGTGAAACCCTGCCTCTACTAAAAATACAAAAATTAGCCTGGCATGGTGGTGCATGCCTGTAATCCCAGCTACTCAGGAGGCTGAAGCAGGAGAATCACTTGAACCTGGGAGGTGGAGGTTGCAGTGAGCCGAGATCGTGCCACTGCACTCTAGCCTGGGCAACAGAGCAAGAGTCTGTCTCAAAAAAAAAAAAAAAGAAAAAAAAAAGAAAAGAAAATTTGGATGACTGTTCTGAATGACTTAAATGCTACCTACCTACCAGTCAAAGGGTGACCTGAAACTCTCTGGAAGCATCCTGCATTTCTGTAACCTTGACCTTCCAGCAGTGAGTATCACATACACAATTGTCCAAGGAAGAGAGGATTTTGAATGTTCCCAAAATAAATAAAAGATAAATGTTTGAGATGATATGCTAATTACCCTGCTTTCATCATTGCATATTGTATATATGTATTGAAATATCACTTTGGGAGGCCAAGGCAGGCGGATCACCTGAGGTCGGGAGTTTGAGACCAGCCTGATCAACATGGAGAAACCCCATCTCTACTAAAAATACAAAATTAGCTGGGCGTGGTGGTGCATGCCTATAATCCCAGCTCCTCGGGTGGCTGAGGCAGAAGAATCACTTGAACCCAGGAGGCGGAGTTTGCGGTGAGCCGAGATCGCGCCATTGCACTCCAGCCCGGGCAACAAGAGTGAAACTCCACCTCAAAAAATTAAAAAAAAAAAAAAAAAAAGAAAGAAAGAAATATCACTCTGTATCCCATAAACTTGTACAATTATAATGTGTCTACTAAAAAGATGTTAGTTCATGCACAGAAAGAAGGTGAAATATATATAAGAAGTTTAAATACATAATAAATGGTTATAGAAAATGAGATTTTCGAGAAACTTCTCTTTCTATATCATGTATTTCTATAATGTATGAATTTAGTACAACTATACACAGGTTGTTTTATTTATTTATTTTTAAATTTTTGTTGAGAACGAGTCTTGTTCTGTCATCCAGGCTGGAGTGCAGTGGTGCGATCTCGGCTCACTGCAACCTCCGCCTGCTGGGTTCAAGCAATTCTCCTGCCTCAGTCTCCCGAGTAGCTGGGATTACAGGCGCCCACCATCATGCCCGGCTAATTTTTGTATTCAGGTTGTTTATAATCAGAACTGAGGTTTAAATATATGTCTTTGCATCTCAGTAACTAAAATGATTCTAGATAATGTTCCTTAATACTCAGACATTATTATAATTTTTATTAGGAGTAAAAATAACAATAATAAATATGAATTATTTACTGAATGCCTGCTACATACCAGATGCCTTATGTTTCATCTTCACCACACCACTATGAGGTAGGCTTTATTATGTTTGATTTATAAATGAAGAAACGTGCACCTCAGGATTCAGGGAGGCTAAGTAATTTTAAAAAGATCACACAGTGAAGGACACAACTGAACCTCAAAGTTTAGAATGTTTGATACCAAAAACTGCTCAGTTTTTACAATGTCATATTGTTTTCCATATTTCTTATAAAACAATATGGCATAACAAAGTTCCAGGGTGTACTCTAATAAAGAATTTTTGAAAAAATATCACACCTGTTTTCTTCCCCCCCTCTAATTTTTCTGAGACAGGGTCTTTGTTACCCAGGCTGGAGTGCAGTAGCACAATCATAGCTCACTATAGCACGGACCTCCCAGGTTCAAGCGATCCTCTCGATCTTCCCACCTCAGCCTCCCAAGTAGCTGGGACTGTAGGCGTGTCCCACCACACCTAGCTCATTTTTATTTTTAAATCTGTAGGGATGGGGTCTCACTATGTTGCTCAGACTGGTCTTGAACTCCTGGGCTCAAGCAATCTTCCCACCTCAGCCTCCCAAAGTGTGGGATTACAGGTGTGAGCTAATGCACACCTGGCTGTTTTTACTTTACAAATAAAACTACATTAATAGAAGATGTTGTGACTTTACTAATAACCTACATTTTTGTGGAAAACTCATCCAAAGTGTTTAGATGAGAAAACTAGATATTGTGAACAACTTCTATTTAGTAGACTTCCTTCATATACCCAACAAGATACTATTTACTATGTGTGATGTACTTCTCAATTTTCATTTATTATTCATGATTTGTCAGTTAGCAATGTTTAGAATCATAATTCTATACATAAAGGATGCAAGACAAGTTCCTTACATAGTATCAACT
Source organism: Homo sapiens (assembly GCF_000001405.40). Classification (NCBI taxonomy): domain Eukaryota; kingdom Metazoa; phylum Chordata; class Mammalia; order Primates; family Hominidae; genus Homo; species Homo sapiens. Next base: position 173,958,149 of record NC_000001.11, read on the forward strand.
GTAATCCTGAGAAACCTTACTTGATTATTAAAAAAAAAAATACAAACTATAAGCTAAAGCAGTATGTACAATCAACAAAACAAATACGATTACTTTAAAGTTGGATTTTTTGGGCAGGGCACAGTAGCTCACGCCTGTAATCCCAGCACTTTGGAAGGCCAAGACGGGCAGATCATTTGAGGTCAGGAGTTTGAGACCAGCCTGGCCAACATGGTGAAACCCCATCTTTACTAAAAATACAAAAAAATTAGCTGGGTGTGGTGGCACATGCCTATAATACCAGTTACTGGGGGAGGCTGAGGCAGGAGAATCGCTTGAACCCAGAAGGCAGAGGTTGCAGTGAGCCGAGATCGCACCACTGCACTCCAGCCTGGGCGACAGAGCAAGACTCTGTCTCACAAAACAAAAAAAAAAAAGTTGGCTTTTTGAAAGACAAATAAAATTGATAAATCCCTAGCAGGACTGACAAAAAAAAATTACCAATATAGAAATAGAAAAACGAACATCACTGTAGACCATCTAGACATTAAGATAATAAGACAACACTTATTCACTATAACTACTAGCATTGTCATACAGAAATACAAAGAAGTTGACTCCCCAAATTATGGTTATTGCCCTGTGATACATTAACCAGTTTTTTTTTTGAGCAATCTTATTTGACTGTTTTTTTTTTCTGATTTTCACTATCTATATTTACCTGTTTTTTCCTATTCATTAAACCAACTTTTCTGGCTGGTTTCCTCATTACTGAGTTAAATAAATCTTTGATATTCTTTCTTATTTAAAATAAATCTGAAACTAGGATTAGAGAAAACCTTCATAAATATGATAAAGATTTTCTACCAAGAAGCCTACAGCAAACATGATAATGGTAAATTATTATTAAAAGCTCCATTTACTCAAAGATTAGAAAGGAGTCAAGAATATGTGTTATCATCACTTCTATTCAGTATTATGCTGGAGTCCAAAATAATAAGACAAAGACAAAACAAAAGGATTAAAAAGGGGAAAAAGATTATTCAGAGGACATAATTGTGTGCACAGAAAATTCAAAAGAATCTACTAACATTATTATGATTAATAAAGAAATTTAGCAAGCCTGCTGAATAGAAGGGTCAATACATAAAAATCTATTTAATTTCTCTATATTAATAATAGAAAATAAAAATTTCCAAACAATTCTATTTAAAATAGTTTCAAAAAACATTGGTTATCGAGGAATAAAATTCAATGTAAGACGCGCAAGACACTGAAGTATGAAGTATAAAGAAAATCCAAATAAATGAAGGGGTATATCATGTTCATAGAGACTTGATATTAGAAAGATGTCACTTCTCAGCCAGGCGCGGTGGCTCATGCCTGTAATCCCAGCACTTTGGGAGGCCAAGACGGGCAGATCACCTGAGGTCAAGAGATCAAGACCATCTTGGCCAACATGGTGAAACCCCGTCTCTACTAAAATACAAAAAATTAGCCGGGCATGGTGGCTCATGCCTGTAGTCCCAGCTACTTGGGAGGCTGAGATAGGAGAATCACTTGAACCCAGGAGGCGGTGGTTGCAGTGAGCTGAGATCGCACCACTGCACTCCAGCCTGGCGAAAGAGCAACACTCTGTCTCAGAAAAAAGAAAGCTGTCACTTCTCATCATATTGATCTAAGACAACACTGTCTAGGCCCGGCGTGGTGTCTCATGCCTGTAATCCCAACACTTTGGGAAGCTGAGGTGGGAGGATCACCTGAGGTTAGCAGTTTGAGACCAGCCTGGCCAACATGGTGAAACCGTGTCTCTACTAAAAATACAAAAATTATAGTCGGGCGTGGTGGTGCGTGCCTGTAATCTCAGTTACTCAGGAGGCTGGGGCAGGAGAATCATTTGAACCCAGGAGGTGGAGGTTGCAGTGAGTTGAGATTGCACCACTGTACTCTGGCCTGGGCAACAGAATGAGACTCCGACTCAAAAAAAAAAAAAAAAAAAAAAAGATACAAAAATTAGCTAGGAATGGTGGTGTGCACCTGCAGTCCCAGCTACTTGGGAGGCTGAGGCATGAGAATTGCTTGAACCTGGGAAGCAGAGGCTGCAGTGAACCAAAAATGCGCCATTGCACTCCAGCCTGGGTGACAGAGTGAGACTCTGTCTCAAAAAAATAAATAAATAAAAATAAAGCAACACTGTCTAATAGAAATATGTGATCCACATATAAAATTAAAACATTTTGGTGGCCACATTAACAACAAAAACAGGTGAAATTAATTTTAATAATTTTATTTAATCCAATGTATCAAAAATATTAATGAATTTTACATTTTTGGTATGAAATCCTTGAATTCAGTGTGTATTTGATGACTATAGTACATCTGAACTTAAACTGGCCACATATTACATGTTCAACAGCCACATGTGGCTAGTGGCTACCATACTGGACAGCACAGATTTACAGATCTGATGTAATCCTAATCAAAATTGAAGCAGATATTTTTGTGGAAATCAACGTGCTGATTCTTGAAAAATAACAATACTAGAAAATATAACCACCACATATTGAGACTTATTATAAAACTATACGAAGAGAATGTGGCATCGGTTCAAGGATAGAAATAGACTGACGGAAAAGAATAGGGTCAGGAAACACATGTGTGGTCACCTGATTATGATAAAGCAGGACACCAGGGAAAGCATGCTGATTTCATTAAATTGTGCCGAGTCAGTGCCTTACAGGAACAAAAAAAAAGATCTTGACTCCTAATGCATTACATTACATACATACAAAAATCAGTTCTAGATGGATTGTAGAGTTAAATGATAAAAAACCTTTCAGAGGAAAACAGGAAAAAAAATCTTCACACCATTGGGAATAGGCAAAGATGACTTAAACCGGACACACACAAAAAAACACGGATAAATGAGACTAAAAATGATTTGCTTACTTCTTCCGGATGAAAGGTAGGAGGCAAGGTTGGTGAAGGTGCAAAAGGAGGTGGAGAGATAACCTTTCTTTCCTCTAGCTGGGCCATTATTTCCTTTCGTCGGCGATGTAGTTCATCTAGACTAGGATGAGGCTGGGGAGGAGGAGGAAGCCGGCTATAAGGAGGTTCCTAAAAATAGAAAGATTAGTTAAAATTGAAAGAGAATTTCAGGACAGATTAATTCATTTAATATACTCAGCGTATATTTTAAGTTATGAAACAGCTTGTATACCCTTCTTAACATTTGGAAACACCAACACTTAACAGAACAAAGTAAAACAAAACCCCCCAAACTCTCAAGATCTTCCAAATAGCTAAATTTAGGTTTCTTTTATTTGGTCATAATTACCAAGTAGATCTAGAATTGTTAATTAAACCATCTAAAGTTCAGAAACTAAGAAAGGTTAATTGTGGGGAGGAGGCAGATTTTTTTCTCATTATATAGTTTAAAAAAAAAAAATACCCAAATTATGAAAAGATTTAAAAAAAAAAGAAGCTCTCTTATAAAAAAGAATTCATCAAAGGGTTATTGTCATTGCATAAAAAGTAAGGAATCACAGCAAGCAACAGTCAAATTAAGTCTATGTAATAAAAAAAAATACAGCATACTCTGAGGTACGAAGGTCTGATCTGAGTTGGATGAGGAGCCACTGGATAGTAACTCTCGATCTGTTGGTATCTTTCTCTGGATTCTGGTACATACGATGGTACTGCTGCAGGTGGAATCTCAATGGGTATAGGGCTTTCTCGGAATATCTCTTCTCTTGTGTAAGACGGAGCAGGGTACACTCGACGGCCATCATAGTGAGATGGGTATATAGGTGGGTACTGCTGTGGCTGTGTGCCATACTGAGAGTTTACAACACGTTCTTGGAGGTAGGGTGGATAATGATCCAAGTAGGGAGGAGCAGGTTCAGGAGCAGATGGTGGAGGTCGGACAAAGCGGGACACACATTGTGGTGGTGGAGTATAATACATACCTGCACAATACAAAAGAGGACCCAAAAGCAAATAATGAGCCAATTTAGTTTTCTATGTAAGATTTTACCTTTTAAAATACTGAAACACTAAAGTATTGATAATCTACTTATTTCTTTACGAGTTTTCCATCTGCTTATATAATCAGGTTAGCTTTTTAAAAAATAAGCAAAAATTATCTGTAAAAGTCATTGAAAAAACTACCCTACTTATAATCTATAATAGTAGATTGGCTCTCATTGTTTGACCCTCTTTCTGGTGTGTCTTAATGCAATGAAGACACTGGAAAACAAAAAAACTACATTTCCCAGATATCCTTGAAGTCAGGTTCCACAAATCAATCACTTGCATGAGTTTTGAATTTGAAACTGAAATAACTGGGAGGAGACATGGAACACAAAAGGCCAATTTTGCTGGCGCAGATTAGTAGCTACTGCTTGGCTCTACAGTTCTTGAGACAACAGTTGTGGCAATAGTTTCTCAGTTTTCCAACTTTTGCCTCAAATGACGTGATCTTGGAATTAAGCAGTTAGGACAGAAGTTTCTACTTCTACTGCTTCTTCATTGTAACAAGTTCTCTTGGCAGCTAACTCTGGAGCACTGTTTGCTTCTTTAGTACCTCCACCAATATGGCAGGCACCTAACTCCTGCACTAAATCTCTTTCTGCTTAATATAGCTAAAATAATTTACCTAAAATTGAAAACAGGCTACAAAAAGAGTTGCATTTTTTCCTATAATGGATGGTCAAAGGAAGATACAAATCACGTTTTATCATATTTTGCATGAATTAGTAATGCCATATCAATTAAAAAACATTCTCATGAATGAATGTAGAGAAGACAACATGATTCAAAATTAAATGACAGACTCGGAAAAAGAAGACAGCACTTTTAATCTATTCCCATTTTAAAAATTATAGTACTATACTGCTTCTGACAGAGAGATCCAACACTTAAAATCATTCAGTGTTTATTTTACATATAAACTATATATGTAAAACGTTAGTTTATTTTCTTTCCTTCATTCTCCATACCTGGTATTATCATTAAAGCTGGCTAATTTTCAAATTTGTCTATTTTTGAAATCCCTTCTTCTCCTTTCCCACCACACTAATTCGTCAGTACTCACACCAGGATTAACAGCCTCCTAACTCAACTCTCATTTTTCCAATCCATTCATAACTTTTTTTTTTCTATTCCAAATACCTCTAGGGCATTTCTTCCATTAAGTCTTTTTGATTCCTCAAGTTCTCAATGATCTCCCTTGAGTCTTTCAGTCAATCTCTATCAAGCTAATATTAACCACAACAGATCACTTAATTTTTAACACATACATAAACACCACACACATGCATCTACTACTCATGCATATAGTTTTCTATTCTTTACCATTATTTATTCTATTCTGTAAACTCTCTAAAGGTGTGTATGCTGCATTTTTTCATATATATTACAGGGCCCAGAAAAATAATAATTAAAAGAAGAAAAATGTACTGTGGGTGTTTAATTTACACACACTATAATATTAATTCTTTTTTCATGCTTGAAGAAAATTTTGGTCAGGAGAATATATGCTGCCTTACTCAGCAAATTTCCATTGCCTACTTGTGTAACTTGTTATTTCCATAAATATTATATATGAACACATGTATTATGCAACTGCTTTTAGTAGATATGGCGGTTTGATTTTTATTACTTTGTTTCATTTATTTCATAGTATTTAGTTAATCATAAAATCTCAATTTTTCCAAAGTATTAAAAAATGCATTTATACATTTACTTATCTTAAAGAGGCTACTGTGTAAATGATCACTCTGACCTGAAGAACAGTTCTGATAATTCCTAAGAAAAGTTAGCAATATAAATTTAAAATCGTTACCCTGCTGATAAGGTGCTGGTTCAAATGGCGGAGCTGCTCCTCGAGGATCCTGATAATAAACATCCGTCTGTTGTGCTGGATATAACTGAGAACCTCGAGGTACCATCTGAAGTGGTTTGGTAACAGGCATTGGAGGCAGATCTGCTGGCCCCCTTGGAGGTATAGAATGTGGATTCACAGGTAAGGCAGAAATACTCTTAGGAACAGATTCTAGCCTAAGGGAATAATATTATGGAAGTTGTTTAAAAAATACTTCTCATGTGCATAAATTGTTACAAGTAAAAAAGATTGCTACAATTTGGGAAACTCACTTATTCTAATAGTCCTCCCTTCTACAAAATTTGCAATTTTTAAATCTTATTTCCCCTATGTTAATTGTTTCTTTTCTTTTTTTTTTGAGACAGAGTCTCGCTCTGTTGCTCTGTCGCTCTGTCACCCAGGCTGGAGTGCAGTGGTGCAATCTCGGCTTACTGCAACCTCCGCCTCCTGGGTTCAAGCGATTCTCATGCTTCAGCCTCCCAAGTAGCTGGGATTACAGGCATGTGCCACCATGCCTGGCTAATTTTTGTATTTTTAGTAGAAATGGGTTTCATCATGTTGGCCAGGCTGGTCTCGAACTTCTGGCCTCAAGTGACCCGTCCACCTCAGCCTCCCAAAGTGCTGGGATTATAGGCATGTGCCACCATGCCTGGCTATGCTAATTGTTTCTTAAAAAACACTAGCATGGGAAATAAAAAAGCAACAAAATAAAGGCCAAAAAAAATAATCAGGGTTTTTTTTTTTTAAATCCCAAACATTAATTATTCTATCTTCCTTCGACTTTATGAAGAAGAAATTTTGAAATAAGAGTTAGAAAAATGACGTACAGGTCAGGAGGGGATCCAGGAGCACTACTGCTCAGATGATCTATTTTTCCTGGTTTCAGACTAGAATCATAGCTGGGGTCTGTCCCTCGCGGAATAAGCTGTGTTACTGTATTCCCTGTTGATACAATTCCATTTGGCAGAGCAGGAGGTTTTCTGCTAGGGAGATCCACTGCACCTTCATCTGGAAGGATAGCTGCTGAAGGCAGGCCCACCTCATTAAGTTGACCCAAAGAGGCACTCAAGGGTCTTCTCGGAACCAGGCGCTTATTCATTTTACGAAATCTATATAAAAAGCATAGGCACATATCAAAAAGCAAATATAAAAGCAAAACCAAGAACTAAAATGTACTTAATATTATTTTCTAGAAATATTCTCTCTTGAAACATTAACTCTATCAGTGTGTATATTTTGCATAAAATCTCTAGCAGCAAGACATATTAAGTATAAAATTCCTCATAAAAATGTGTAACATAGGCCGGGTGCTGTGGCTCATGCCTGTAATCCCAGCACTTTGGGAGGCCGAGGCAGGCGGATCACGAGGTTAAGATCGAGACCAGTCTGGCCAACATGGTGAAGCTCCGTCTCTAATAAAAATACAAAAATTAGCTGGGTGTGGTGGCGTGTGCCTGTGGTCCCAACTACTAGGGAGACTAAGGCAGGAGAATCACTTGAGCCTGGGAGACAGCGGTTGCAGTGAGCCGAGATCACACCACTGAACTCCAGCCTGGCGACAGAGCGAGATTCTGTCTCAAAAAAAAGAGTAACATTTGTCATATTATAAATTATGCTATTAATATTTTTGCTATAATATATTTCTGTGGACATTTGTATTTCTAAAACTTATTGGAGAAGCTAGTAGAAAAATCTTTAGAAGATAGTTTCTGAAATATTTTACTTCAGCTCTCCCTCAAATGCCTTGGGATACAATGAGCCAATGTTAAAAAATTAGGAATAAAAGAAAAACAAAGCCAGTATGCACTGTGAAACATTTGTCATTTACTCTGTTAAAAAATTTAAGCAGCCAGGCACTGTGGCTCACACCAGTAATCCCAGCACTCTGGGAGGCTGAAGCGGGCGAATCACTTGAGCTCAGGAGTTTGAGACTAGCCTGAGCAACATGGTGAAACCTTGTCTTTACCAAAAATATAAAAACTTAACCGGGTGTGGTGGTGCATGCCTGTGGTCCCAGCTACTCGGGAGGTTGAGGCGGGAGGATCACTTGAGCCTGAGGCAGAGGTTGCAGTGAGCCAAGATTGCACCACTGTACTCCAGCCTGGGCAACACAGTGAGACCCTGTTTCAAAAAAAAATTTAAGCAATTAAGGATAGTGACTTTTATTAGAACTGCTTCAGAGATGCTGATGTTATGTATGCCAATACAAAATTAAAGTTATTTTAAAAGTAGGTTAATGGAACCAATACAGAATAATTGCCTGGGTTTAAAGAGATGCTGTGGTACAACAAGCACATCGATTCTGAAATCTAACCAAAGGAAAAAATATAAGCCATCAGACTCCAGGATCTTTGTTCCTCAACAATGAAAGCAAGTCCATTTACAACTGCTAATGCATTTTTATTTTGAAAAATAAAACCTCGGCTTGGCGCGGTGGCTCATACCTGTAATCCCAGCACTTTGGGAGGCCGAGGCGGGCAGATCACCTGAGGTCAGGAGTCAAGACCAGCCTGACCAATATGGTGAAACCCCATCTCTACTAAAAATACAAAAATTAGCTGGGTGTGGTGGCAGGCACCTGTAGTCCCAGCTACTCAGGAGGCTGAGACAGGAGAATTGCTTGAGCCCGGGAGGCGGAGGTTGCAGTGAGCCGAGATTGTGCCACTGCACTCCAGCCTGGGCGACAGAGCGAGACCCTGTCTCAAAAAACAAAAAAAAAAAGTAAATAAAAAAATAAATAAAACCCCATCAGAGTAATAATGCTATTTTTCCACGTTTCCCAAAACTGACAAATTTCTGAGGTTGGGGAGAAAACTACCCCTCAGGGGTAATTATTGTTGAAAGTCTAGTGTATCATTATATGGAATTGTTCCTTTATACATTAGCTTTATATTCATATAAGATTATTATTTGCAGCAGTTGAGTCATATATTACTGCTAATTTTTCCCTCCACTTAATAATCTTAGACATCCCTTTATGTCAGTTCATTTTAGGCTGGTTGGGTTTTTTTTGGCTATTAAAATAATGTGCTGGGCACAATGGCTCACGCCTGTAATCCCAGCACTTTGGGAGGCTGAGGTGGGTGGATTCACTTGAGCTCAGGTATTCAAGAACAGCCTGGGAAACATGGGAAAACTGTCTCTACCAAAAATACAAAAATTAGCTGGGCATGGTGGCATGCACCTGTGGTCCCAGCTTCTCGGGAGGCTGAGGTGAGAGGATCATTGGAGCCTGGAAGTCGAGGCTGCAGTGGGCCATGATTGCATCACTGCACTCCAGCCTGGGAGACAGAGTAAGACCCTGTCTCAAAAAAAAAGTAACAGATAATTATGAACATGTACTTGCACCCTGTGTGAATAACCAAATAAGCAAAGGCAGAATGAGGTCAAAGAGCACGCAAATTAGAAATTTTTATGTCATACTGCTCTCTAAAACTATTTTAAGTCCTACTGATCATGAAGAAAAACGTCTTTCAAAACCTCATCAAATACTGGGTAGCACTGGTCTTGTTAATTTGGTAGTCCAAAAATACTAAGTTGCTTTAATTTGCATTTCTTTAACAACTAGTGAGATTGAACATAGTTTCACAGGATAATTGGCCATTAGTATTTCTTCCGTAAACTATGTTTATGATCCATAAATCTATTGGTTCCTCTCCTTCCTACAGACTTGTAAGAGCTCATTTTATGTTAGGATATCAGCCCTCTGTGTGTCATTTCCTCACCAAGCTTTTTATAAAAAACTGTATTTGTACCATATCTTAGTTTTATAATTTTTATGTAATCAAATTTATCAATCTTTTCCTTTATGGATGCTGGGTTGCAGTTCTTAAAAAAATCTTTTCCTTCTTTCCTTATTTAACAACTAAAAACAAACAAACAAAAATCCTCTTAACTACTCTGTGGTTTCTTGCCTTCCTAAATATTTAAATCTCTTATACATCTAGAGTTCATTTTAGTATAAAGATTGTGGTAAGAATCCAGCTCTATTTTTCAAATAGGTGACAGTTATTTTCCATCATTCATTTGGTCACTGATGTGAAATGCCACCTTTAGCACATATGCTAAGCTCCTATATGCATCTCAAACTCCTCCTAGATTCTCTATTGCATTTCATTAATCTATCTATTCCTACGCAAAAGACTAAAGTCTTTTATTCACTGTAGTCCATAATACAGGTAAATAGTTATTAGTCTAGTTCCTGTCTAAAACTTCCAGAATTTTCAGAATTTTCCTTGCTATTTGTACCTATTTATTCTTTACAAATGAATTTTTGATAGGATCTTAACATCATCATGGTGAGATTTAAATTCGGATTTCTTGGAATTTGTTGTTTATGGGAAAATGAAACTTTTATAGCATCAAACCTTATCCAAGAACACAGTATATTTACTCAATATTTCTCTTATGTTCCTAGGTAATTTATTGGTTCAATTTATATACACCCTGGAAGAGATCCTTAATTTTAACTTATTTTTAAACTGGTTATGTTTCTCTTTTTAGTTTACACGAGGGCAATTCATGTTTGTGATTTTTAAAATTTGCCATCTTACTAAATTCTCATTTCTTTTGTTTCTAGTACTAAAGTTTTTCCCAATAATTTTATGGCTATGTTATTCTTTCTTACATACATTAGCTACTACTTCCACAATGTTAAATAACAGTGGTAGAAAATTTTACTACTAATTACTAGCAGAAAATTTTGCTTTATCCTTGACTTTAATGAGAGTGAATCGAATATTTTACTAATTAAGCATCATACTATTATGTTGGCTTCTGATTTATAATATAATTTATTACCATGCTGAGAAAGTATGGCATTTCTGTTGTATTAAGGAATTTTGATTTTTTTTTTTTTTTTTTTGGAGACAGAGTCTCGCACTGTCGTTCAGGCTGGAGTGCTACGGTGCAATCTCGGCTCACTGCAACCTCCACCTCCCGGGTTCAAGCGATTCTCCTGCCTCAGCCTCCCGAGTAGCTTGGTCTACAGGCGCATGCCACCACACCCAGCTAATTTTTGTGTTTTTAGTAGAGACGGGGTTTCACAATGTTGGCCAGGATGGTCTCAATCTCTTGACCTTGTGATCCGCCCGCTTCAGCCTCCCAAAGTGCTGGGAGCCACCGGCGCCTGGCTGGAATTTGATTTTTAATTGACATTCAATTTTATTCAAAGGCCTTTGGCATTTTTTGGATATTATCATGTTATTTTCTAAGTTGTGATAATTATATTGTACTACTTTTGCAGAGTCATGGCATCTATTTTCTTTTCTTTAAAAAAAAATTATATTATTTATATTAAAAAAAAAAACCTACAGCACCCAATATTCCCAGGTAGTCTCCCATCCAAGTACTAACTGGGCCTGACCATGCTTAGCTTCCGAGATCAGATGAGCTCAGGTGGATTCAGGGTGTTATGCCCTTAGACATGGCATCTATTGTAATGTATTACTGAATTATATTTAAATTTTTGAGATTTTTAATATTAATACTTGCAGTAGATTTGCAGTTTTAATTGTGTTATCTTTGTCAAATTTAATGAAAGTGTTACATTGGATTTATAAATAAATTAAGAGGCGGTGGGTGTGGTGGCTCCTGCCTGTAATCCTAGCACTTTGGGAGGCCAAGGCAGGAGGCTCCCTTAAGCCCAGGAGTTTGAGACCAGCCTGGGCAACATAGGGAGACCCTGTCTCTATTTTTAAAAAATAAAATAAAATAAAATAAAAATAAAAAAAATTAAGAGGTTTTTCCTTTCTTTCTTCAATGAGCTGAAAAATTTAACATCCCTGAAATTATCTTGTCCTTGAAGTTTAAAAGAATCTGTTAAACTGAGCCAAGGGCAAAATTTTCCACTGGAAATACATCATGCAATTAGTTAAATTAAGTTAAAATTGATTAAAATTATTATAATTTTAATTTTTTTTGTAGTGAAAATGACCCACTTTTAGATTTAGCTAATCATAAAATAGTTTCCTATCTATAGGCATGATGCAATAAAAGCTGAAGAAACTGCTTTTCATTTTTAAAAATTATGTACAGGTTGAATATCTCTTACCCGAAATGCTTGAGACCAGAAGTGTTTCAAGATTTGGATTTGTCTTGGATTTTGGAATATTTGCATATACATAAGGAGATGTCTTGGGGATAAGACCCAAATATATAACATGAAATTCATTTATATTTCATATACATCTTTTACACATAGTCTGAAAGTAATTTTATACATTATTTTAAATAATTTTGTGCATGAAGTTTTGACTGCTATCCATCACAAGGTCAAGTGTGGAATTTTCAACTTGTGGTGTCAAGTTGGCTTTCAAGCATTTTTGGATTTTGAAGCATTTCAGATTTTCAGAATAGGAATGTTCAAGCTGTGTTACATTCTAAAAATGTCCTATTCATTTAAGATAAAGCAGCTACTCTTTCTGTATTTCTGTATGTCAGCGAATTATTCCACTTACACCTTATTCCAAAGTCTCCTGACTTTCACACTTACTTTTCCAGTTCCTCCTGTGAGTGTGCAAATGTACAGCTGGCCCCACGAGGGCATCCTCCTCTCTGCTTCATATCTCGACACATGTATGTTTTGTATTTGCTATGCTGTGGAGGCTAAAACCAAAATCAAAACATTAGATGTGTAATAACCCCCCACAAAAAAACATAAATTTTGTGTTGTCATTTTAGGATCTTGATAATCTAGATAAGTAATTCACATATTTATTTAGATTACCAAGAGCAAAAGTGCTGGAAAGTCATTCTGTCTGAAGTTTCAAAGTCCAAATATAAATAAAGCAAAAACAAAGAAGGTAGTCCTAATTTTTCTGATATGTTGATATTAATTCTCAAACAAGTAGCATAATATAAATTCTTGAATAAATCTCATGGGCATTCTTATACTTGTATTATATGGAAAAAGAAAAAGCTCATGGGGACACTATGATCTCATTTCCACTTTTTTTTTTTTTTTTTTTGAGAAGGAGTCTTACTCTGTTGCCCGGGCTGGAGGGCAGCGGCGCAATCTTGGCTCACTGCAACTTCCACCTCCCCGGCTCAAGCGATTCTCCTGCCTCAGCCTCCTGAGTAGCTGGGATTACAGGTGTCCACCACCGCACCTGGCTAATTTTTGTATTTTTAGTAGAGACAGGGTTTCATCATGTTAGCCAGGCTGGTCTCAAACTCCTGACCTCAAATGATCCGCCTGCCTCAGCCTCCCAAAGTGCTTGGGATTACAGGTGTGAGCCACTGTGCCCAGCCCATTTCCACATTTTATAATGAAAAAACAAACCACTGTAGTTTAAGACTTTCAAATATATAAATTATCTTCTAATATTTGTTTTGTACAATGTTCAATATAGCTATATGTATGTTTCCATACAACATACCACAAAAACTACAAAAGGCCCTATAATCAAAGAATATTCTGTAACTAATTCTTCTTGACATGCAGAATAATATATGAAGAACTTAAAATAGTTCCAAAAGTACAAATGACACTTATTATTTATAACTCAAGGATAAGGCAGGAGGATGGATTTGAAAGTTAATGAAATATGAGACACAACACTAAACTGGACAAAATTTAGTGTATTTTATCACTATATGGCAGACTTTAAAGGTTAGTCTCATTACTCTTGTTATTTTCTTCAAGATGTCTAATGAAACAGAGAGTTAAAAACTGTAGGTTCTCCTTTCTTTTATGCCTATTCATAAATAAAGCTTTGACCTGTGTTAGATAGGTTAGGAAAATCATATCCAGATTATTTTACTTAGCAGGATAATTTTTATATTTCTTGCCTCTTAAGCAAAAAGGAATACTGAGTAACCTATTTATATTTACCTGAACCAGGTAAATTAAGAGTTTTACGTTCACAGGCTTACTACTGCAAAATAAAAGATCTAATGAACCTAATATAAATCCTGAGAGCAAAATAAAATTACTGGGAATAAAATTTAAAACTCTAGCTATAAGAAGTTATTATATTCTACCATCGTATTTTCATCTAAAAACTTTGAGGGAGATTTGGCCCAATGGCATAAGACATTATGAATGAAAAAAATCTTAAAATATTAATAAGAAAATCTATAGAAATTTGAACAGTATTGGAAAGACACAGTATTAGCACTAAAAAGTGATACTTATTGTCAAACCAAAATGTTAAACAAACTAAAGAGAATAATAATCTTATATAAATGGAATAAACTTCAGCACTGAATCCATTTTCTCCATCAAATGCTGCCATATCCAATGTGAAGACTGACCCCAGCATGACATCAGATCAATAAGGATTATTTAATGTCAATATTGTCAGATAAAGTTATCAGCCTAATGCAGTAAACTGTTAACCATGCCAAGGTAATTTACAGTTTCTATACTCAGAGTCTCAAAATGTTCATGTTATCTTTTTGGCTTTGTATCTGTAGGTATACCCACAGTGGTTTACCTATAGTTTTAAGGCATATCCACAGTGGGTTAACTCTAAGTTTTAAACAGCTTCCTTACCTGCTGCTGATCTGCTCCTTTTTTGCTGTGGTTCTGGATATAATCAACCAGCCCATGTACCACTGTACGCACAGCAACCAGCCCATTTTCCAGCTGTTCCCAAGTAGGAGGAGGAGCATCTATACAACCAATGATAATGTTTTAAACTCTAATGTTACTCAAAATTTTCCCTAATATCAAATTAATAAAAGAGTTACTTGAAAACATTTCAGTGAAATCAAGCTTCACACCTTAGCTTTTTAGATAATAGCTTATTCACCTAACCATCATTTTAAAGGAATGGACATATTCTTTCAAAGCTGGGGTTGCAAACTGAAATAACCATAGGAACAAGAAAGGTAACATGAAAGAGGTAAATAGGCCACACAATAGTGGTAACTGTCATTAGACTCTCAGTGTTGAGGAGACAACAACGAGTGACAGGGACTGCTGAACTGGGGAGCATGTCCCTCATCTAAGAGTATGGTTATAACTCAGCTTTAGATGATTGTTGTTATGTGATGATGCAAGGCTGGCACTGCCAGATACATTCACTGTTTCCCAGGGAAACCTGAAACTTGAGATTTTTAAGTAAAAATTTCCCAGTTTTAAAATATTGGCATCTAAGAAATTTAGACCATTGCTCAGACCAACACTGTGTGGATTAAACAAAACTGAGGACTGTCTACAGTTAGTCAATTTGCATGTTTATTTTGAACTTTTATATAAATAAAGTTTTGGTAAACAAAAAGCTTAAAAAGTTTAATAAGCCGGGCACAGTGGCTCAGGCCTGTAATCTCAGCACTTTCGCAGGCCGAGGTGGGCAGATCACAAGATCAAGAGATGGAGACCATCCTGGCCAGCATTGTGAAACCCCGTCTCCACTAAAAATACAAAAATTACCCAGGCATGGTGGCACGCGCCTATAGTCCCAGCAACTTAGGAGGCTGAGGCAGGAGAATCGCTTGAACCCGGGAGGCGGAGGTTGCAGTGAGCCGAGATTGCACCACTGCACTCCATCCTGGTGACAGAGAGAAACTCCATCTCAAAAAAAAAAAAAAAAAGTTTAATAGAAGAACTATCATATAAAGTAACTCTGCTACATGTTTTCTTCATTTAGTAGGTATTTGCCCAGTGCCAGCACTATGATTTATAAAAGAAAAATTAACTATAAGGCTAAATATATTCTTTAAAAGAAATATGTAAAATGAAACAAGAAGAGAGATGTAGAGATAACTTCTTGCTCAGACACCCTGAAAGAATTCTAGGGGATGGCATTTGAACTGGGCTTTGAAGGACACATGGAATCTGAAAAGGAAAAAAGGTGAAGAAAACAAGTATTCAAAAAAGTAGTTTTTGGAACACTTGCTAAATCTGAGTTATTGTTCTAGTTGTTGGGTAAGCAATAGTGATTAAAACAAAAATCCCCATTATATTCAAGGAGAAGAGCCAGATAATAACCAAGACAAATAAGCAAAATATACAGTAGTATTTAGATAATGTTGAATTCAAAAAATAGAGCTAAGAAGAGAAGTGGGGCCAATGTGTAAAATTTTAGACAGAGGCAATCCACCCATCTTGGCCTTCCAAAGTGCTGGGATTACAGGCATGAGCCACTGCGCTCTACTAAAAATACAAAAAAATTAGCTGGGCATGGTGGCACACGCCTGTAGTCCCAGCTACTCCGGAAGCCAAGGTAGGAGAATCACTTCAACCTGGGAGGCGGAGGTTGCAGTGAGCTGAGATTGCACCACTGCACTCCAGCCTGGTCAATAGAGGGAGACTGTCTCAAAAAAAAAAAAAAAAAAAAAAAAAAAAATTTAGACAGAGGCCAGAAAAGTCCTCCTTGAGAAGGTTACATTTGATTAAAGACCTGAAAGAAGGGTTTAAGTGTGCCTACTGGAGACTTTCAAATATATAAATTATCTTCTAATATTTGTTTTGTACAATGTTCAATACAGCTATATGTATGTTTCCATACAACACACCACAAAAACTACAAAAGGCCCTATAATCAAAGAATATTCTGTAACTAATTCTTCTTGACATGCAGAATAATATACCAAGGGAAAAACATCCAAGTTAGAGGGAAGAATAAGTGCAAAGTCCTTGATGTAAGAAGTGTGCCTGGCATGTTGCATGGAGGTGGAATCAGAGAGGAGGGAATTAAGTGGAAAAAAAGGGTAGGAAATGAGGTTTGAGAGAGGTAGTAGAAGACCAGATCACATGAGGCCCTATAGATCATGGGAAGGATACTGGGTTTTACTCTGAGTTGATAGAAAGCCACAGGAGAATTTATGAGCAGAGGGTGACAGGGTCGCTCCGGCTCTTTTGTTAAAATCAGACAGACAACAGGAGGCTATTCCATAATCCCCTGAGAGATGGGGATGGTAGCAGTGAAGGTAAATGGATTCTGGATGGATTTTAAAGGTAGGGCCTACAGAATTTGCTAATGGATCAGATATACATTATGAGAGAAAGAAGAGGTTTTTGGACTAAGCAACTGGAATGACAGAGTTGCCACAAACAGGATGGCAGGGGAGAGCTCATTTTTAGATAGATTCAGTTTGAAATGCTTATCAGATATAAGATGATAGATGCTGAGAAAGCAGTTTTGTTTTGTTTTTTTGATGGAGTCTCGCTCTGTCATCAGGCTGGAGTGCAGTGGCATGATCTCTGCTCACTGCAACCTCCATCTTCCGGGTTCAAGCAATTCTCCTGTCTCAGCCTCCCAAGTAGCTGGGACTACAGGTGCCTGCCACCACGCCCAGCTAGTTTTTGTATTTTTAGTAGAGACGGGGTTTCACCATGTTGGCCAGGATGGTCTTGATCTCTTGACCTTGTGATCCGCCCGCCTTGGCCTCCCAAAGTGCTGGGATTACAGGCGTGAGCCACTGCACCCGGCCGAGAAAGCAGTTTTATATACAAGTTCAGGAAAAAGGCATGGGCTGGATATATATTTCAAATTCTAAAAGACTATCAATTGTAATACGTACTACTTTATGTGCCAACAAAGAAAAAAAAGGTTGTTAATTATAATATGTCTTCATACAAATGCATTCCAATTTCAGAAATGCTAAGATCTGAAATAATTATGAACCTCAGAACTGATAAAAATACAGTAAATTTGGCCGGGCGCGGTGGCTCACGCCTGTAATCCCAGCACTTTGGGAGGCCGAGGCGGGCGGATCACGAGGTCAGGAGATCGAGACCATCCTGGCTAACAAGGTGAAACCCCGTCTCTACTAAAAATACAAAAAATTAGCCGGGCGTAGTGGCGGGCGCCTGTAGTCCCAGCTACTTGGGAGGCTGAGGCAGGAGAATGGCGTGAACCCGGGAGGCGGAGCTTGCAGTGAGCCGAGATCCCGCCACTGCACTCCAGCCTGGGCGACAGAGCGAGACTCCGTCTCAAAAAAAAAAAAAAAAAAAAAAAAAAAAAAAAAAAAATACAGTAAATTTGTGAGTTACATAAATTATATTTGAAGCTATGGGATAGATAAGATTATCTAGGAAACAGATATAGGATTAAACTCTGAGAACACTCCAAAGAGTACAGGATATGAAGATGAGAAAGCAGAGGATGCTGAGGAGAGTCCAATAAAGAAGAGAATTAGTAGCCTAGAAGCCAAGAAAAAAGCATTTCAAGGAAGAGAGAGTACAGAACAATGGCCAGGCATGGTGGCTCATGCCTGTAATCCTAGCACTTTGGGAGGCTGAGGCAGGCGGGTCACCTGAGTTCAGGAGTTTGAGAACAGCCTGGCCAAGATGGTGAAACCCTGTTTCTACTAAAGATACTAAAAATAAATAATAAGAATAATAAGAATAATAAATTAGCTGGATGTGGTGGTACAAGCCTGTAATCCTAGCTACTCGGGACAAGAATTGCTTGAACCAGGCAGAGGTTGCAGTGAACCGAGATCTTGCCATTGCCTCCAGCCTGGGGGACAGAGTGAAACTGTATCTCCAAAAAAAAAAAAAAAGTTAAATGCTGCTAAATCAAGTACAGTAAGAACTGAGAACTGACTTTTGGAATTAGCTACATGGAAGTAATTTATGACCTTGACAAAATAAGTTTGGATAGAGCAGTGGAGATAAATGCCTGACTGGAGTTGAGTTCAAGAGTGTGCCAAAAAAAGAAATGAAGTGGTAGGTAGATGAGAAATGGGGTCAAAAATGGTTTAGGAACTTGTGAAAGTTCTCTTTTGACTGCTCAGGATGATCAAAGGACAGCAGTCAGGGAAAAAAATCACTATATATTCTAGTAACATTGATCTGGTTTACTAAGCAATTTTGGGAGCAAATCTATAAAAGTAGGCTGATAAAAAACTAAGAGGGCTCTGAATGCCATAGTCAAGAGTGTCAAACCTTATTCCGTAAGCAATTCTACAAACAATGAAAGTTTATGAGTGTGGAAGGAAGATCAGGGATGTGATTTCTTTTTTTTTTTTTTTTTGAGACGGAGTCTCGCTCTGTTGCCCAGGCTGGAGTGCAGTGGTGCAGTCTCGGCTCACTGCAAACTCTGCCGCCCGGGTTCACACCACTCTCCTGCCTCAGCCTCCCGAGTAGCTGGGACTACAGGCGCCCGCCACCATGCCCAGCTAATTTTTTTTGTATTTTTAGTAGAGACGGGGTTTCATCGTGCTGGCCAGGATGGTCTCGATCTCCTGACCTCGTGATCCGCCCGCCTCGGCCTCCCAAAGTGCTGGGATTACAGGCGTAAGCCACTGTGTCAGGCCAGGGATGTGATTTCTTTTACAGCAGTAAGTAGACTGGATTGGAGGAACTCATAGTAGAGGAACTTGGAAGACATTCAGTCTCAGGAAAAAGGAGGCTCTCAAAGGAATTAATTATAAGCAGGGGATATAGGGGTATTGTGAAAGAAGAACAGATAAATCCCATTGTATGAAACAGTATGTAGAACAAGTGAAAGGAAAAGATGAGACAAGACAAAACATTAAGGTTTTAAACTTACATACCTCAGAGAATGAGGTCATTATCAGAAAGAGGAAACATTAAAGGAAGAGCAAGTATCAAGAAATGATGAGCTTGCTTTGAAGCACTCAGAGGACACGATGGGGAATCTCAGCAAGCACTGGGAGATGTATCTGGAGTGATGCAGAGATAATAGTGATAGAGATATTTGGGAGTCTGTATTCTACACTAAGGTAATACCTGATGCTAAGAATGAATAACCACCATCAGAGCATGTAGAGAAAACAAAATTCCAAGAGCATAACCTGCCTACTCTTTAGTGGGCAGGAGGGGAAGGCATGGTACAAATAAGACAGAAGTAGCACTCAGGTCAGAAGAGAACTATGAGATCACAGAAAGATATCAAAAAAGTGCTCAACAACATTATCGAAATGCTGAAAACAAATGGGAGTGATTTAAAGACTAAGACAAAGCTTTTGGAATCAGAGACTGGGAATCTACTAGTGAATATTAAGAGAGCTTCAGATCAGTAGTAGGAATAAACACAGAGAAGCTAAAATAACTTAGATGTAAGTGCAAGTTGAAAAATGAAGGTTGGGTATATTTTCAGGTTACGGAGAAGGAGCAGAAAAAGCCTAAGTAAAGATATACAAGACAGGATACTTGAAGGAACAAGATATCATGGAGAGGGCAAAAACAGGATCAAGGAAATGCAACTAAGGATACATAATACAGAAAAAAATGAGAAAAACGAGATTTGGAAGAGGTAAGAATGGTAAAATACAACACAATTTTGTGACGGGAGAAAGAAGAAACATAAAGAAGCCCAGAGAAATCTATTTTCCTGATGAAATGAGCAACAGTATAAAAAGTATTAAATAAATATTAAAGTGAACTAACCTGAGATAAAGAGGGAAAAGATTTAAAATGGAAACTTAAAATACTGTAAAAAAGATCTGGAGTAACTACTTTGGGAAACCCTAGAGGAACAACAAAAGATAATTAAAGAATCATTGAGCAGCACGAAAGGCACATATAAGATAGTCCATTAATTTCCCGTGGGTTTACCTGGACTAGGGTCAATGTTTGCTAACAGCTCCAAATGGGGTCTTAGTCGGTTCAAGTTTGCTGGGTCTCCAGTTCGCTGGAGAGCAATTGTTAGTTCCTGAACACTCTGTGCAAAAGAGGCTGGAGTCTGCAACTTAAAAAAGATAAATGTTAACTTTCCCAAAGGTCAGATAATCCTTTAAATATAAAGATTATTTATATCACAATCATTTTTGCGATTTATTAAATTTAATTTTTATCTTCCCATATACCCTACACTTTGGCCAGAGTAGATTACTTGCTACCCAAATAAATTCTGTACTTCTCTGCATCCAGAGCTTGGCACATTGTGTACTGTATTGCCTCTGCTGTCACATTCTTCAAATGTGAGACCTCTCTCAATTCAGCCTACCATCAATTAGATATACTGATGAGTCTTCTTTGTGAATTGTTAATTCCTGTTTCTCTCCCCATTAATTTACTAGAATTAGTGCTTTCCTCATCGCTTTTAATAAATTCTCTTTTCTATTATCCAATATGGTGACCTTGGCAATATGTGGCTATTTAAATTTAAGTTAATTAAATGAAATAAAAATTTCAGTTCATCCGTTGCAAAAGTCACATTTCAAATGCTTAATGGCCGTGTGTGACTAGTGATCACCATATTGGACAGTGCATACACAGAACATTTTCATGATTACAGAAAGTTCTATTGCTCTATAAAATATCACACACACTGCAAAGTTTACCAGTTTGTTGTGCAAAGGTCTCTGGATATTAAATTTAAAGCACTGCGTGTGATATGAGAAAATTACTGTAGGATATACACCTAGTTACACAGTTCAGTTCAGACAAGATTAACCACCTTGTAGAATCTTTATAAAAGACAAGCCAAGCCAGGCCAGGCACAGTGGCTCACGCCTGTAATCCTAGCACTTTGGGAGGCTGTGGTGGGCAGATGACGATGTCAGGAGTTCGAAACCAGCCTGGCCAACATGGTGAAACCCCGTCTCTACTAAAGATACAAAAAATTTGGGCGTGGTACAGGGTGTGGTAGTGCGTGCCTGTAATCCCAGCTACTTGGGAGGCTGAGGCAGGAGAATCGCTTGAACCTGGGAGACAGAGATTGCAGTGAGCCGAGATAGTGCCATTGCACTCCAGCCTGGGTGACAGGGTGAGACTCTGTCTCAAACAAACAAACAAACAAAAAAAGCCAAGTTTCTCTTCAGAGGTAGAAAGGTACTCCTCTAATAGATCATTACTAAGCGTTAAGCGTTTCCGTAAATTATAAATGAGTTGCAAAACTTCCGATACAAGCTCCTGTCCAAACCTAAGAGTTGCAGGTAAAGTCTGGTTAAAGGTATCCAGGGAAGACTTATAGAGCAGAGCAAACAACCTACATTGTAACTGAAAATTATGTACCGCCTTTTTATCCCCCCTAAAGAGACAGGGTCTCACTCTGTTGCCGAGGTGCTAACATAGCTCACTGCACCCTCAAACTCCTGAGCTCAAGGGATTCTCCCACCATAGCCTCCCAGGTAGCTGAGACTATAGGCGCCTACCACCACACCTGGCTATTTTTTTTTTTTTTTGGTAGAGATGAGTGTCCCAATGTTTCCCAGGCTGTGACTGAACTCCTGGCCTCAAGCAATCCCCCCACCTTGGCCTCTCAAAGTGCTGAGATTACAGGCATCAGCCACTGTGCCCACCCTACACCAAGCATTTAAAAAACATATTTCCCAATTCTCACTGTATTACCCATTCAAGGAATTCTATCTTTAGAAATAGGAAAAAAAAAAAAAAAAAAAAGGTGGGGGGGAATAGTCTGGTAAAAGGTTAGTGTACTCTACACTGAGAATGGTCAAGTTCAAATCCACTTCTGTCATTTATTATCTATGTGATGCTGGAAAAACATATTAACTTCCCTTTGTCTTTGTCTAAAATGGATAATACAGGGCTGTTGAGAGGATTAAATGAATTATTTAAAACCACTAGATACATATTAAGATTTTAGTAAATGTTCATTATTTTTTTTTTAGGTTACTCTTACTATTTGACTCTATTTCTCTAAATTAAATGTAGAGTGGTCTCTAGAGTTGGCCTTCATCTCTGTGATTCTAGTAAAAATACAATAAAATATAAAATAAGTAAAATAAAAAATATAAACTAATCAAATCTTTAAATGAACAAAGTGGTATTATAACGTGATTGGTTATGACATGACACTGGCTATAAATACAATTTACAAAAGCTATACAGTATTCACTTTAATATACATTTGTTAAATGAATTACCAAAATGCCAAGATTAGTCTAAGAAGTAAGGAACAAAAAAGGTCCTACCTTGTCAATAATGGACTGCATATGAGATTTGTGAGACTGGTCTCCATAAAGCAAAGAGGACCACTGGTCCGGTGCAATTCGTAAGCCTGCTTCCATAGCAATCTGCACTATCTGGGAGTCATGTTCTCGCCGCAGAGCTTCATAGGTTCTAAATTCTTCTTTCAGCTGCATCAAAGAAGAGTCTTCATCACGTTTGGTGACCTAATAAGACACAAATAATCTCATAATGAAGTCAAAAAAATGAGTTTATGCTTTATATGAACATATAATTTTTAATGTAACAAATTTAGCATCAACAGCAAGATTAAATGAATATACCATTTGCCTGCAAAATATTTTCTCCTTAACTTGTTGAGGTAGGTATATTGCTATCATCCCATTCTGAGTCAAGTTGGATTTAGGCCAACATTTTCTGGATAGGTCTTTCAGAAAGAATAAATACAGGCTGAGAATCTCTTACCCAAAATGCTTGGGCCAGAAGTGTTATCAGATTTCAGATTTTTTCAAATTTTAGAATATCTGCATTAAACCACTTGAGCATCCTTACTCTGAAAATCTGAAATGCCCCAATGAGCATGTGAGCATCATGTTGGTGTTCAAAAAGTTTTGGATTTTGGATTTTTGTATAGTCAATCTGTATGTGCTGGAATGAAATCCAAAGATTTGACATACTTTAACATATACATTCAGTTTAAGGTGTATGTGTGTGTATATGTATTTTTGAAAAGAAAAAAATACTAATACAATTCTATATTCTGAAAAACAATATGTTTCTTCTCCATAAATGTGGATTATGACTCTTGGGATTGCCTGACAATGAGCTAGGTGGGACTGATGACTGTAGAGCTTCAGATGCTGGTGTAATTCTAAAAATGATTTAATTTGTACTTGGCTTAATTCTTCATGGAGTTTTGTGGGATGGGCTACTACCAGAAAGTGTAAAGTGTGAGATGCTAGACTAGAATAATCATAATGATTATGATTAGAAGGCTGGAGGCAGGAGAATTGCTTGACCCAGAAGGCAGAGGATGCAGTGAGCCAAGACTACACCACTGCACTCCAGCCTGGGCGACAGAGCAAGACTGCATCTCAAAAAAAAAAGTCAGAAAAATAATACTGGATGTACAATAAATGATACATAGTGAGTAGCAATGTTTGAGGCGGTGCTTATTCAATTTGGGATAAGAGACTATGTCCAGCATTACCATATAAACTGAAATGGCAAATGGAACTTCATTATTGTATATGTGGAATTACACTAGGAGAAAATCTCTGAATAAAATTTATTTGGCTGGGCGCGGTGGCTCACGCTTGTAATCCCAGCACTTTGGGAGGCTGAGGCGGGCAGATCACCTGAGGTCAGGAGTTCGAGACCAGCCTGGCCAACATGGCGAAACCCCGTCTCTACCAAAAATACAAAAAGTAGCCAGGTGCAGTGGCCCTGCCTATAATCCCAGCTACTCGGGAGGCTGAGACAGGAGAATCGCTTGAACGCAGGAGGTGGAGGTTGCAGTGAGCCGAGATCATGCACTGCACTCCAGCCTGGGCGACAGCAAGACTTTGTCTCAAAAAAATAAAAATAAATAAATAAAATTTATTTGTGCTTCAATAACTCTCTCTTCAGACCAATTCTGCACAGTCTTGGTAAGAAATTGATATAGTTTCTTAGTCTCTTCAAATACAAAAATCTATAAACCTTGACTTGATCTATGTTGTTCAATATTGAACATACAAAAATTCAATATAATAGTATTTAACTATAATAAGACCCCATCTACATTCTTTAAAAGAATAAAGAAAAATTGCTGAGATTTTCTGAAAAGATACAGGCAACTTTATTAAACTCAAAGTTTTACTACTTAACTTTGGGGAAAGAACAATATTTCCTTTCAAGCTGAGCTTTAATGTAGGTTCATACCTTGAAACAGGAGGCTCTATAAAGGAGCTGAACAACATGCCCAATGCTAGTTTTAGAGGCTTGAGGAAACCGTGGCTCCAATCTTTGCACCACAAACAGAACCAATACTTTTCTTGACAAAGCAGAACCATCTTCTAAGGCCAGCAGAACCAACTTTAAAGCTTCCTCCTGCATTGCTAGGGAAAGTTGGGCAAAACCAAAATTTATCAAGTACATAGATAAGATAAATCCATTTATTAGAAGGGGAATATTTAATCATTTCTGCAGCTATTCAATTAACTGGCAATACAGTTAAGATTAACCAGCAACACACTTTTACACCATTTTTGTGAGCAATTTTGTATTACATTCTATATATTTTATAAAGAAAACAGATAAAGTGATTAATAAATTTAAGAAAAACTTCTATCAAAATGAATGAACTTCCTGCTACAGGTGTGAAAAAAAGGAAAAATCAAAAAATTAAAAAAAGAAACAACTTTTGGCATTAAGAGAAAAGTTTTAAGTTCACTAAGTTCACCTAGTAAGTCCACTAAGTTACATGGAATTGCCCAAGCCATGAACATCAAACAAGATATTAGTTGGTAACAATAAAATACTGCAAAGAACTAGGCTTTGTACATCACTTATAATTCCTACATCATACTTTTAGAATTACCAGCAGAATAAATACCTAAAGTTAATTATGTACCTGGTCCAAGGAACTGGCATCCCCTAGCCCTTACTGCTGCCCAAAGATTGGAAGAGAGTTGCTGAGGATTCTGGTGCTGGAGAATGAGCTCTGTAACTGTTCGTTCACCTAAAGATCGAGCTGCCCTCATGGCACGAATCCTGCCTTCTTCTTCTACTAGTTGACAGTGGACTAGAGTCACAAGCTTCCTCTGCATTGGGCGACTCAGAACACTCTGAGTAGTGCTGTTCAGACCCACTCCTTTAAAAGAGTAAAGAAGTTATTCCTAGGTTCACAATGCAATTTTACAGTCCAGGAGCAATTCTTCTGTTGGGTTAACTTGTGGGTATGTGACTAGTTCTGGGACTACTAGAGTATTTAAAATAAGCAACAAATAAAACCACACATGTAAAGCTTACTTAAGTATACATTTTTAAAGTATACAAATGTATACATGAGTTATCTCATGTGCACTTAGCATTCATTATGACATTAAATATACCATTACTCATTTTAATCATAGAGGAAGAAAGAAAAAAGGACTAGACAACATTGATAATTAGTTTATAATGTAAATCTTGAAGTCCTAAGAGTTCTGGTATATTATTTGACAGTGGTTAACCTTATTTTCCTAATTAAATAGCAAGCCCTTTCTGTGCAGTAATGGCAACTTCCGTATTCATTATACCGCCTATAGCATAGCATATAAAACTGGATAGAAGGCAAACCATTCAGAATTGTCAAATGATGGAAAGCACTGCTGAAGTAAGTAGTTATATTTGCTATTATCATCATTCGAATAATGTTTCCATCATCACATAAACTAAAAATTCACTATTTTATTTGATGTGGTTTGTGTCATGATATTTAGCACAAAATGAGTTTAGTTTACAATAGATAAATTTCATTAACATTTGCTTAATAGCTCACAATTTTTATGGTAACAAGTCTCTTTAGTAGACATTTACTTAGTATGGATAATTGCATCAAATTTACCTCTAGTTAGGTTTTTTGGGAATTCCTCAGGACTTATATAGGATTATGTACTGAGTATTTAAAAAAGCAGTTTTACTCTTTAAATAAGAAACAAAAACAAACTTACCTCTAGCACTGCTGAGCGGTTTTAAGTACAATGCTAATTCTTCTACACATTTCTTGGCTTCCTCATAATGCTTTGTGTCTTCAACCCCACTACACAAAGTAATAGGCTGCTGCTCAGGGACCTGGAGGCCAAAAGAAAAGATCTGTATGAGTGCTCAATTCATTAATTGTTTTATTTAGTATAGTTTATGCACTCATAATGCTGACACTGGTAACATCAAAACGCCCACTAAATTTACTGAATTCTTTCAAAAGATCTTTCCTATTAACATGTATCTTTGCATTCCTTTGTTTTGTTTCTCTAACAGCCTAATTAAGATATAATCGACATACCATACAACTGACTGGTTTAAAGTACATACAATTCCCTGGTTTTCAGTATATTCACAGTTGTCCAAACATAACCACAATCAACTTTAGAACCTTTTCATTACCCCAAAAAGAAACACAGTACCCTTTTAACAATTACCCCTTATTTCTTCCCAACCATCCACCAACCTTTGGAAAGACGAATCTATTTTCTATGGATTTGCCTATTCTGGACATTTCATATAAGCAAAATCAATACAATAAATAGTCTTTTCTGACTTACTTCTTTCACTTAACAATGTGTTCAAGGGTCTTCCAGGTTGTATCAGTACTTCATTCATTTTCATCACTGAATAAAATTCCATTGTATAAATATATCACACTTTATTTACACAATCATCATTGACAGACATATAGGTTGTTTCTATTTTTGACTACTACGAATAATGCTGCTATGAACATCTGTGTACAAGTTTTTGTGTAGACAAAAGTTTTTGTTTCTCTTTGGTATATACCTAGGAGTCTGTATTTAACCTTTTGAAAAACTGCCAAACTATTTTCCAAAAGCAGAGTAGCATTTTATATATCTACCAGGAGTGTATAAGGGTTCCAATTCTTCTACATTTTATGTAGAAAGATAATTCTTCTACTCATTATCTTTTTTTATTATAGCTATCCTGTTGGGTGAAAAGTAGTAATTCATTGTGGTTTGTCTAAATTTTATTTTAAATTAATAATAATTGCATATACTTATGGGGTACAATGTGACGATGTGAGATGACTAAATCAGGTTAATTAACAAATCCATCACCTCACTTTTTTTTTGTAGATTTTAAATAAAATCTACTCTTTTAGCAATTTTGAAACATACAATGTATTACTATTTATAGTCACTGTTCTGTGCAATAGATCACTAAAGGCATTCCTCCAGTCTAACTGAAGCTTTGTATTCTTTGATAATTATCTCTTCTTCCCATCTACCTTCCTCCCACTTCCCTGTGGTTTTGATTTGTATTTCCCTGATAGCTAATGATGTTGACCATCCTTTCATATGCTTATTATCCATTTGTATATCTTCTCTGGAAGAATATCTATTCAGATCCTTTGCCCATTTTGCCTAGTAAACTTTATTTTGTAGAACAGTTTTAGATTTACAGAAAAATGGCAAAGATAGTACACAGAATTCTCATTATCCTGTATTCAGTTTCCCCTATTATTATTATTATTATTTTTGAGACGGAGTCTCCCTCTGTCACCCAGGCTGGAGTGCAGTGGCACCATCTCGGCTCACTGCAACCTCCGCCTCCTGGGTTCCAGCGATTCTTCTGCCTCAGCCTCCCAAGTAGCTGGGACTACAGGAGCAAGCCACCACACTCGACTAACAATTTCCCCTATTATTAACATCTTACACTGGTATGGTACATTTGTTAAAATTAATGAGCCAATATCAACATATTCATAATTAACAACTAAAATCCATGTTAATCAGATATTAGTTTTCACCTAATGTTCTTTCTCAGTTTCAGGATCCCATCCAGGATACCATATTACACTTAGTCTTCAGAGAAAGAGTCTCGCTCTGTCACTCAGGCTGGAGTGCCGTGGCAGCATCTGGGCTCACGCCACCACACCCAGCTAATTTTGTATTTTATTGTAGAGATGGAGGTCCCACTACATTGCCCAGACTGGCCTCGAATTCCTGGGCTCAAGCCATCCACCCACCTTGGCCTCCCTCTCTCCCTCCATGTCTCTCCCTCTTTTTTTTTTCAAAGTTGAGACAAAGTCTCACTCTGTCGCCCAGATTGGAGTACAGTGGCACAATCTCGGCTCACTGCAACTTCCACCTCCCAGGTTCAAGAGATTCTCATGCCTCAGCCTCCTGAGTAGCTGGGATTACAGGCATGCGCCACCACGCCTGGCTGATTCTGTGTATTTTTAGTAGAGACAGGATTTCACTGTGTTGGCCAGGCTGGTCTCCAACTCCTGGCCTCAAGTGATCTGCCTGCCTTGGCCTCTCAAAGCGCTGGGATTACAGGTGTGAGCCACTGCGCTAGCCCTTCAATATCTCTTTAAGCTCCTCTTGGCTTGGACACTTTCTCAGACTTTCCTTGTTTTAATGACCTTGACAGTTTTGAGGAGCACTGGTCTGGTATGTTGTAGAATGCCCCTAAACTGGGATCTAGGATCTGTCATTTTTCTCATGAGTATATTGGGGTTATGGATTTTTGGAAGATCATAGGGGAAAAGTGCCATTTTTTATCACATCATATCAAAGCTACACACCACCAACACAACTTATTATTGCTGATGTTAAATTTGAACAGCTGGTTTAGTCAGTGTTTACCAGGTTTCTCCACTATAAAGTTACATAATCTCCACAAACTGTACTTTTTGGAAGGAGTCACTATGCGTAGCCCACACACATTCTACATCCTTGAGAGCAGAATATCTATGTAATTAATTTGGAATTCTGCACGGGAGATTTGTTTCTTTCTTCCATCTATTTATTCAATCATTTAATTGTATCGTGTAGACTCAAGGATATTTATCTTATACCTGGGTTATGATCCAATTCCATTTATTTTGTTGTTCAAACTGTTTTAGCTTTGGCCATTGAGAGCTCTTTCAGTTGGCTCCTGTGTGCCTTTGATATAGCCCCCATTACTCTGTGTATGTGTCTGTGTGTGTTTTGAATACTTCTCTATACTTTCCAGTGCTACAAGCTACTCCAGACTCATTTCGTGTATTTCCTGTCCCAGTCTTAGAATTAGCCATTTCTCCAAGGAAC
This sequence comes from Homo sapiens, assembly GCF_000001405.40. Classification (NCBI taxonomy): domain Eukaryota; kingdom Metazoa; phylum Chordata; class Mammalia; order Primates; family Hominidae; genus Homo; species Homo sapiens. The sequence continues at coordinate 173,987,595 of NC_000001.11, forward strand.
TCTGGTTCCTTTTATTGGAGAATGGTATTAGAAACCAAGATATGAATGCTATGTATGCACATTACTATTGGGGTGTTGTTCCTTCTAGGCCATCTTAGATGACAGACCAAGGAAATATGTCACTGTAATAACCCGAGATATACATTGTAATAACCCGAGATACACACGAGATATCTCGTATATCTATTTCTGTATATAACCATCTGTATCCATATCAAGCTAAAAATGAGTTCATACTGATGCCTCCAACTCCAATCCATTATCACATGAATCACTCTAACCTCTTCCTCCTTGTTTATCTGTTAACTGGCTCCAATCATTTCCCATTCACTTACTTAACTGTTCAATTCTAATATGTATTATACATACAGCAGTATCAGAATTAATTCGTACCCCCATGGGAAAAGACTAGAGTACACTGCTTATAGATAATATCTTTCTCTATCTTTAATCTTACACAATCTACCTTTCTCCTACACCCCTTTAGTGAAATTGTTTCATATACTTCAGATTGTCTTCCATAATCTTTGTAAAGTTCTACAGTTTTTGACAAATTCAGAGTGTCATATAGCCACAATTACAGAATCATAAAGAACTGTTTTACTGCCCTAAGAAATACTGTTTCACCAATTCTATCCTCCCTCCCTACTCCTGAATCCATGGCAACCACTGATACTTTTATTGTTGCTATGGTTTTACCTTTTACAGATATCACATAATTGGAATCATACAGTATGTGGCCTTTTCATACTGGTATCTTTCACTTAGCAATGGTATACATTGAGATATATCTATGTCTTTTTGTGACTTGACAGCTATGTCTTTTCATTATTTCATTTTATACAATGTGCCATTGTATGGATATACCACTGTTTATCCATTCACCTATTAAAAGATATCTCAACTGCTTCCATTTTTTGGCAATCATGAATAAAGCTGTTATAAATAGTCATGTGAGGGTTTCTGTGTAGACATAAATTTTCAAGTTAACTGGGTAAATACCTACTATGTTAAGCTTATAAAGAAACTGCCAAACTGTCTTCCAAAGTAGCTATACCATTTTTCATTTCCAAAAAGATGAGAGTTTTTGTTGCTCCATATCCTCACCAGCATTTGGTGTTGCTAATGTTTTGGATTTTGGCCATTTTAATTTGTGTGTAGTGGTATCTCACTTGTTTTAATTTGCAATTACTTAAAGACAAACTGCTGAGCTACTTTTCATTTTGCCAATTTTCCAACTGTATAATCTACTTGACGAGGTGATTGTTCAGCTCTTTGTCCATTTTAAAAACTGGGTTGTCTTTTTATCACTGAGTTGTAAGAGTTCCTTATATATTCTACATATAAGTCTTTATCAGAAATAGGATTTTACAATTGTTTTCTCACATTCTGTAGGTTGTTCTTTTTGCTTTCTTGTTGGTATCTTTGTTTTTTGTTGTTGCTATTGTTTTTGAGATAGGGTCTCATTCTGTTGCCCAAGCTACAGCGTAGTGCTGCGATCGAGGCTCACTGCAGCCTCCATCAGGTGATCAGGCTCAGATGATGCTGCCACCTCAGCCTCACAGATAGGTGGGAATACAGGCATGTGCCATCACACCCAGCAATTTTTTGTTGTTGTTGTTATTTTCTGTAGAGATGGGGTTTTGCCATGTTGCTTAGGCTGGTCTCAAATGATCCATCCATCTTGGCCTCCTGGGCTCAGGTGATGCTCCCACCTCAGCCTCACAGACAGGTGGGACTACAAGCATGTGCCACCACACCCAGCAAAAAATTTTTTTTTGTATTTTCTGTAGAGATGGGGTTTTGCCATGTTGCCTAGGCTGGTCTCAAATGATCCATCCATCTTGGCCTCCCACAGTGCTGGGATTACAGACGTGAGCCACTGTGAACAGCCAATTGTTCGTATCTTTGAAATATAGTTTTTAATTTTGATGTTCAACTTATCTTTTTCTTTTGTTCCTTGTGCTTTTTGGTGTCACATCTTGAAAAAAACCCACTGCCTACTCCATGGTCAGAAAGACTTATGTCTATATTTTCTTCTAAGAGTTTTGTAGTTTTAGTTCTTATATTTAGCCTTTGATCCATTTTGAGTTAATAGAGTAAATGTTTATTCAAGTTTTTTTTTTTTTTTTTTTTTTTTTTTGAGACGGAGTCTCGCTCTGTCGCCCAGGCCGGATTGCGGACTGCAGTGGCGCAATCTCGGCTCACTGCAAGCTCCGCTTCCCGGGTTCACGCCATTCTCCTGCCTCAGCCTCCCGAGTAGCTGGGACTACAGGCGCCCGCCACCGCGCCCGGCTAATTTTTTGTATTTTTAGTAGAGACGGGGTTTCACCTTGTTAGCCAGGATGGTCTCGATCTCCTGACCTCGTGATCCACCCGCCTCGGCCTCCCAAAGTGCTGGGATTACAGGCGTGAGCCACCGCGCCCGGCCTATTCAAGTTTTAAGCTACTTTTAAACAACGATTTGTAGTCTTCAAAATATAGTTTTACATTTTTTTTTTTTTTGACAGAGTCGCTCTGTCACCCAGGTTGGAGTGCAGTGGTGTGATTTTAGCTCACTGCAACCTCCCTCTCCTGGGTTCAAGCGAGTCTCATGCCTCAGCCCCGAGTAGCTGGGATTACAGGTGGGCACCTTCACACCTGGCTAATTTTTCTATTTTTTTGGTAGAGACGGGGTTTCACCATGTTGGCCAGGCTGGTCTTGGAACTCCTGGCCTCAAGAGATCTGCTAGCCTCGGCCTCCCAAACTATTGGGATTATAGGCATGAGCCACTGCACCCGGTCTAATTTTACATTTCTTTTGTTAAATATATTCTTAATTTTTTTTATGCTCTTGTAGATGAAATTGATCTATTTTCAGATTGTCCATTGCCAGCGTATAGAAATACAACATATATATTACTTATTTAACAGTCTTTATTAAGGGCCTATGTACCAGACAGTCTTTCTTACGTGTGTAAGAAAAGTATTATTATTATTATTTATTTTTTTTTTTTGAGACAGAGTGTCACTCTGTTGCCCAGGCTGGAGTGCAGTGGTGCGATCTCGGCTCACTGCAAGCTCCGCCTCCCGGGTTCACACCATTCTCCTGCCTCGGCCTCCCAAGTAGCTGGGACTCCTGCCTCGGCCTCCCAAGTAGCTGGGACTACAGGCGCCTGCAACCACGCCCAGCTAACTTTTTGTATTTTTAGTAGAGACAGGGTTTCACTGTGTTAGCCGGGATGGTCTTGATCTCCTGACCTCGTGATCCACCCGCCTCGGCCTCCCAAAGTGCTGGGATTACAGGCGTGAACCACTGTGCCTGGCCTAAGAAAACTGTTATTAACATACTGTGGATGAAAGTATGCAACACTAGCTGGGTACGGTGGCTCATGCCTGTATTCCCAGTACTCTGGGAGGTCGAGACAGGTGGATCACTTGAGGTCAGGAGCTTGAGACCAGCATAGCCAACATGGCGAAACCCTGTCTCGACTAAAAATACAAAAATTAGCTGGGTATGGTAGTGCACACCTGTAATCCCAGCTACTTGGGAGGCTAAGGCATGAGAATCACTTGAACTTGAGAGGCAGAGATTGCAGTGAGCCAAGATCACACCACTGTACTCCAGCCTGGGTGACAGAGCAAGAAAAAAAGAAAGAAAGAAATTATGAAACACTGTAAACACATTTTTACACCTTAGAAAGACTTTTGCTTTTTCAGACAACTGATACTTATATACTCATCTTATATCCTGCAACTCTGCCTAGTTTTTTGTTTCTAATAGCTTTTCCTTTGCAGATTCCTTAACATTTTCTATATATAAGACCATGTCATCTGTGAATGAGATTGTTTTTATTTTTTACTTCTTATCTGAATGTCACCGGTTTCATTTACTTGCCTAATTGCCCTAGCTAGAAGGTCCTGTATGATGTTGAACAGAAATAGTTAAGAGTGGAGATCCTTGACTTGTTCCTGATCTTACAGAAAAAGCATCTAGTCTTTCACCATTCAGTATGTTAGCTGTGGGTTTTTCATCCATGTCCTTTGGGTTGAAGAAGTTTTTCTCCTAGTTGTTTCAGTGCTTTTATTATGAAAAGGTATTGGATTTTGCCAAATGCTTTTTCTGTGTCTATTGAGATGATCATATGTGTGCAATTTTGCAACTTTTACTGATATAGTGAATTACATTAATTGATTTGCAGATGTTAAGTCAAACTTACATTCCTAGGAGAAATTGGTGATTATATATTTTAAAGTCTAATTTATTTTTTCTTTTTCCTTTTAGATGAAAGGAAAATTTGGGAAAATTTTATTTTTTTTATTGTGATAATATATACATAACACAAAATTTACCATCCCAACCATTTTTAGGTTTATAAAGCATTAAGTGTGTTCTAATGGTTCCCAAATGTTGTGCTATAGTTTTTGTCACCTTTCTCATCTTTCATTTCAGTTAATGTCTACTGAGTAAAACTGCCTGAAGCAGCTGCACCTTCTCTACTGAGTAAAGTGCAGTGGTTTTATGAACAATAGTTTTCTCAATGTTAAAAAAGGTCCTTATGACTTACCTCTTAGGTTTCTTTTCTTTTTTTGAGACAGGGTCTCACTCTGTCACCCAGGCTGGAGTGCAGCACGATCTCGGCTCACTGCAACCTCTGCCTCCTAGGTTCAAGCAATTCTCGTGTCTCAGCCTCCCAAGTAGCTGGGATTACAGGCACACACCACCACACCCAGCTCATTTTTTTGTATTTGTAGTAGAGACAGGATTTCACCATGTTGGCCAGGCCGGTCTCAAACACCTGACCTCAAATGATCCACCCGCCTTGGCCCTCCCAAAGTGCTGGGATTACAGGCATGAGCCACCACACCCGGCCTTAGGTTTCTCTAGCGATCTGCATAGCTAGGTTTATTGAATATCTGACAAGATTAAATGGATGTTACTGTACTATGACTAAAAAGCACTGGACTACCACAATAAATCTAACATGCTGAAATAAAGGATTTACAGTACCAAACAGAATTATACCTATTTAAATAGAAGGCAATGTTACCCAATTTTAATTCAACAGGTTTCTCTCAGGAGAAAAACACGCACAACACACACACACACACACACACACACACACAGAGAGAGAGAGAGAGAGAGGGAGAAATTTAAAAGTATTAAGTCACCCATCCTACCTGAGCACCCACGAGCTGCAGCAATGCTGAGTTCACAGGGAGGAGCTCAATGTCTGTATTGATAGTGGTCTGGTCAAATGGGCAAGCCTTGCGGTGGAGTTTATTCAGGCACATCTTGCAGACAGTATGGCCACAACCCAAACTGATGGGCTTTCGAATTGTTTCGTCGAAAGTCTGAGTGCAAATTGGGCAGGAGAGGAAATCCGTCCATTGTGGAGCTTGTACAGGCATTGCTTCTGGAGTTACAATTCACGAACACAAACACACACACAAATCTAAAGCAAAGATTCCACTGGAATCAAAATCTTTGAAAAAAAGTTTATCTTTTTTTTTTTTAAATATCTTCTGTAGATACAGTCAGCACATAGTGTGAAATATAACCTGAAAATAAAGAAAAAGGAAAAAAATTGAGTGTCTTTCTTTTCAATTAAACTGTTGAAAAAGAACCACAAGTCCAGTCTTATTCCACAACTTTTTATACCACATTTGTATCACTGTAATCCATCTTTTTACACTTTTACAGAATTAGAGCCATGATAGAACATCTATTTCCATTCCCTCATTTTAGAGATGGGAAGTAGTCCCCTGCCTAAGAGGAAACTTGAAGTTAATAATAAAGTTCCATCCAGGACCCTAGTCTCTTAAGTTTATCTAAGTCTTTTTTTTTTTTTTGAGACGGAATTTCGCTCCTGTTGCCCAGGCTGGAGTGCAATGGTGCAACCTCCGTCTCCTGGGTTCAAGCGATTGTCCTGCCTCAGCTTCCCAAGTAGCTGAGATTACAGGCATGCACCACCACACCTGACTAATTTTGTATTTTTAGTAGAGACGGGATTTCTCCATGTTGGTCAGGCTGGTCTTGAACTCCTGACCTCAGATGATCCTCCCGCCTTGGCATCCCAAAGTGCTGGGATTACAGGTGTGAGCCACCATGCCCAGCTAAATCTCTAATTTTTAAAAAATAAATATATCTAAAAAATAATCTTGGCTGGGTATGGTGGCTCACGCCTGTAATCCCAGCAATTTGGGAGGCCAAGGCAGGCAGATTCCTTGAGGTCAGGAGTTCGAGACCAGCCTGGCCAACATGGTGAAACCCCATGTCCACTAAAAATACAAAAATTAGCCAGGCGTGGTGGCAGGCGCCTGTAACCCCAGCTACTCAGGAGGCTGAGGCGGGAGAATCGCTTAAACCCGGGAGGCGGAGGTTGTGGTGAGCCAAGATCGCGCCATTGCACTCCACTCTGGGGAACAAGAGTGAAACTCCATCTCAGAAAAAAAAAAAAAAAAAAAAAAGCTTTGTTGGGGAAGGGGGTAGAGGGAGGGAAGAATTACTGAACAAGACATAAATAACTTTTGACAGCCAGGCGCGGTGTCTCAGGTTTGTAATCCCAGCGCTTTGGGAGGCTGAGGCGGGTGGGTCACTTGAGGTTGGGAGTTCAAGACCAGACTGGCCAACATGGTGAAACCCCGTCTCTACCAAAAATATAAAAAATTAGCCAGGTGTGGTGGTGCATGGCTGTAATCCCAGGAACTCGGGAAGCTGAGTAAGGAGAATTGCTTGAACCCAGGAGGTGGAGGTTGCGGTGAGCCGAGATCCGCCACTGTACTCCTGCCTGGGCGACACAGTGAGACTCCATCTCAAAACAAACAAACAAACAAAACTTTTGACAACATAAGAATATTTTAAAAGTAGAAACAATTTATATAAACATATGTTTCCTCTGTATTTATACCACAATCTTGACAGACTCATACAAATTTTTCAGGCTGGGTGTGATGGCTCATGCCTATAATTCCAGCACTTTCAGAGGCTGAGATGGGAAGACTGCTTGAGCCCAGGAGTTTGAGACCAGCCTAGGTAACATAGGGAGACCCTGTCTCTACAAAAATTAGCCAGGCGTGGTGGCATGCACCTGTGGTCCCAGCAACCCAGGAAGCTAAGGGCTAAGGTAGGAGGATCGCTTGAGCCCAGGAGTTTGAGGCTGCAGTGAGCTACGAACATGTGACTGCACTCCAGCCTGGGTGACAGAGCAAGACCCCATCTCAAAAAAAAAAAAAAAAAAGAAAAAAGAAACCTTATTCCATTCCCAGGAAAAATTTAATTTAGTTAAATGACAAAAAAATGTTTTATTGGTCTTTACTATGTGTTCAGTACTAACGATAAAAAAAAGATAAGTCATTCTAAGTCCACATGGAGCTTGCACTGTTTCTTTCACTAAACATATAAACAGCAATCACATAACTAAATATATAATTGCAAGTTATGGTAAGTGATATGTAGGTAAAGTACAGGGAGATACAAGCATATATAACAGAGGCAACCTGACCAAATTAGGGTGGAGCTGATGTACAGGTAAGTGATATTTATGGTAAGATTTTAAAGATGACTGCTGAACGAAAGTTAAGGGAAGAATAATGTTTAATATGTGTGGTATAGATTCTAGGTAAAGAAACAGCATAACCATAGATTCTGAGACTAGATAGAATATAGTAGAGATGAGGCCAGGCATGGTGGCCCACACCTGTAATCCCAGCACTTTGGGAGGACGAGACAGGTGGATCACCTGAGGTCAGGAGTTTGAGACCAGCCTGACCAACATGGAGAAACCCCGTCTCTACTAAAAACACAAAATTAGCCAGGCATGGGGGCACAATGCATGTAATCTCAGCTACTTGGGAGGCTGAGGCAGGAGAATGGTGTGAACCTGGGAGGCAGAACTTGAAGTGAGCCAAGATTGTGCCACTGCATTCCAGCCTGGGTGACAGAGCAAGACTCCATCTCAAAAAAAAAAAAAAAGAAAAAGAAAAAAAGAATTAGCAAGGACCAAAGAACACAGGATCTTCTAACTTATATGATGGTATTTGGTTACTATATGAAGAGTAGTGTAAAGCCACTGAAGGGGCAGGAGGTGACTCACTTTATTGTTTTCAATGTTCTCCTGTGATATTATTCTCACCAATCACACACAGTCCACTATGATCTCCTTCAAGGCTCAACTAGGAAGAGTAACAACTATATGTCTTTTCTCACTCTTGGGCCCTAAAGCACTCATATGCTGCTACACCAGCATGATGCTTACTTTAAGAAAACCTGATATGTAAAAATATGGAAAACAGATTGATTACAGTGATTGTCCATATTACAGAAAGATAATAAACTTTACCAAGGTATTTATAATAAGATTTAAAAGACCAGAAATCGATGCAATTGAAAAAATTGGGCTGGGTGTGGCGGCTCACGCCTGTAATCCCAGCACTTTGGGAGGTCGAGTTGGGCAAATCACCTGAGGTCAGGAGTTTGAGACCAGCCTGGCCAACATGGTGAAACCCTATCTCTACTAAAATTACAAAAATTAGCCAGGTGTGGTGATGGGCGCCTGTAATCCCAGCTACTCGGGAGGCTGAGGCAGTTGGACTGCTTGAACCCGGGAGGGGGAGGTTGCAGTGAGCCGAAATCACGCCGTTGCACTCTAGATAAACAGAGACATACCAGTGCTATGAAAATGTATGGAAAGAGACTCAAAATACATTAAGTAAAAAAAAAAGCCTTGAAGACCAATATATATGACATCATTTGTGCTGAGGGAAAAGAACCCTTACATATTAGTCTACGTATTAATATATGTAAATGAATGGAAGAAAAAGGTCTGAAAAGACACTCAACAAGCTGTAAGCAGACAGCAAGGTCTTCATGGACTATAGGAATTAATCAACTTGAACAATCAGCCTGTTTTATAGCCTCCTGCCTTGCAGCCTATTTTTGCCTAAACCCTGTGTAGAATGCAGTCACCTAGACAGCTGGAACCAGTTCCTCACAGACCCTGGCCACTCACAGATAAACCTGAGTGAACTTTCCTCGTTACCATGCTAAAGTCTCCATCCTGGGAGAAGCTATAGCTTCACTACCATAGCATGTGACCTACGTCCGGGCATAAAGACTCACTATATGTGCACCACTGGGACCCCTCCTCTACATGCAGTGACATACCCTCTCTTCCCTCTCCATCGCCCCATAAAACCCTCCTCTCACTTTCCCTCAGAGACCCACTGCTTTGGAGAATACTCCCAGTGCTCTCCTTACTTGTGACAAGTAATAAAACTTCCATTGATCAAAATCTGTGTTCTTGTGGAGTCATTTTTTACTTGAAAGGCAAAGGAATTCTGTTTTTTTTTTGGGTAACAAAACTTAACGGCACTGCCAGGCATGGTGGTTCACGCCTGTAACCCCAGCACTCTGGGAGGTGGAGACAGGTGGATCTCTTGAGCCCAGGAGTTTGAGACCAGCCTGAGCAATCAAGTGAGACCCCGTCTCTACAGAAATATAAAAAATTTAGCTGGACATGGGCACCTGTAGTCCCAGCTATATGGGAGGCTGAGGCAAGAGGATTGCCTGAGCCCAGGAGGTCGGAGCTGTAGTGAGTCATGTTTGCTCCACTGCACTCCAGCCTGGGCAACGGAGCGAGACCTGTCTAAAACAAAACAAGACAAAAAAACTTAATGGCAGTTACACAGTTGGGCAACTTACAAAAGTATGTAATCATGAATTACTTATATAAGTACAAATAAATTGAAAGAGTAACACAAAGCTAGAGTACACTTAGAGTACAATTTAAGCTTCTTAAGATAATCACTCTAAAACGATTCAAAACATTTGTCCTAATATTATTAATCTTCTTTTACACATTTAGATAGCCAAATATCAAAACTTATTAGTTCTTTTCAAAATTTAAGAACCTTAAAATAGTTTGTAACTTATCCCTTCAAAGAATTAGCATTCCTTTATTAATTTTGTTTATCACCTCCATCTCTATTAACTTTGTAAAGTAAGGTATGTAGTTGTTAATCTCTTAAATTTTCTAGTAAAATAGTTCTTTGACACAACTATAAACAACTTGATAGAATAAAAATACAAAAATCAGCAATCAGTTCTTCATTAAAAATAAAAGCATTATTTTGACCATAAATACAGGTTTGAGAGACCAAGGGGAAAATAATATTAAACCTTGACTTTTTCTGGGAAATTTGATGATTAATAACAGAAAGTCACTCTTAGATGACCCTATTTCAGGACTTAAAAAATCACAAGGCAAAGATTTTTTTGAGACTCAAAGTGTCAGTTAATTGTAGATCATAGATCTAAGAAGAATTTCCATTTCCTCATTCTTTAAGTATCTTTCTCTAAACGCATTCTTCCAAACATTCTCCAAGCTTCTCAAAGACAGTTTATATACTCTTCAACCACAACATGTATCTAAACCACAAAAGACATGATTTACTAAATACAATAAGCATTCTTTCAGTCAAAAGTAAACATATGAAATAAAATTATTAATATACCAACATCCAGATTTTTTGAACTTCCTCAGAAAAAGGTATGTCAGCAAACTAAAAAAGGGCCACAAAACAAAAACAGCTGTAAATAATTCTACTAATCAAAGCACATGCATTCAAGGCCTGCAGATAAACTGTTGGGGGTCAGGCCAAATCTAGTTCATTAGGAGTATTTCTATTGGAACCTTCCAATTGAAACAGAAGACAAATGATGAGCCCTCTTTATTTCCAAAAAGATTCAAAAGAGTGACACTGCTGCTCAAGTATGAAAGCAATGATTAGTTTCCCCACCAGTTTAAATAAGGACACCTCTCCTACAAAAATGACGAGATTTTACTGTTGATAATTGCTAATACAGAATATACATGATAATTAAATAGCAATCAGTTCAAGGGTCTGACCTAAGACCCAAGTTCAAAAATACCATATAATTTCCCCAATTATATATACACATTTTTACACCACTAAAGAGTGCTCACAGAAAACACTGAAAAGACTGCTTTATTCAGTTATATGCCTTGTTCATGGCATTGACTGAAGCTACAGTACAGAATATCACATCTGACATTTCACTATTAATTTATCCCAATGTCTAAATTCTGGTTAAGAACCACCACTTTCTTAAATCTCTAAACTTTTATCACTAATATTACCATTTGACTTTACTCAGGTTTTTTTTCTTAACAAAGAAATAAAGATCTTATTATCAAAATAAAAAAATTATTTCAGCTAGGTGCTGTGGTTCACGCCTGCAATCTCAGCACTTTTGGGTGGCTGAGGTGGGAGGATCACTTGAGACCAGGAGTTTGAGATCAACCTGGCCAAAAAGGCAAGACCTTGTCTCTATAAGCAAAATAAAAAATGAGCAGAGTGTGGTGGCACGTACTTGTAGTCCCAGCTACTCAGGAGGCTGAGGTGGGAGGTATGCTTGATCCCAGGAGTTCAAGGTTTCAGTGAGCTATGACCACACCACTGCACTGCAGCCTGGGCAACACAGAGAAACCCCATCTCTAAAAAAAAAAACTGTTGGGCGTGGTGGCTCACACCTGTAATCCCAGGACTTTGGGAGGCTGAGGTTGGCAGATCACCTGAGGTCAGGAGTTTGAGACCAGCTTGACCAACATAGAGAAACCCTGTCTCTACTAAAAATACAAAAATTAGCAGGCACATGCCTGTAATCCCAGCTACTCGCGAGGCCAAGGCAGGAGAATCACTTGAACCTGGGAGGCAGAGGTTGCGGTGAGCCGAGATCGTGCCATTGCACTCCAGCCTGGGCAATGAGAGCAAAACTCCACCAAAAAAAAAAAAAAGAGAGAGAGAGAAAGAAAGATATGAATTATAAACAACAAGGCTACTTGCTTGGGTCCACCAGCTAAGTAACTAGTTTGTAGATACCAAACTCCAAGTCTTACAGCTCCCTTAGCTGTTAAATTCAAATGTATGCCTCTGCAAAATAACAAATAACTACATATTGTGAGCATCGATGTTTAAGTATGATTAAAACATTGTCAATGAGCAACTACAGACAAAATTGTGATGACATGATGCATCTGGAAAGACGTAGAACAGCTTTGTTTTCTGAAAATCAATCATGTGTCAGTCACTGTGCTAGGTGTTTTCAGATGTTTCTCTTATTTAAATATCCACAATGTGGACTACCACCAATAACCAACATTTGTGAAGCAAAAACTAGGATATTATACTTTCAGTGCTCTATATACAGTATCTAATTAATGTTCACAGTAACACTGTAATGTAGTTATTATGCCCATTTTAAAGATAAGGAAACCAAAGTACCCAAGTCACAAAGCTAGAAAGTGGCACGACTAAGACTCAAACTCAGGACAGCCAAACTCCCAGGCTGGTACTTTGAAACTCTATAATTTGTGCCACCACACGAATAAAAGTTTATAGTAATTATGGCAAGGGAGCTCTTGGGAGTGACAGAAATGCCTTAAAATTGTATGGTAGTAATGGTTGCACAACTCTGTAAATTTACTAAAAATCATTTGTGTATTTAAAATAAGTGAATTCTATGGTATGTAAATTATACTTCAATAAAGCTGTTAAAATAGTCATTAAGGGCTTTTTAATAGTCTTAGTTTTCAAAAATGTTAAGTAATAATGTAGAAACATAGAAACTATTCGAATCTGTTCTATGAGCACAGCAATAGCCCTATTAAATAGCTAAATTACATTGCTGTGAAGATTTCATTTAAACATATGACACATTTATTACCATCTCCTTTATTATAGGTTCATTTTATATGTTCCTGATTTAGAGAGAGAAAAATGGAAATTAAAATTCAACTATCTACTCTGAGCCAGGCACTCCTCTGAGGCATTACTATGCCCATTTTACAGAAGATAACTTGAGGTTTGGCGGCATTAAGTAACGGCCCCAAATCAATAAACTGTTGAGCTGGGATTAACACCAGGTCTTACATATCTGAAATATAAGTTGGCCTGTGAAAAATGTTTTTATCAAACAAAACCACACTGTCTGTAAGAAGAAAATCTTGGCTCTCTTCCCACTATGCCCGATGAGATGAGATTTTAACTCATTATTCTTGACCTTAACTTAATTTTTCATTTCTCTGGAACATTTCCATAGCAACCAGCATGTAGGGCCACATCAGAGAAGAGAAAATGTTTCACTGCCTTGAAAAATGAAGCTAGAAGCAGGAGATAAAAACACAAAGAAGAAAACTAATGAAGGCCTATTATAACACTTAATTTTTTAATCCTCAGCAGAGCATCAACTAATTTACAGTGGAAATAGAGTCTAAAATTTGAGGCTCAAGGTTTTTCCAGCAATAATATCTTGTGAACAAAGACCCAGTTTTGATTGTAAAAATACATCTTCCCAAAATGTATGGACTGAATTGTAACCCTATATATACAAAATCCTGGATGTAAATAATTTAATATGATTATGTTAGTACAAATGGATAAATACTTGGGACAGGCATAAAGAGAAGGGCTTCTGAGTTAGAGGGAAAAAATAGCTTGAAAAATAGAACTTGATAAAGAAAGGTGGAGGAAAGTTCAAGGGGTTAATTCAGGTTGCTTACTTTTTCAGCGTTCAGAGGCAAAAAGAAAAATTTCTATCTCCAACCTAATACCAGATTGAGGAGAAGTAGTAAGAAAGGACAAAATCATTCATGGAGAAGCCGCCTGACCTGAGTTTGAAACAGAGTGCCTGAGAAAGTAAGACAGTCTTTAACTTTACGTATGTAGTTTGAATCTCCAGGTTCAAGTTATGCATTATATACAAATGTGCTACACTAAAGAGGGCATTAGCCCTCATTAATTATCAAAGAGGTGGCAGAATGATGTGACCAGACTCAAAGGCATCATCTTTTTTTGTTTTTGTGTTTTTGACACAGATTCTCATTCTGTTGCCCAGGCTGGAGTACAGTGGCACGATTTTGGCTCACTGCAACCTCCACCTCCTAGGTTCAAGCCATTCTCATGCAGAGTAGCTGGGATTACAGATGTGCAACACCATGCCTGGCTAATTTTTGCATTTTTAGTAGAGATGGGGTTTCACCACGTAGGCCAGGTCTCAAACTCCTGGTCTCAAGTGATCAGCCTCAGCCTCCCAAAGTGCAGGGATTATATAGGCATGAGCCACCACGCCCAGCCAAAAGCACCATCTTTAAAGGTAGTAGAAAGGAAAATTTACCGATTAAGCAAAAAAGCAAAATGTTTTAATTTTTTCAGTTTTTGCATTAACACTCTGTTGAATATTACATATACTATACTATCAAGTAAATAAATTTATAATCACCAATTTAGTGTTAGTACAAACACTAAGGATGTAATAAAAACTGGTTACTAAGATCAGGAGTATTTTTAGTATACATTGAGCATTCCAGTTTACTCATTACCCTCAAAAAATTTTACAAAATTGTTTGCTTTATTATCTTAACTGCTTTTAAATTAATCATAAATTTCTGAAACTGTTTTTTTGTTGGGGGCGGGGGAGGTAAAAGTTGACATCTCCTTCTTAATCAAGCTTCTTTTCTAAATCAGAAAGATATTTCAATCCCAAAATGAAAGATTCATGTATACATTTTGAAGATGAGGCCAAATATTTTAACAAGACTAAACAGTTTTCCAGGTCATCTTTTGAAATCAGTCCTCTTGCTGCAATAATGGTTCATTTTTATAAAGGAAGTTTACTCCTCTTGTCCAGTTATTTTGAGACACACAAATCTGACTGGCAAATAATCATGTGGGATGCAGGGACAAATAATCACAATGGAAAGAAAATCTAACCTGTGCCTGATAAATTTATGTTTCAGGTTGTTAAATACTATCCTATAGAATCCTCAGGAATATGATGAAATTAAGACATTTTAGAGGGTGGCACTAATATTCTGTTTCTTCAACTTGTCCTTCATTATTAGTTCTTTCCCCACTGGCATGCTTAAATCTTTGTTCAGGAGCTGAAAGAAATTTGTCTCCAACTTGTCTCATCTAAAAAAGTCATTCAATCCTTGTCCCTGTTTCCATCCACCACTATTGTGGAATAATTCTTAACAAGCACATTAAGAACCTTATGAAATTCAAGAGTCATATCTCAATTCTTATTTTACTTCTTTCTATATAGCATTTAATAATATTAAAGTTACTCCTACAAAAGCTGCCCTTTTCTAGGTTCTATACAACATACTGTCCAATGATTGGCAAGCCACTCCTTGCCCATATCTATTGAGGGCTTCTTCTTCTCTATTCATCCTTGGAATAGTGTTGGTTCTTAGAATTCCTTCCCCAGTTCTCTTCCCTAGAAAGTTTCCCTGAGTAATTTCATCTGTTTTTATGTTTTCAACTACCAACTAGATCCTGCTGACTTCCAAATCTCTCTCTCAAGTTCAGACTTCTCTTCTGAGTGCCAGGGCCATATAACCAGTTGACTACTAAGTCATCCATGTTCATCTCCTCCCCACCAAACCTTTTGTTCTCTTTGTCAGTGACTGAGTGACATACCAATTACTGTGATAAAAGCATGGGGAACTGCCAGGCGTGGTGGCTTATGCCTGTAATCCCAACACTTTGGGAGGCTGAAGTGGAGGATTACCTGAGGTCAGGAGTTCGAGACCAGCCTGGCCAACGTGGTGAAACCCCGTCTCTACTAAAAATGCAAAAATTAGCCAGACATGGTGGTGGGCGCTTGTAATCCCAGCTACTCAGGAAGCTGAGGCAGGAGAATTCCTTGAACCCAGGAGGTGGAAGTTGCAGTGAGCCGAGATTGAGCCACTGCACTCCAGCCTGGGCAACAAGAGCAAGACTCCTATCACACACACACACACACACACACACACACACACACGTACGGGGAATCATCCTTGACTACTCTCTTTTCTCACACCCCTACCCATCAACTCATCAATCGCCATGTACATATTATTTCTTTAATGTTTCTTAAAACCTTCTTATCCATTCCCAATACCAACATCTCTGACCTGGATCACTGTGACAATTTCTTAACTGGTATCCCTGGTAACAAACATCCCTAATACAGCAAAGCTAGGCTATAATAACTAGACTGTAAGTTCCTGAAAAATCAGAGAATTTTTTTTTTTTTTTTGAGACGGAGTCTCTCTGTGTCCCCTAGGCTGGAGTGTAGTGGCACAATCTCAGCTCACTGCAAGCTCCACCTCGCGGGTTTCACGCCATTCTCCTGCCTCTGCCTCCCAAGTAGCTGGGTCTACAGGCGCCCGCCACCACGCCCTACTAATTTTTTGTATTTTTAGTAGAGACGGGGTTTCACCGTGTTAGCCAGGATGGTCTTGATCTCCTGACCTTGTGATCCGCCCACCTCGGCCTCCCAAAGTGCTGAGATTACAGGCATAAGCCACTGCGCCCGGCAATTCCCCATGCTTTTATCACAGTAACTGGTATGTCACTCAGTCACTGAAGTTTTTTTAATCTTTCTTTTAAAATTATTTTATATATATGATATATTATTATATATCATATATAATTATATATTATTAATTATATATTATTTATTTTTATTTTTATTATTTTTTGAGACAGGGTCTTGCTCTGTCATCCAGACTGGAGTCAGCAGCACAATCACTGCTCACTACAGCCTCAAGTCTCACCCTTCTGGGCTTAAGTGATCCTCTTACCTCAGCCTCCCAAGTAGCCAGGACTATAGGTGTGCACCAACACACCTGGTTAGTTTTTTAAAAATTTTTAGTAGAAATGAGATCTCACAATGTTGCCCAGGCTAGTCTCAAACTCCTGGGCTCAAGTGTTCTCCCATCTCAGCCTCCAAAATTGTTGAAGTTACAGGCGTGAGCCACTGTGCCTGGCCCTATTTTCTCTATGGTTTTAATACACAAATACGTATGTTATCCTATATAGGTTAGCAAATCAATCAAGCTGGAGTATTTATGTGTTCTCTAAGAGAATGTCACTTGGCAGGGCCAGGGGCAGTGGCTCATGCCTATAATCCAGGCACTCCAGGAGGCCAAGGCAGGTGGATCACCTGAGGTCAGGGGTTCGAGACCAGCCTGACCAACATGGTGGAACCCCATCTCTACTAAAAATACAAAAAAAAAAAAAAAAATTAGCTGGGCATAGTGGCAGGTGCCTGTAATCCCAGCTACTAGGGAGGCTGAGGCAGGAGAATTGCTTGAACCCAGGAGGCGGAAGTTGCAGTGAGCCAAGATCACAAAAGAGAGAAAAGAAAAAAGTCTATCGGGCTAATGGGAAGCTGCCAGGGAAGATAGGGTCTTACCATTCAGAGTAACATGCAAAGGCCCTAGGTTTCTTCCCCAACAGTTTCCCACTAGCCCAAAAGCTTTTTTTTAGAGGGGGGTGGGCAGGGGGACAGGAGTCAGTTGACTTTCTATTAGAGAATACGTGAATACTCCAGCTTGATGGATTTGCTAACATATATAGGACAGCTTCCTAAGTATTAAAAACCATAGAGAAAATAGTGACATGGGGTTTATTTCCCCCATCCTTCAACCTGGGTGGCCCTGACTTACTTTCAACAGTTGCATGCAACAGAAGTGATGCTGGGAGAGTTTCAGAGCCTAGGTCTCAAGAGACTTTGCAGGAAGCTTGAACTAGCTTGTCTGAGGACAAGAGTACATGAAACAAAGAAGAGCTGTTTTATAATAGCTCAGATCCCTAAAACCAGTCCTAATTTGAGCTGTCAGATGATTGTAGCTACACAAGTGGCCTCAGGGGAGACTAGCAGAACTACCAAACTAAACTCAGTCCAAATTGCTGACTCACAGAATTGTAAGCGAATAAAACGGTTGTTTTAAGCAGCTAAATTTTAGAGTGGTTTGTTATTTAATAATAGATTATCTGGTGATTATATAATTAAGATAGTTTTACATATATAAATTTCATTATAGTCTTTTGAGAAAACATATAATATTGATGTAGGAATTTGAAAGATTGTCTCAATTGAATCATAACCTTTTTGACAGAACATATTTATCTTTTTTTAGGCTCTAAAAATCACAAAGATACTGACGGACCTTCACAAACACAACATGCCTAAATTTGGCTCCTCAATCCTGCATCATAAATTATCAGTAACAGAAAAGCAAAAGGATACATTTTCAAAGCACAACATGGGCAATGAACCCCTCTTGACTTAAAAATATTTACCATTTGTGCTTAATTTAAACCTATCTAAAATGTATCATAATCCAGCTCAACATACTTAAGCTGTGATCCATGCAACAGTCCTCTATGTTGATGAGCCAAAGTAGCATTACTAACTCTTAATACTGATAATGTTTCATGTGTTTCCAAGTTAGATGTTGTTAGTCCTTACTGGTGACAATCTGAAGACCATTCCTGGCCGGGCGCGGTGGCTCATGCCTGTAATCCCAGCACTTTGGAAGGCCAAGGCAGGTGGATCACCTGAGGTCAGGAGTTCAAGACCAACCTGGCCAACATGACAAAACCCCGTCTCTACTAAAAATACAGTAAGTTAG
Organism: Homo sapiens; assembly: GCF_000001405.40. Lineage (NCBI taxonomy): Eukaryota > Metazoa > Chordata > Mammalia > Primates > Hominidae > Homo > Homo sapiens. Next base: position 174,006,062 of record NC_000001.11, read on the forward strand.
CCAGACATGGTAGTGGGTGCCTGTAATCCCTGCTACTTGGGAGGCTGAGGCAGGAGAATTGCTTGAACCTAGGAGGTGGAGGTTGCAGTGACCTTAGATCACGCCACTGCACTCCAGCCTGGGAACAAGAGCGAAACTCCATCTCAAAATAAATAAATAAGTAAATAAATAAATAAAGACTGTTCTTTACCATCATTAGCTAAGGTTGGTCATCTTCAGCAAGTTATACTTTTTTACCTACCTACAACTATCTTCATATACTCCCCAAATATTTTCTCTATCTTGAAACTGTAGGAGGAAAAGAAGGGCGTTTGACTGCCAATCACTATCTCATTTAACCTTTCCAACAACCTTCTGACATAGATATTATTACCTCTACTTTACTGATGAAGGAAGGAAAGAAAACTCAGTTACTCAGCTAACTTAGTGATTTAGTCATAATTTGAACCCACATCTATCTGACTCCAAAACCTGTATTTTTTCCACTATAACACCATGCCTTCCAACTTTGAGCACTTGTAACTTTTTATTATACTTTTTAATAATCATTAGTCAGCCATAATTAAAGATATAAATTAAATGATGCCTGTTTTGGGTTTAATCTGAGCATGACTGGTTTTAAGTAGGAACTCTGGAACTGTTTAAACCTACTTGTTTATTAAAAAGAAAAAATTAGGTTGTAGCAGCAACTACTGTATTCCTTTTGAACAGAACCAAAAGGATAACTCTGTCTTGAAGATTTTATTAAAATATTTCACTGAGAAATGAGAAGGGAACTAAAATAAAATGAATCATATATCTTAAGACGCCTTACTGATATTTTAAGATGAAGTATAACATACATACAGATCAAGAGTGTTCAGTTCAACGAATTATCACAAAGTGAGCATACCTGCATACTTAAGACATACATTATCAGCATCTCAAAAGGCCCCCCCTCACTATCCCTCCCAATGATTACTCCTTTATTCTTCCCCAAATATCACTACTATCCCAACTCCTAACACAATAGGTTAGTTTTGCCCGGTTTAAAATTCTATATAACAGGCCAGGCGCAGTGGCTCACGCCTGTAATCCCAGCACTTTGGGAGGCCAAGGCAGGCAGATCACGAGGTCAGGAAATTGAGACCATCCTGGCTAACACGGGGAAACACCATCTCTACTAAAAATACAAAAAAATTAGCCGGGCGTGGTGGCGGGCGCCTGTAGTCCCAGCTACTCGGGAGGCTGAGGCAGGAGAATGGCGTGAACCCGGGAGGCGGAGCTTGCAGTGAGCCGAGATCACTCCACTGCACTCCAGCCTGGGCGACAGAGCGAGACTCCATCTCAAAAAAAAAAAAAATCTATATAACGGAATCATCAGTATGTATTCTTTTGTACTTGGCTTCTTTCATGCAATGTTTTGTTGTTGTTGTTATTTGAGTCAGGGTCTTGCTTTATCACCGAGGCTGGAGTGCAGTGGCATGATCATGGCTCACTGCAGCCTCAAACCCCTGGGTTCAAACGACCCTCCCACCTCAGCCTCCTGAGGAGCTGGGACTATGAGCATGGGCCACCATGCCGGGCAACTTTTTACAATTTTTGTAGACATGGGCTATATTGCCCAGGCTGGTCTTAAACTCCTGACCTCAAGTGATCCTCCTACCTCAGCCTCCCAGATCAGTAGGATGTCAGGTGTGAGCCACCGCGTCCGGCCCACACAACATTATTTTTGTTAGATTTTTTTTCCCAGCATTTACTACATTTTAAACTGTTACAAAGCACTCCAGTTAAAATGATCACAGTTAGGAAGCTACCCTTTGTGAACTTATTTTTGGAGCAATGATGACTTGTAGATTTTGAATGCAGCAGATTTCTCATGTTGAACTGGAAGGAACAAAAATGAGTGTCAATAAAAAAAGTAGACAAAAATCTCCTCTTTACTCAAGAAAACAGTGTATGCATCACACAGCATATGTGTCACACACTAATAGTCTCCTATTACTTGCTTCTATTTCTTTTTCCCTATGATCCTGTGCTTTAGACTTCCTTGTGGCATTTGGTGGCTGCCATCATGTTCTGACTAATTCTAGAAACATGTAGATGTATTCACAACAGGTACATATCTAATTATATATTCTGACCTAGAAATTTTATTTGCATTAAAAACCTAGTATATTTAATAATAGCAATAACATCAATATTTTTAAAATGTATTTCCCCATAATCTCTTAGGTCTTAAGGACATTTCATTACTTTGTTTTGTTTTGAAATATGCCTCCTAGAATTCAAACTATTTCCAGAAAACAATGTCACAGAGACTTTTAATTGCAGATACTTGAAAAACAGTGCTTAGAAAAGAAGAAAGAAGGAAGCAGAAGCAGCAGCAGAGGAAGAAGCAGAAGAGGGGAAGGGAGGAGGAGGGAGAAGGAGGAAGAGGAGGAGCTGATTCATTTTCCATTTTAGAATTATTTCTCAACTACTATTGCAAGCAAAATTCCATTTTGAAGGGTTTAAAAGAACGAAAAAATTGCTACATGAACTCCAAACACAGAATCCTATAGCCACAATGTATCTTGTTTATACTGTATTATTATTTTATCTTTATATAAAGCGGTTTGAAACAGAAATTAAATTGTAAAAGGGGATGTTCTGGCCAGGTGTGGTGACTCACACCTGTAATCCCAGCACTCTGGGAGGCCAAGGCCAGCAGATCACCTGAGGTCAGGAGTTTGAGACCAGCCTGACCAACATGGCGAAACGCCATCTCTACTAAATACACAAAAATTAGCCAGGCGTGGTGGCGGGCACCGGTAATCCCAGCTACTTGGGAGGCTGAGGCAGGAGAATCACTCAAACCCAGGAGGCGGAGGTTGCAGTGAGCCAAGATCGTACCACTGCACTCCAGCCTAGGCAACAGAGTGAGACTTTGTCTGAAAAAAAAAAAAAAAAAAAAAAGAGATGTTTTGCTGATTCCCAAGTAGCTGCTAATGTTAGAGAACCTACTGACTGGCTGCTGCTGTATCAGAATCAAATATGACACTTCCTCCAAAATATGTAATGATGATCTTTCAGGGATTAAATTCACGCTTAGGTTTGTATAGTGTGCATGTTATAGGGAAGAGGAAATGAAAGGTTGAGATAAGTCTAACCACTGTGGATTGCACAATAAACAGATAAGTCTATTTATTGCTTGGTAAAAACAGGGACCCTGGTTAAGAACATAGTTTGTCCTACTCTTCCTCCAACCCTGAACCTTCTCCCCACTTCTGTATAGGCATTAATATATGAATTCCTTCAGAGAAGGCCTTCCCTGATCACCTTATTTCAAATAGATGCCCCAATCTCAATCCCTCCCCAGCCCTCTGCTATCCAACCACATGTTAAACTGCATGCTTCCCATCTCTTTCCTGATTAATTTTTCTCAATAATACTTCTCATCCAACATCTGTGTTTCATATTTATTTTGTTACAGTGTATACCCATCGATACTGAAATATTAGCTCCTTAAAAGTGGGCCAGGCATGGTGGCTCATGTCTGTAATCCCGGCATTTTGGGAGGCCAAGGTGGGCAGATCACTTGAGGTTAGGAGTTCAAGACCAGCCCGGCCAACATGGTGAACCCGTCACTACCAAAAACACAAAAAATTAGCTGGGTATGGTGGCACGCGTCTGTAGTCTCAGCTACTTGGAAGGCTGAGGCACGAGAATCACTTGAACCCGGGAGGCAGAGGTTGCAGTGAGCCGAGATCGTGCCACTGCACTATAGCCTGGGCCACAGAGCAAGACTCAGTCTCAAAAACAAACAGATTTTTGTTTCTATCTTTAACTATTTTTGAGTACACTCTATGTGCCAGGAAGTCTTTTATGCGGATCACATGCAAACACTTCGTCCTCGCAATGAGCCTATTTGGTCTCATTATTAATTTTAGGGCCAAGAACACTGTAACAGAGATGTTAGGTAATATGATGGTCACTTGGCAACTAAATTTATTCTTATTTTTGAGCTGGTGATTCCTTCTGTAATCTTTCTTTAGTGATACCACTAGACAATGCACATTTCTGGTAATCATGCCTGATGTCCTCACTTTTATCTTCCATTAAAAAAAAAATCTTCCATAAATATACATACCTACTGTGTACCCACAAAAATTAAAAATAAGTAAAATGATAATAATAAATTACCTCTTGTATCTATAATTTCCTTTTCATCTCCACTTTCTTGATTGAGGCCCTTAGTCATTCATTCAAAAACTACTTATTGAGCATCTACTACGTGCCAGTGTCCCAGAAACTGATATAGTCCTGAATGAAATAAAGTCCTTGCTCTCATACAGAATACAGTCTTATCACCTAGATCACAAAGCAACCTTTTTTCTTTTTTTAATTTTTGAGACAAGGTCTCACTCTGTCACCCAGGCTAGAATGCAGTAGCATGATCAGAGCTCACTGCAGCCTCGACCTCCCAGGCTCAAGCAATCCTCCCACCTCAGTCTCCCCAGTAGCTGGACTACAGGCATGCGCCATCATGCCTGGCTGTTTTTTTAATTTTTTTTATAGACGAGGTCTCACAATATTGCCCAGGCTGGTTGCAAACTCCTAGACTCAAGCGATCCTCCTGCCTCGGCCTCCCAGTGAGCCATCACACCTGACCACACAGCAACGGTTTAACTGATCTCTGTCCTCAGGATAGTTCTTGCCTTCCTCTACCTTCCTCACAGCTGATAGTCACTTACCTACATCAAATTCTTCCATGACAACTCAATTTTTAAAAAGGATGATACACTTGAACAGAAAAGGATATTCAAATGGCAATAAGCATATAGTATGTTCACTGAGGAGTGATTACTCATGAGGGGAAGAAGGTACTTAAAGCTTTTCATCTTAAAACTCTGGGTACAATGGATTAATTAATGAATGTCAATCATGGGGGAATAGGTGCTACCACTTCACTATTTATGGATGCCTTTGTAAGAATATTATCTGTACTAGCCTTATGATATTCTAATTACTCATATGCATTTAAAGATTTACCATCCTATTTTCTATTCTAAGAATTTTCTTACTTCGAAATCCATCAAATTCTATTTTATAGTGATAGAATAAACTGGAAGAGTCTTTTGTGCCCTCATGAACAGGTTTTCATCAACCACAGACCTACAAAATAAGAAGACATTTCTGAAAAAACTAACTCAGATAATGAATAAATCCAAAGAATCCATAACTCAATTAAAAAAAAAACACTATATGAAGAGTCTTACATTTACTTTTTAAAGTTTTTGATAAACTTAATGAGAGGCTAGATTCAAGCAAAGAAGATTGACAGTTTTAACTAAAACCATTCAAAAACTGCTATCAATGGGGTAATTAATGTAAAAATTGACATATAAAATATGGGTTTTAAAAGTAGTAATTACAGGGAAAGCATTTCTAAATGAAAGCTGAAATCCAGGTTTTTTTTTTTCAAGTACAGTACTTGAATGTGGAAGACTACTACTTTTTAAGAGTCTCCACAAAAATGGACTTTTGAGCCAGTGTAACCAGTATACAGAAAAGTCAAATCAAGACCATAAGCAGTACGATTATTTTTAGTCAAGGACTAAGCACAGAGGGACAGCTTACCTCAAAAGAAAATCAAGAGACTGATATGAGGACCTCCATTTTTCAAGCTGTGAAAATTTTTAACATGATGAGTTTAGGAAGATGCAAGTTCATATAGTAACCAATTTGGGTTCTACAGATCAAAGTGTAGTTTGAATAGAATCCAAAGGTAAATTATGGCCAATAAAGGATTTAGGATGCCAATAATGTTCAGTTTAATTATATTCACCTTTAACAACCAATTCGTATTAGCATTGAAAATTAGTTTTTGTCATCTAAAATGGGTCACAGCCAGGCACGGTGGCTCATGACTAATCCCAGCAGTTTGGGAGACTGAGGCAGATAGATAGCTTGAGCCGAGAAGTTCGAGACCAGCCTGGGCAACACGGCAAGACGCCGTCTCTACAAAAAATACAAAAATTAGCAGGGTGTGCTGGCACGCACCTGTAGTCCCAGCTACCAGGTGGGGATGAGGTGGCAGGGGTGGCCTGAGGTGAGTGGATCACTTGAGCCTGGGAGGTCAAGGCTGCAGTGAGCCCTGATCCCTCTACTGCACTCTAGCCTGGGCAACAGAGTGAGACTCTGTCTCAAAAAAAAAAATAGGTAACATATGAAGGGACAAATATTTTTGCATCGAGAGAATCAGCTATTTAGCTGATTAGGATAAATTTCCTCATTTTAGTTTCTAATTGTTTAAAGAATTATAAATAATATGTTTATGAAATCTATAGCTATAGCTTCTATAGATTTAACTTATAAAGATATTTTAAATCACATAATACATAATCAGTCTCCAATACCCTCTTCAAAATAACTTCTAAAAGTAGCCCCAAATAGTGGTGATCCCAAGAAAGAACTAGAGCCGGGCACAGTGGCTCACACCTGTAATCCCAGCACTTTGGGAGGCCGGGGCAGGCGGATCATGAGGTCAGGAGATCGAGACCATCCTGGCTAACATGATGAAACACTGTCTCTACTAAAACTACAAAAAAATTAGCCGGGTGTGGTGGCGGGCGCCTGTAGTCCCAGCTACTCGGGAGGCTGAGGCAGGAGAATGGCGTGGACCCAGGAGGCAGAGCTTGCAGTGAGCCAAGATCACGCGACTGCACTCCAGCCTGGGCGACAAGAGTGAGACTCTGTCTCAAAAAAAAAAAAAGAAAAGAAAAGAAAAGAAAGAACTAGAATAAGGAGATCTAGATTCTAATACCAACTCTGCCATTTATTAGTGCTGAGATCTGCACACCTCTGCTAAATATTCAAAAGGTTTAGAGGAAAATAAAAAACAAAAAGATGATTCCAGAGTTTAAGGACAAAAAGGATCAGACTATTATAGAATGCTGCAACATAAATTCTTTAAAAAAAGAAGGATCAAAAACAAAATAAAATTTTAGAAAATTAAAAAAAAGAAGAGCAGACTAAAAAGAGATGATGCTGTGATGGAAAACCTAGGAAACCATACTATAATGGACAACATTTGAAAATAATGGTTCTTTGGGGGAGTAAAGGATTTTAAATAACCAATTGAGGGTTGCTGATAGTACAAGCAACAAAACAAAATAGATAATGCATTGAAAATGTAGGCTTGAGGAAAAACTGAGATCATATAAACAGGAAAGTTCTCCATGAGAGTGAATGGAAGTGGAGAATTGAACCTTGGGGGAATCATATATATCAGTGCTTTCCAATATGGTAGCCACTAGGTACATGTGGCTATTGAGCCCTTGAAATGTGCTGGTGAGACGGAGGAATTAAATTTTAAATAAAATTTAAATGTATCCATACAATGGAATATTATTATTATTATATATATATATTTTTTGAGACACGGTCTCACTCTGTCGCCAGGCTGGAGTGTAGTGGCGCGATCTCAGCTCACTGCAACCTCCGCCGCCTGGGTTCAAGCGATTCTCCTGCCTCAGCCTCCCAAGCAGCTGGGACTATAGGTTCACACCACCACGTGTGGCTAATTTTTGTATTTTTAGTAGAGACAGGGTTTCACCATGTTGGCCAGTATGGTCTTGATCGCCTGACCTCGTGATCCTTGGCCTCCCAAAGTGCTGGGATTACAGGCGTGAGCCACCATGCTCAGCCACAATGGAATATTATTAAGCAGTAAAATAAATAAACTGTGAAGCCATGAAAAGACATGAAGAGGGCCAGGCACAGTGGCTCACGCCTATAATCCCAGCACTTTTGGGAGGCCAAGGCAGGAGCACTGCCTGAGCCCAGGAGTTCAAGACCAATCTCTATTTTAAACAAAAACAAAAGAAGAAGATACTGACGAAGAGACCTAAATGCATATTGTTAAGTGAAGATGCCAGTCTGAAAGGACTATATACTATGATTCCAACCACATGACATTCTGGAAAGGTAAAACTATGACTGTAAAAAGATCAGTGGTAGCCAGAGGTTCAGAGGGATGAGGCAGAGATGAGTAAGTGGAACATGGGACATTTTTAGGTCAATGAAACCATTCTGCACGATTCTAGAATAGTGGATGTATAATGTTATGCATTTGGCAAAACCCATAGAACTGTCCAACACAAAGGGTGAATCCTAATGTGAACTATGGACTTTAGTTAATAATGTATCAACACTGGTTCCTCAGTGATAACCAACACACCACACTAATGCAAGATACTAACAGAGGAAACCGTGGGGGACAGTATAAATGGGAACTGTGTATTTTTTTGAGCAATTTTTCTGTAAATCCAAAACTGTTCTAAAAAAAAAAATCTTTCAAAAAACTCAAATTTACATAGCCACATATAGTTAGTGGCCAGTATTGAACAGCATAGGCCCATATAAATAGACTGATGTGGGAAGAAAATGAGAATGGCATATGAAGAATTACTTCATTTCTGACTACCACTCCCAAAAGTACACATACAGTTAACCCTAAACTATATAAGGTTTTATATGTAGCTTCTATATTAACATTTTACAGTAGAACTTGATCAAAAATATTCTGGATGAATATCTTTCTAATTTTTGTTAAACAGAATTTAAGGAGGAAAATAACATTCATTAAAGGTGTCAGGTACTATACTAAAGATATTATTATTTACATTTCCAAACAACCTTTAGATAAAAGTATTACCATTTCTGTTTTTAGAGATGAGGAATTATAATGCTTAAGTCATAGAAGATGAGAACCTAGATATACTGGACTCCAAAGTGTATGTTCTATTTTTTTTAGCGAGGTCTATATTCTAATATACACCACTCTACTGTATATATGTTTATGATTCCCAAAATTACAAACATAATTTTCCCACAATGAATTTTCCATCAGGAGCAATACTTTATATATAGCACAATATAACAGTTAATGATATACTCAGAGTCTAATGAGGTGTTGTATAGGTAACTGCTGTCCCTATTTTAAACAGCCTCAGGCTAATGTGACTTTTTTCCTGCCACCCAGCTGGCCCTCCATCCTACCTATATGGCTCTACTCCAACATCTAATTTGCACCTTTTAATCTGCTGTGGGACGAGAAAATAGATAATCAAATTCCTTGAATTATGTACAAAGCAAGAGAACTTCTAAACCAATATGTTAGTGCAGATGATTTAGTTCATTAATTTTTCTGATAATTATAGGCCTTTTTTTTTTTTTTGGCCTACTTCTTAATCTAAACTGAGACCTGGACAAATTAAATACTGTTCTATAATAAAGCTAAGAATTTAGTGATTCTGTTTCATTCAAAAGTTTTCCACTACACTTTTTTTTTTTTTGAGACAAGTCTCGCTCTGTCGCCCAGGCTGGAGTGCAGTGGCATGATTTCAGCTCACTGCAACCTCCTCCGCCTCCTGGGTTCAAGCAATTCTCTGCCTCAGCCTCCTGAGTTGCTGGGATTACAGGTGCCTGCCACCATGCCCGGCTAATTTTTTTGTATTTTTAGTAGAGATGGGGTTTCACCATCTTGGCCAGGCTGGTCTTCGACTCCTGACCTTGTGACCTACCCGCCTCAGCCTCCCGAAGTTCTGGGATTACAGGCGTGAGCCACTGCACCTGGCCTCATATTTTATATATATATATATATGTTTTAATACAGATGGGGTCTCACTATGTTAGCCAGGCTGGTCTGGAACTCTTGGCCTCAAGTGATCCTGCCACCTCGGCCTCCCAAAGTGGTGGGATTATAGGTATGAGTCACCGCCTCCTAGCCTATCCCATATTTTTCATGGATATAGCTCTAAACATCACCTCATTTAAAGACATTATTTTTATTTTTGTATTTGTTGACACTATCTACTTCAAGATAAAAGTTCGGCCGGGTGCAGTGGCTCATGTCTGTAATCCCAGCACTCTGGAAGGCCGTGGCAGGTAGATCACCTGAGATCAGGAGTTCAAGACCAGCCTGGCTAACGTGGTGAAATCCCATCTCTACTGAAAATACAAAATTTGGCCGGGCATGGTGGCATGAGTCTGTGATCCCAGCTACTTGGGAGGCTGAGACACAAGAATTGCTTGAACCCAGGAGGCAGAGGTTGTAGTGAGCCGAGATCATGCCATTGCACTCCAGCCTGGGTGACAGAGCAAGACTCCGTCTCAAAAAAAAAGTTATTTTTATAATTTAAATGTATTAATTGAGTACATTAGCTTTCCACTAAATGTTAGTCTAAAAAATTAATGAGGCATATATAAAAACACAGAAACATGTATTTACAAAAAGTTGACATTTTCCTGAAAAAAATTACAGAAAACCAGAAATTTTACTGCAGAGTTCTAAATATTCTGACATAATCCTTTTCCTTATCATTTTTTAAGTTTCCTTTTTTTTTTTTTTTTTTTTGAGGTGGGGTTTCACTCTATTGCCCAGGCTGGTCTGGAACTCCTGGCTTCATGAGATCCTCCTGCCTTGGCCTCCTAAAGTGCTAGGATTACAGGCTTGAGCCACTGTACTCAACTTAAGTTGTTCTTATAACTAAATTATAATTATGTATATTAATAAAATTTTCCTTAAGGAGGGGAGATTAATAACAAAATTTTAAATTTTTTTTGTACTTAGATCTCCTATAACCCCATTAGAAATATTTACTAAGAACATAAAGTGACTTTTGTTTCTCATAAATTTTAAGATTTCAATTCAATTAGATAAAGTACCATTTTGAATTTAAGATAACAATATATTTCTAAAGCCCCAAATGGAAATGTCAATCTTAGCAGTAACTCTAAAGTCCAAGTTTATTACCCTTTATTCTAGAAAGAAAAAAAAAAACTAATTTTGTCTCCCTCAGTCAGCCAATTAAAACAATCCAAAAAAGCTTACTAAACAACTGCCTTTGTAACACTGTTCATGTTTTTAGAGGTGATCAGGTATAGGGCCAAGATCAAGGTTTCTAACACTTATTCAACAAGGGATTAAAAGCAGAGTGCCACGCAAATCAAAACTCTAAATATTCTCAAAGATTAGCTGAATAAAATAGTCATAAAGTTAGATTCACAGGGATCAAAGAGCTTCAAATTCTAAAAATCGTTTCCCAGTGTAACTTCAAATAAATCCTTTGTGAATATTCCTAGTTTCTTCTATACATTAAGAAAACCTAAAAGGCAAACAAGTTCTAGATAGGAGACCAAGTATTAGTTGTTCACATTTGTATAGAACATTAAATTTTAGTTCTTATAACCCAATGAAGAAATACAAATGAGTCTAAGAGTTTGAGCAAAACCCTCTGGGGTGATCAAAACAAAACTGCAAACTTCTATGAGTCTCAACTTTTCTTCCATAAAGAGTCCCTGGCAGCATGTCTACTGTACTTAGAGAAGCATGCAAAGAATTAGGTGGTTTTTTATTCCTAACAATCACATCCCAAAGTTTTTTCTGCAATTTCAATTGTACAGAGTACTCTTCCTCGATGTTGGCTCAAATTAGAGACAGAAAGCAGAATGGCGTTTGCTAGGGATTAGGGAAGAGGGGAATACAGAGTAACTGCTTAATGGGTACAGTGTTTCCTTTTGGGGTAATGAACACATTCTGGAATTAGAGCTGGTGGTTGAACAACATTGTGAATGTATAAAGTGCCACCTAAACTGTTTACTTTAAAATGGTTAATGTTATGTGACTTAACCTCAATAAAAAAAATTATGTTAATCTGTAGATAAAACTGACCCCTTTAGAACTCTTTTCTTGCTCAAAAAAAAAAAAAAAAAAAAAAAAAAACTGCTACCATGTTCAAATGCTATTTAGATCTTGGAAATTTTTTAGATAAAATGCACTTATAAGTTAAATTATTACCACATGTGCACAGTAATAATCAGTGAAGGTATACCAGTGTCAGTTTAAAACATTGTTATGCCTGTAATCTCAGCACTTTGGGAGGCAGAAGTGGGAGGATCACCTTGCTCCCAGGAGTTTGAGACCACCCTGGGCAACACAGCAAAATGCTATCTCTATAAAAATAATAAAAATTAAAAAAAGTAGCCAGGTAAGGCGGGAATAACACTTAAACCAAGGAGTTTGAGGCTGAAGTGAGCTATGATAATGCCACTGCACTCCAGCCTGGGTGACAGACCATGAGTGACTCTGTCATTCATTCATAATATATACATACAGCATTGCTAAAATGCTTGATAACTGTCAAAAGAATATTGCTCTGACATACATCTGCAAATAAGTAAGGTGACTTTAAATTTGAGGAAAATTCTTTCCCCAAGCCTCAATCAGGAAAACAATATAAACTAATAAGAAGTATCTAATAAACAAAAAGTAAACAAGAATATTATATAAGTAAACAGGCACAATCCTGACCAAAAATGGACAGAAATAAATATGCTAAAGTTAAGTGTCTGGGGGATGTAGGGCAACATTACTTCAGATTGGTAAATGTCACACTTCAAAAATAGAAGGAATCTACCTTAAGAAACTCTGTAGTAAGAAAACCTCCTTTGTATAAATGCCTGACAAAATTAATCTTTTATCATAACCTCTAAAGCTAGTCCAAATCCAGCCTAGATTCCAGAATTACACAAAAGAAAAAATCTTGGAGACGGTTCTGGGAAAAGGCTGACCAAAATCTGTGACTGTTTTGATACAGGCCAATCTGAGAATTTTAATCCCTCTGAACCCAATCCTGCAGAATACCTGAACCCTGAGCACAGACGGGGCCAAAGCTAAACCAGGTCAGAATACCCTGCCAAGGAACATCCTGATCTGAGGTGTTCACCAAACAGGGATCATTTATCAGTTTATTCTTCACTTTGTTGGATGCTGACCATTTTCAAGATATATGCAAGAGTGGACTGATTAGACCCATCAGAATCCATTTCAAGCCCTAAGATCTGGAGATGAAAAATACTGCAGAATTCTAAATTATCTATGGCTTAAAGAAAAAAAATTATAAATTAAGAACTTCAAATATTAGCTGACCCAACTTTAACATCATTGAATATCTTTAATTATTTAAAAAAATTTATAAAGTATTTCAAAGGCACAATTTAGTAATTGCCTATGTAACAAATTAACCATGAAAACAATTACAGCAGTATGATAAATCTGTCCTATGTAAACAGTATGAGTTTTTATATTTTATAGCATTCAGATATGCTAAAAACAAAAATTTAAGTGTTTCTTTTGTGATTCACATGAACAAATACTTTCTTGGTCTTACAAGTAGATATCTGACAGGATACAAATAATGATAATAGGGTAAGTTCACAGGCAAAAAAAGGAATCTGTCAACACAGAAGATGCTTCAAAGTTTAACTGTGACACATGTGGTAGTGGCAAAGAATCTAATTTGTGTCACAAGATCTGAGTCTGAGTAAGCTCTTTTACCTATTAATTATGTGATCTTTTTGCTGGTTACATAGCTACTCTTAGCTTCACATTCTTCATATGAAAAAATGAGGACAACAGAACTAATACTGCAGCATAATGAGGAAGCTTAAATATTTTTATTCATTCAACAAATATGTTCTGAAAGGCGTTGTGTACAAATTACCCTTTTTTATTTCTTCAAATAAATCAAGCATATATTAACTTTTAATATTACCAAGAAAATATAAATCTAATTCTTAAGCTCTGGTTCCAAAACTTCTTAGAAGTAAATTTTTATTACCTGAGAAAATGTGAACTTAAGTAATAAGTATTGATACTGAAGAAGGGACAGTTGAGTTTGTGTCAAAACTTAAAACTGTTTTGACACAAAATAAATAAAAACAATTCCCTAAATTTTTTTCCTATTGAACAGAAATACGGACCCAGACTAAGCCCATAAATTGCTGGGTCAATAACCAATCTGAAATACAAAACCTTACCACTTAAAAATATTTATTTTCAGGAAAATGATATTAAATATGAGGTAAATCTGCCCTTGACATAACACGGTGAGATTGTTTTCATAACACAGCACATGAACCACTTAAAACTTACAACCTATAAATTACTACAATTGTTCTAATAGGTTTAGGGCCATACATAAATTTAAGTATCATTATAACACAGACTTTACTTGGAATCTGTGCTGACCTAACAAAATTAGCACAGAAAAAAAAAAAAAATCACAGATTTGAGCACCTGAAAAACGGTGTCCTTTCTGAAATATCTGCAAAAAAGTCACAACATCAGGAGCCATAGAAAGTTGTTATTTCTCCATCATTCAAAAAATCAAAACATCTCCAACATTATTTATGCTAAGCATAAAATGAAGGTCAGTATTGATATTCATTCACTATACTTCAAATCCTAAACAAGAAAATTCAACCTTTATGTTTATTCAATTGCTAATCTATTCAGTGTCAATTGTTGTGGAAGAACTAAGAACTAGACTAGTGCTGCTTATAATGTTTTTAATTAGAACAGACTTGGACCAATTCTACTTAGAAATTTACCCTTAGAAGAGGTGAAAGATATTAACTGGCATCTTTTCAGCACAGGTCAGTGCTGAAAAGAACACAACCTATAACCCTTAGGCCTTGCAGTTGAATGTTAACAAGTGAAAAGCAATCTCCTTGGATGTATCCAAGCGATTTTAATATAAATTTCTGCATACCTAGGTAGAAAGTACTTTAGAAATAAATCTACCTTTTCCCTCACTTGTAAGAAAATGTGGTAGAAGCCTTGAAAAATTAAGTTTAAGGCTGAGCGAGGTGGCTCACGCCTGTAATCCAAGCACTTTGGGAGGCGGAGGAGGGCAGATGACTTGAGGTCAGGAGTTCCAGACCAGCCTGGCCAACATGGTGAAACCCCGTCTCTACTAAAAATACAAAAATCAGCCGGGCATGGTGGCGGGCGCCTGTAATCCCAGCTACTCCGGATGGTGAGGCAGGAGAATCGCTTGAATCCGGGAGGTGGAGGCTGTAGTGAGCCGAGATTGTGCCACTGCAATCCAGCCTGGGTGACAGAGCAAGACTCCGTCGCAAAACAAAACAAAAACGAAATCAAATTTCAAACTCAGAGAAAAGACTGGTCTTGAACAATTTCAGGAAAAATTACTGAAACACGAGACAAGGCACAAGAAGCTCTATGGCCGGAGATGAACCACCTGTCTCCTTTCGAAGTGCTTCCTGAGGTCCACTTTATGCTAGTTAATGTTGCTTCTTATACTGCATGTTAGTAATTCAAAACGCCTAGCTGGAATAAAAGTCCTCTTTAAACATTACAGTTTGTCTCCGCGTTGCCAGTGTTTGTTTCCAGTTTCATAGGCTATTCTGGTATGTCAAGAGTTGTGTTATTACTGTTCCAAAAGAGCCCTTGTTTCAATCCACTCTCACCTGGGATGCGGGCATAACTGATGTTTATAGAACTGATACTTAGAGATGTTTAGAGAGGCGCATCCCTTACCACTCCATCCTTTACCGATAACCACATTTTATATGTTTTTGTTGCATTTAAGTTTTTTGTTTTTTTTTTTTAAAGACACCTGCACACACACAATTTTCCCATCGCCAGCAGGGAGAAGACTACCAGGCTAGATCTCCAGGGACTTCAGGGAAACAGACACCGTGAAATCCACTTGGCCAAAGAAGGGGAGCGCTTCAGGGGCTGGGGGAGGAAGCAGCCCTGAGGTGCTGGGAGGCCGAGGCGGCGCCTGTTTACAGACGCCTTCGCCCTCCCCCACCCCCACAGACTAGGGGTCCAAAAAGCAGTTCCCGTGCGCATTCCCCGCCTGGCCCAGGCCCTGGGAGTACCACAGGAGCCAGGTAGCCCTTTCGCCCCCTCCCTCTCGTCCGAGCCTCCCTTCGTCCTCCTCTCGGCCTACCTACCCCGACAGGCCCTACAGGCGGCATGCAGAGGCCTGAGGCCTAAAGGACGCCGGCCACTGACAAGCCCCAGAACAGCCGGCGGGGGCCCTGAGGAGCCTGGGGCCGGCCGGGCTGCCGCTGCCGCGGAGGAGCAGAGGGCGGGCGAGGACAAACCCTTCCCGACCACAGCTGCCTATTGTTCCCGACTGAGGCCCCGGCCGCGGCAGCCCCGCTCCCCAAGTCGCCGCCCGCCGCTCGCTCACCGCGCTGGTCCGAGCAGCAGCTCCTCTCAGCTCCGAGTCCCCGCGGCCGTCGCCACCGCCGCGGCAGCCGCCGCCGCCGCCGAGGCCACCGTTGACTCTGATTCTGTCCCAGGCCGCCGGGCCACGGCTGCCGCCGCCACCGCCAGCACCGCCTCCGGCCTCCCACCTGCTGCTGCTGAGGCTGCTCCTGCAGCAGGGGCCATCTTGTTGCTCGGCCTCCTCTTCCTCCTCCTCGTCCTCCGCCGCCCAGTCGCTCGTTGTCCTCGTCCCCTTCCTCTTCCTCAGGCTCCGGCCCGCCCCGGAGACTGGGGCGGAGACGAGGGCGAGGATCCTCCCTCAGGAGGCGGGGCGGGCGGAGGGGAGGGGCGGGCGCGGGAGCAAAGCTCTGAGTCACCGGCCACCAACGCCCGGAGGGAGACCGGCGACGCTCTCCGCCGCGACCGAAAGTCTCACACGCCCTGAGCAGATGAACCGGTCCCTCGGTCCGGTCTGCCCTCCCGCACCGGCGCCTTTGGGCTCAGCGGGCCAGTGGCCAGATGGCGAGAGTAAATTGGGGGAATTTCTTTCGTTTCCATCGAACCCCACACTACGTCTACTCTTTCGGCTTTCTCAGCCGTTGTCCCCCAACTCTTGTTTCTTTTTCACGTCTTGTCCCCCACCCCATTTTTCTTCTTCCATATTATCCAGGTTCTGGATCTCATCAGCTTTGTCCTCGTCACCCCTCTGGGAGTTCAGCCTCCTAAGGCTGTGAAACAGCCCAAAAGGCCCGGACACGCTACTCCAAAACGTCTCTCCTGGGCTGTGTGAACAATAAGAGCTATTTGGGGACGACAGGAAAAGATATGGCCCATAGAAGGGCTCCTGAAATCTAACCTTGCGACTCTTTAAAAGTTTCTTGTCCCTTGTGGAAAAGGTGCCGTTTTGGTTTTGGGGAATGGGAGGTCCCTTCAGACAATTCATTTTAGCCAAACCCTCGCTTTTGAGAAGGGGAAGAAATGGGATTATTGTAACACCATACAGTACTAATTTCAAAATAAATCATCTAGAATAGAGGAGAGAGAGAGTCCCCAAATAAACAACCATTTAATACCTCTACTCGGCGCTATCACCTTTTTTGCTTCAGGATTTGACCAAGAGAGCAGAGATTATGTTTTTCTGTCCTTTCTTCACTGTTTACATCACAGTACCCCAAGAGAAGCACTTCTGCCTTTAACTTGATACATTGGAATCGCTATCACAGATAGTGTTTTTGTATTATTTTTAAGAAATATCACACACCTTCCTAAACTCTTGGCAGAGAAGAATTCTTTTTAGTTGTTAGCACCCTCCTGCTACTGAGATCTCAGCTTCTGTTTAGAAGACCTATTGTTGTCTTTCCACTGATTGGAATTTGCTGCCTCTGAACTGGGTTTAATCTGTAATCGTCTTTTCAGCCTACTAAATAGTAACCCCAGTCCTACAGAGAGTGAATTTCTAGCTACCACAGGGGGATTTAGGTTAGCATGTGCCAATCTAAAGGGATCTCTTAAAGCCTTTCCCTTCTCAGACCAGGCCTCTGTACCCTGCTAGGAAAAACAGATTAATCTGCTCCTCCTGCTTTTCCTCCTCCTCCCTTCTTCTCACTCCTAGGGAACCTTCCACAACAGAAGGTTTTAGCGACTGTTGCTAGGCAAACATGCCAACTTCCTTGTTTAGGTGAAGCGAGTAACTCAACTTCCATTGCAAGTAACCTAGATAATGTAATTTCTTTGAACTATTAATAGTTATACCACAGTTGGTAAGGCTCCTTAAAGGTTCCCTTAAGCAGTATGATTTTTACGTTGTTTATTTTTATCTCGTCAATATTTCAATTAAAAATACGTTAAAGGACAGATAGATGCAGTGGCTCACGCCTGTAATCCCAACATTTTAGGAGGCTGAGGGGGGCGGATCACCTGAGGTCCGGAGCCTGACCAACGTGGAGAAACCCCATCTCTACTAAAAATACAAAAATTAGCCAGGTGTGGTGGCGTGCACCTATAGTCCTAGCTACTCGGGAGGCTGAGGCAGGAGAATCACTTGAACCTGGGAGGTGGAGGTTGTAGTGAGCCGAGATCACGCCATTGCACTCCAGTCTGGGCAAAAAGAGCTAAACTCTGTCTCAAAAAAAAAAAAAAAAAAAAAAAAAAAGTTAAAAATGGCGGCGCTTCCCCAAACCCAAATTCATTTTAGTGATATAAAGATGCATTTGACAGAAAAAGAAGAGCAGCTTTGAAGAAAACACTTATGCTTACAATAAAAAATAAAAAACTAATCTGTGAGAAGTCATATGTTTTCAACTCCCCAGTCAGACTAGAAGTGTAAGATACAGGGGATAAGGCCGGGAGCGGTGGCTCACGCTTGTAATCCCAGCACTTTGGGAGGCCGAGGCAGGCAGATCACGAGGTCAGGAGATGCAGACTATTCTGGCCAACATGGTGAAACCCCGTCTCTACCAAAAATACAAAAAGCCCGGCGTGGTGGCGCGCGCCTATAGTCCCAGCTACTCAGGAGACAGAGGCAGGAGAATCACTTGAACCTGAGAGGCAGAGGCTGCAGTGAGCCAAGATTGTACCACTGCACTCCAGCCTGGATGACAGCAAGACTCGGTCTTGGCAGAGCATTGTGGCCCACGCCTGTAATCCCAGCACTTTGGGAGGCTGAGGAGGGTGGCTCTCCTAAGGTCAGGAGTTCAAGACCAGCTTGGCCAACATGGTGAAACCCCGTCTCTACTAAAAATACAAAAAAATTAGCTGGGCGTGGTGGCAGGCACCTGTAATCCCATCTACTAGGGAGGCTGAGGCAGGAGAATCCTTTGAACCTGGGAGGCGGAGGTTGCAGTGAGCCGAGATCGTGCCATTGCACTCCAGCCTGGGCAACAAGAATGAAACTCCGTCTCAAAAAAAACACCAAAAATTAGCTGGGCATGGTGGTGCACGCTTGTAATCCCAGCTACTTGGGAGGCTGAGACAGGAGAATCGCTTGAACCTGGTAGGTGGAGGTTACAGTGAGCCGAGATCACGCCACTGCACTCCAGCCTGGCGACAGAGCAAGACTCCATCTCAAAAAAGAAAAAAAGAAAAAAAAAAGATACAGAGGATAATTTATCTCTTGAAATTGAGTCTATTTAAAATAAAGATAATATGAATATTCAGCAAGGGGGAAAAAAGATATTCTGGGTTTTATTCCTAAATTAACAATTATTTGAAAATTTAGCTAGGGAAATAAGCTTTTTTTAAAAATTTTATTTAAAATGTTTTTACTCTTGTTAGAGTATTGAGATTTGTTGTGAATTAATACAAATAAGATTAAATGAGGCTGAGCATGGCAGCTCATGCCTGTAATCCTAGCATTTTAGGAGGCTGAGGCAGGAGGATTGCTTGAGGCCAAGAGTTCAAGACCACCTGGCCAACATAGAAGACCTTGTCTCCATTTAATTAAAAAAAAATTTTTATAAAAGATTAATGACGCCAGGCAAGGTGGCTCACATCTGTAATCCCAGAACTTTGGGAGGCCGAGGCAGGCGGATCACCTGAGGCCAGGAGTTCGAGCCCAGCCTGGCCAACATGGCAAAGCCCCATCTCTACTAAAAATACAAAAATTGGCTGGATATGGTGGTACATGCCTGTAATCTCAGCTACTCAGGAGGCTGAGGCAGGAGAATTGCTTGAACCCGGGAGACGGAGGTTGCAGTGAGCCGAGATCACGCCACTGCACTCCAGCCTGGGTGACAGAGCAAGACTCTGTCTCAAAAAAAAAAAGATTAATGAGACACTATGTTGAAATTTAAATTATATAGATTTAAACTTCAGAACTCTTAAAATTTGTTTTAATCCACTGAAACTCATATTAATACACTGAAATAGTGTTTGAGAAGTGTCTTGAGCTTAGATTATATGTTAATTAAGAGTATATTACTTAAGATAAACAGCTTATATGTTTCATAGCCATTTGTGCTCAGAAATCACTATTTTGCTCACACCTGTAATCTCAGCACTTTGGGAGGCTGAGGTGGGCGGATCGCTTTGAGCTCAGTTGTTCCAGACCAGCCTGAGCAACACGGCAAAACCCCATCTCTACAAAAAGTACAAAAATTACCTGGGTATTGGTGGCTCATGCCTGTAGTCCCAGCTACTCAGCTACTCAGAAGGTTGAGGTGGAAAAATCAATTGAGCCTGGGAAGCAGAGGTTATAGCAAATGGAAATCATGCCACTGCGCTCCAGCCTGGGCTACGGAGTGGGAGCCTGTCTCACAAAAAAAAAAAAAAAAAAAAAAAAAATCACTATTTTGTAGCTTCAAGACAACTTAAACAAATTGTTTTATCTCATATTTTGTTAATAATTCTGATGTGCAATACCCATAAATTTAGACTCTGCCCTGGCTTCCACTACTGATACACTATGAAAATCAAATGAGTCATTTCATATAAAATATCAGCACATGGCATATAGTAAGTACTCAATTTTTTTCAAATTCATTTTGTGCATATGTTATTATAGTCTTCTGTTTCTTAATCAGTCAGATAAGAATGACAAGTCATCAAATACGTTTTTGCTCTTTGCATGACCCCTAAAAAAAGATTAATGCATCTTTTCAGATCATACACAAATCAGTTAAAATAATGCCTTATGTTTTCAATATATATTCTAATATGCCTGTACTGTATTTTCTGATATGCCTGTACTATATTGTTTGTTCCTCTGATTTTTTTTTTTTTTTTTTGAGATGGAGTCTCGCTCTGTCTCCAGGCTGAAGTGCAGTGGCACAATCTCAGCTCACTGCAACCTCTGCCTCCCAGGTTCAAGAGATTCCCTTGCCTCAGCCTCCCGAGTAGCTGGGAGTACAGGTGCGTGCCACCATGCCCGGCTAATTTTTTGTATTTTAGCGGAGACAGGGTTTCACCATGTTGGCCAGGATGGTCTCAATCTCCTGACCTTGTGATCCTCCCACCTCGGCCTCCCAAAGTGCTGTGATCACAAGCGTGAGCCACTGCACCTGGCCTCCTCTGATTTTTTTTTTTTTAGAATAACTTAATGCTTTTTAGGTTATGCTGCATGACTTTTTAACCTATTACATGCTTTAAAATTGTTCTAGAATGTGTAAATGTCAGCCTAACACACTGTTTGTCATATTAAGGCTAGAAATGACCTTAGATACTCATTTATTTCAACAGTCGAAGCTGAGAGTAAGAAAGACTGGATAGATCACTTACCTACCCAACTACTTCTTTATAGATAAACACCATGTAATTGAGGAGGGGGTTAGGGAGCAAAGAGGGCTGGGAAAAGAGGAGAAAAGATGAATGAGGTATGTATCCCTGCCTTAGAGAAATTGAATAACCTAGTAGGAACAATGCAATAAGATATTCATGTAAACTAGAATATAAAGTACCTTAGTGATTAGTGCATAGAAAGTAAAAAGTCAGGCCGGGTGCGGTGGCTCATGCCAATAATCCCAGCACTCTGGGAGGCCAAGGCAGGTGGATCACTTGAGGTCAGGAGTTCGAGACCAGCCTGGCCAACATGGTGAAACCCTGTCTCTACTAAAAATACAAAAATTAGCCAGGCATGGTGGCTGGTGCGTATAATCCCAGCTACTCAGGAGGCTGAGGCAAGAGAATCACCTGAACCCAGGAGGTAGAGGTTGCAGTGAGCCAAGATTGCACCATTGCACTTCAGCCTGGGCAATAAGAATGAAACTCCATCTCAAAAAAAGAAAGAAAGTAAGTACAAAGTCCTCTGAGAGTTAAAATCATTCTAATGTCATGGAACCTACCTTCTGACAGGTGGCAATTCTGTGGTATCAGATGTGTACCCGGGGCATAGAAATCCTATCAGCTCTTGATTTGGGACACTAGGGGGATGAAGAAGGATAAGGAAGGAGAAATTGAAAGGTATGAGAGTAGAGTCTGGATTAACTAAAAAACCTGGTTTAAAGTACAGCTGGGACCTGAGACCTCTCCAGTCTAAATAGTTTATGTAAGGGGAGGGAATGACATCCTCAAACACACACACACAAAATAGCGGGTACTGGAGCTGAGCCACTTGGGTTTTCTGAACTGCTTTAGGTAAAGTAAGAGTGGGAAGTTAATTGTCTTCTCCATCCTTACTATCATCTCTTATTCTTATACAAAGATTCTCCATGACCTCCTACTTCCTCCCCAGTCCACA
Source organism: Homo sapiens (assembly GCF_000001405.40). Taxonomy (NCBI): domain Eukaryota; kingdom Metazoa; phylum Chordata; class Mammalia; order Primates; family Hominidae; genus Homo; species Homo sapiens. The sequence continues at coordinate 174,028,285 of NC_000001.11, forward strand.
ATATTGTACCCCTCCTATTAAAATTTCATTAAAAATAAAACTCTAAAAAATAAGAAGCAGAGGAAGATGTCCCATGCAATACACTATAGAAATATGAGGAAACCGATGGTGTCTGACCTACCCTACACCTTTGGAGTCAAGTCCAAAATCAGACCCAAATCATCATCTGCAAATTAAGCCTAACGGATTGCTGTAGATTCAGGGTGTTAATCACATGGCAAATATAGCCCAATTTAGTTCTGAGATTTCAAGAGCTAGGTTCCTGCAGACTTGAGATTCCAAAAGAGTTAAGTAAAATGATGTTTCTGAGTCTTACATGAAATTGCTTCTAAATTGGCCTGCCTTCCATAAAGGCCTCCAGCCCAACATTGAGCTGTCTGAACTTCAGCTGACCCTTAGAGACTTATCTGAAGCCAATGATAAACAGAATGCCTTTACAAAAGAGATATCAAACAACTTTCAGCAAAGTGGTCCACTCTAGGCAGTTAGGTTAAGAGAAAGTAGCTCCACTTTTCCAGTGGCAAAACTCACTGGAATATTGTTGTTTTCACTATTAGTTTGCTAGGGCTATCACACCAAATGCCACAGTCTGGGTGGCTTTTTGTTTTTTAAACGTAATCCCACATGGCAGCATGTTATTATTGGTGTAAAATGGATAAGTATAAGATTTTTGTTTTGTTTTTGAGATGGAATCTCGCTCTGTTGCCCAGGCTGGAGTGCAGCTGGAGCTCACTGCAACCTCTGCCTCCCTAGTTCAAGCAATTCTCCTACCTCAGCCCCCTGAGTAGCTGGGATTATAGGCATGAACCACCACGCCTGGCCGGGATAAGTATAAGATGTTTTATGTAAGCCTCAGGGTAACCATAAAGCAAAAGCCCATAATAGGTATGCAGGCCAGGCACAGTGACTCACGCCTGTAATCCCAGCACTTTGGGAGGCTGAGGCTGGCGGATCATGAGGTCAGGAGTTCAAGACCAGCCTGGACAACATAGTGAAACTCTGTCTCTACTAAAAATACAAAAATTAGCCAGGCATGGTGGCGCACGCCCGTAGTCCCAGCTACTCGGGAGGCTGAGGCTGGAGAATCGCTTGAATCTGGGAGGTGGAGGTTGCGGTGAGCCAAGATCATGCCACTGCACTCCAGGCTGAGCAACAGAATGAGACTTAGTCTAAAAATAAACCAAAATACATATATATATATATATATATACACATATATATATGCATGCAAAGGATAAGAAAAAATTTAAATCATACCATTATAGAAAATCATCAAACCACAAAGGAAGAAAACGAGAGGGGAAGAAAGGAACAAGGAACTTCAAATCAACCAGAATAACAAAACAATAATTTTAAAAAAACCCAGTTTATTGGAAATCATCATTCTCAGTAAACTATCGCAAGAACAAAAAACCAAACACCACATATTCTCACTCATAGGTGGGAACTGAACAATGAGAACACATAGACACAGGAAGGGGAACATCACACTCTGGGGACTGTTGTGGGGTGGGGGGAGGGGGGAGGGATAGCACTGGGAGATATACCTAATGCTAGATGACGAGTTAATGGGTGCAGCGCACCAGCATGGCACATGTATACATATGTAACTAACCTGCACATTGTGCACATGTACCCTAAAACTTAAAGTATAATAAGTAAAAAAAAAAAAACATAGAAAAAAGAAAAGAAAAAAAAACCCAGCAAACAATTTTTCAAATGGCACTTATAAGTCCTTACCTATACGTAATTACTTTGAATGTAAATGGATTAAATTATCTAATCAAAAGGCATAGAGTGGCTGAAAAGATTAAAAAAAAACAACAACAACAAGACCCTTAGAGGCCAGGTGTGTAATCCCAGCACTTTGGGAGGCCAAGGCATGCAGATCACCTGAGGTCAGGAGTTCGAGACCAGCCTGGTAAACTTGGCAAAACCTTGTCTGTACTAAAAATACAAAAATTAGCCGGGCATGGTGGCAGGCGCCTGTAATCCTAGCTACTTAGGAGGCTGAGACAGGAGAATTGCTTAAACCCAGGAGGCAGAGGTTACAGTGAGCCGAGATCACACCATTGCACTCCAGCCTGGGCAACAAGAGTGAAACTCCATCTCAAAAAAAAAAAAAAAAAAAAACTTAGCTAGGCATGGTGGTGGGCACCTGTAATCCCAGCTACTCAGAAGGCTGAGGCAGGAGAATGACTTGAACCCAGGAGGCGGAGGTTGTAGTGAGCCGAGATCGTGCATTGCACTTTAGCCTGGGTGACAAGAGTGAAACTTCATCTCAAAAAAAAAAAAGACCCTTGGAGCTGGCACAGTGGCTCACCCCTGTAATCCCAGTGACTCAGCAAGCTGAGGTGGGAGGATCACTTGAGCCCAGGAGTTGGAGGCTGCAGTGAGCTATGACTGTGCTGCCATACTCCAGCCTGGGCAACAGAATGAGACCCTATCTCTAAAAACAAACAAAAAACAAGACCAAAGTATATGCTGCCTACATAAGACTCACTTCACCTTAAAGCAGGGGTCCCTAACGTCTGGTCCATGGACCAGTACAGGTCTGTACCCTGTTAGGAACCTGGACACACAGCAGGAAATGAGCAGCTAGCAAGAGAGCATCACCGCCTCAGCTCTGCCTCCTGTCAGATCAGTGGCAGCATTAGATTCTCATAGGAGCATGAACCCTACTGTGAAATGCACATGCAAGAATCTAATGCCTGATGATCTGAGGTGGAACAGTTTCATCTTGAAGCCATCCCTCACGCCTGGCCTGTCCATGGAAAAATTGTCTTCAAAGAAACTGTTCCCTGGTGCCAAAAAGTTTGGGGATCATTGCCTTAAAGGACTCTTGTAGACTGAAAGTGAAGGGAAAGATGACTGTTTGTTTATATAACTAATTATTGGAACCTCGTGTGGGGCTCTGTCTATCTAAACATACAATTCTAGATATACTGAGTTCAATATACTTTGTAACCAAATGATGTCCTCTAGCACAAATGTATATTCAATATCTATTGGGCAATATTAGGTTTATCCGATCATGAATATCAGTTAAGAAAAAGTTGGACATTCATATGTAAATCATTCAGGAAACTAGAATTTGAAACATAATGCTTTAAGCAATATGGAGGAGAAACTTCCTTTTGCTCCATACTTCACTTTGTATGATCTGGACTTGGGGGAGTCTTTAGAGTTTTTTGTTTTTCTAAGAGGTTAGGGATCAAAGATTATCCCTATCACTTGGAGGCAGTTCATGAACCATGCAGTAAAATGTCTGTATAGTAGGCTCCTCATTGAAGATGAATATTCAGCTTCATGTTACTCCATGAGTTTATTTTCTTTTTGTTATCCTCTAAGTTTGAATAAAGTGTTTGAGTGCTGTAGTCTTTTCTCAGTGCTAATCTTCTATTAATGGGATAGTTCTGCAACCATACTTGGGCCAGTATAGCACCAGTGATGGGAAATACCTAGAGCTCCACCAGAGGAAAAGCAAATCACTCGGGTTAAGAGTCAGAGTCCTTCTCCATCTTGATATTTTTCTTCAGTTGTCAAACTGGGACAGGCAGAAAGATCTAGTTCAAGCCCTTGTTCCACTGCTTACTAGCTGTGTGATCTTGTACAAGTTAACCTTAGAAATGTTCACTTTCCTTTAGTGTAAGATTTGTCAAATGTATCTAATGTAAAATACAAGGATAGTGAAATTTATTTTATGGAGATTACAATGAGAAAATATATGTAGAACATCTAGTACAATGCCTGACATCTATTAGGCACTTGATGAATGAGAGTTATTAAAATTATACTAGGTACTGTACATTGCATTAGGCTGGTGGTTCTCAATTTTGCTGTGAACTTTTAAAAACTATGGTCCAGGCATGGTGGCTCACACCTGTGATCCAGCACTTTGGGAAGCTGAGGCAGGTGGATCACTTGAACTCAGGAGTTCAAGACCAGCTTGGACAACATAGCAAAACCTTGTCTCTACAAAAAATACAAAAATTCGTTAGGTGTGGTGGCACACACCTGTAGTCCCAACTATTTGGTGGGCTGAGGTGGGAGGTTTACTTGAGCCTGGGGAAGTTGAGGCTGCAGTGAGCCGTGTTTGTACCACTGCACTCCAGCCTGGGACACAAAGTGAGACCCTGTCACAAAAACAAAACAACAACAACAACAAAAAACTATGTATCTCCAGCTCTGACCCTAGAAATTCTGATTTGGAGTGTTGGTTTGGGGCCAGGCATCTTTATGTTTTTTGGATTTTACAGGTGATTTTATCCTGTCTTCTTGGGTGATAACCACTGACATAGGGCAATGGTCAGCAAACCTTTTTGGTAAATGGCCAGATAGTAAATATTTTAGGCTTTACATGGCATATGGTCTCTGTCACAGCTATTTGACTCTGTTATTGTAGTGTTAGAGCAGCTGTAGACAATATATAAACAAATAAGAATGAGTGTTTCTAATACAACTTTATTTATAAAAACAGACAAAAGGAAGTGGCAGGCCAGATTTGGTGCCCAGACAATTGCTTGCCAAAACTTTATTATGTGGAGGGAGATTTTTTTTTATTTGCTATAGCCAGGGAAAGTATATTATTATTATATTCAATGGCGGCATTAAAAGCCTTACAGTGTTTGGTGCAATACACAGTTAATTAAATAGACAATGCTCCTGCCTTCCAAGGAATTAGTCATTCAAAACAACAACACAGACATAATATTTATAAGTAATCCTGCATGAGTAATTATCACATAAACAAATGACTATACAAGACTACATGTGAAACTGAGTTCAGGAATGGCCAGATTCTCCTAATGCTTCCATTTACAAATATCAGATAAAATAAAAGGAACATAAGGACTCATTCAGGAACCAATGTAAAGAGGAGAATGATGCCCCAGAGTAGCTCCCTTTTTTCAGCAACAGGCTGTAAGGGAGCATCTTTTAAAAAGGGATCCTTTAAATAGTACTTCATGGCTTTCCACATGGCTGAATTTACCTTCTCTCAACACTGATTTCTTCATCAAAATACATTTTTGTCTGATTTATCCTCTGAGTTTAGGGGCTATATTATGGTTAAATTTAATGATACCAGTGCTCATTACCTTTAATCTGGAACAAAGAAAAATATCTTCTGTCTCAATAGGAATAGAACTTAAAGGAAAAGTCAGTGGATCAGTTTGTGTGGATGTGTGCGCAAGTGTGTATAGGTATGTTTAAATAAAGTTATTGGTAATTTAGTAACCTACTGCCTACAATGGTAGAAAGGATGCAGTAGTAGCTGTTGGATAGGGCAAGGTTCTTATATAGCCCTGAGGGATGTGTAAGTGTTGTAAACATTAGTAATTTTGGCTGCCCAGCATCTGACTCTCTCCTCCTCCCTCTCTTTGGGAATTCTCCATTTGGGAGTTTTAGTGGATGGCAGGGTCTCTTCTCCCACTATAAGGACTGGAAAGGTCAGATACTTGCCTAAATGCCCTCCCTCAATCTGCCAAACACAAAATACACACCCAACTAGGCTGAAGGAAAGTGATCTAAGCTTGGACGACTATAGATGCTGTTAGTTGGGACTGTGAATCTGCAGTAAGTTACACAGAATTAAGTAGAATTCATCCCACTAGCAGCGCTGGTACCAAGAGTCTGGTGGGACATCAGAGTCTGATGGCAGCAATCCCTGAGGTGATGGCCAGCATCCACTGGCAGTGGCAGTGGTACTCTTATCAGGGCATTTCAAGGCTGACATTAGCTGTGATTCTGGCTATCTAGGTTCTCTCAATTCCTGTTCTTCATAACTGTGAACTGCCTGGGCGCGGTGGCTCAGGCCTGTAATCCCAACACGTTAGGAGGCTTGAACTCAGGAGTTCAAGACCAGTCAGGGCAGAACAGCGAAACCCCTTCTCTACCAAAAATATATATAAAAAAAAAAATAGCTAGGCATGGTGGTACATGCCTGTGGGCCCAGCTACTCAGGAGGCTGAGGTGGGAGGATCACTTGAGCCTGGGAGGCAGTGGCTGCAGTGAGCCAAGATCAGGCTACTGCACTCCAACCTGGGTGACAGAGTGAGACCCCATCTCAAAAAAACAAAACAAAACAAAAAAACTTTGAGCTACTCAGTTTGCTCCTAGTAAATTCCTATTCTGCCTAAGTTAGCCACTGAGATAGTTTCACCTATAAGGAAGAGTGTAGAAATCAAGGGACTGCAGAAATAATCTATTTTTCTATTTCCCATATAGACACCCTTTACTCAGTTTAAAGGACTTATCCATGTTTTTTCTTTTTCTGTGCCCTGATTTTTATGATTGCAGTTGTCAGAGTCTCAAAACTTCAAGGTACATCTATATCCATTTCACTTAAATTGAAGTGAAGGTATCCTAAATGACATGTTTCCTTCTGTTAACTCAGTTCATTTATTATTCCCAAATAATAAGCCCTCCTGTCAAGCTTTTGATTTGGACTTTTTACCCATCTGTCAAGAATGTTCAGTGTCTACTTTAAAACTAATATTGCACTAATTTCTCAAGGGGAAAGTGTCCATATCAATTTCTCTCTTAGTCAGGATTTATATCCTAGGGGAGAAAAAGAAGAATAAAATAATCTCTTCCTTGGCTAAAAACTATTACAAAAAATAAATGTTTTTTTCTTGAATTCCTAACAAGAATTTTTCTTTTTTTCTTTTTCTTTCTTTTTTGAGACGGAGTCTTGCTCTGTCACCCAGGCTGGAGTGCAGTGGCGTGATCTCGGAAGAATTTTTCTAATCAAGCATTTCATCTGGGGCAATCAAGCAATCAAAGCCTTCCTTGCTGAAATTACATGGAAAAAGAATTATTTTCTACATTTTTGCAAAAATATTTTAACTACCAAAATTGAAATGTTCATTTATGGTTTTTTTTTCTGCAAAGATACTTAACCTTGTTTCTGCAACATCTAATTGAGTCACAAATGTTCTCAAGTGATGATATAAAAGTCACAGAACAAAATTAATTCGTATTCACTTTATTACAACCACAACAAATATTTGGTAACCTCCTATGTGCCACATAACACCACAGACATCGTGCTATTTTTTTTGTTTTTTTTTTCCTGTCACCCAGGCTGGAGTGCAGTGGCACCATCTTGGCTCACTGCAACCTCTGTCTCCCGAGTTCAAATGATTCTCATGCCTCAGCCTCCCAAGTAGCTGGGATTACAGGCGCCTGCCACCACAACTGGCTAATTTTTGTATTTTTAGTAGAGACAGGGTTTCACCATGTTGGCCAGGCTGGTCTTGAACTCCTGACCTTAGGTGATCCGCCCACCTCAACCTCCCAAAGTGCTGGGATTACAGGCATGAGCCACTGCGTCTGGCCGTGCTATGTTGATATAACAGTAAACAAAACAGACAGGGTCTCTCCCTCAGAGGCTTATAGTTTAGTGTGGGAGATAGAAGACTTATAATTAAATAACCACAAGTATGTTAAGTGTCCTGAAGGCCAAAGTACATGGGGATGTTTAGCAGTAAGAATTGACCTAATCTGATGAACAGAGAAGGTTCCTCAAGAAAGTGATGTTTAAGCTGAAGTGAAAAGATGAGTAGGAATTAGCTAGGCAAACGAGGGGTAAAATGTTTCAGGGCAGAGGATAGCATGTGCAGTATCTCTGAGGTAGGAAAAAGTGTGGTATATTTAAGGAACTAACAGAAATCCAGTTTGGCTGAAGAAAGTATACAGATTCAGAGGGAGCCTAGCAAACAAAGAAGATGCCACAGAGGCCAGCAGGTAGACCTTGGAAGCCAAAGTAGGAATTTCAAGCTTTATTTAATTTATTTTTTCAATATCTTCAAATCATTTGAGCTTTATTTTAAGATAAGTTTGCTAGATAGTGTACAGGATGTTAAACTAATTTATATTTTAAATAAACAATAGTATTCTAGTATATGTCCCAAATATTGCATGGAACATAAATTGAAAAAATTATCCATTATTTTTATTTATCTATTTATTTAGGAGATACAGGGTCTCACTCTGTCTCACTCCAGGTTGGAGTGCAGTGGCACGATCATAGCTCACTGTAACCTCAAACTCTTGGGCTTAAGTGATCCTCTTGTCTCAACCTCTTCAGTAGCTAGGACTACAGGCAAGCTCCACCTCACTGGGCTATTCTCTATTTTAAGAGCAAAGTCTGAAAGGCTGAAGAGGGACATGGCAAGATTTCCCTGTTGGCCAGGCGCAGTGGCTCATGCCTGTAATCCTAGGATTTTGAGAGGCTGAGGAGGACAGATCTCTTGAGCCCAGGTATTTAAGACCACCATCATAAAAAGAAAGCATCCCCCACATCTAGAAGCTTTATACTCATTATATTGAATCTTTACAATACTAGAAGATGGATATTATTACTGCCGTTTTACAGAATAAGAAACTGAGGTTTGGGATGGTTCAATAACTCACTCCAAATAAAACAGAGTAAATAGCAGAACTAGGATTCAAAGCCAGTTATACTCATTCCAATGTACTCAGTCTATATTATAACAGTACTGACTCTCTTAGATATCTCAAGTAAATTTAGCCAATCCAAAGCTTGAATGGCTTTCTCTTTTTAATGATAGTAATAACCAATTTGACTCAGTTAATCATGAGATACAGGGCTGGTCCTGAGACTGTTTACCTCCAGATCCATTTCTTGCTTTACTTGATCCCTGATTCACAGTAAGGACTGGCCTTCCTGTGTCAGCTGCCTTCCTGGTGTGTTTGGCTAAGAAGGAGGAAAAAGAAGCCAAGTTACTTCTTGCTGATTCTCTTCCTCTTGCTTCAGGTGGAATCCTGGGCAACAGCTGTTTCCTTCATGGCCCCACCTGAGGCTGAGCAGGCTTCCACCAGGAAACCCTAGTCCCTGGGCCCCAGTAAAACATTTTCCTCTCTTTGTCCCTTTAAACTAGTGTTGTTGGTGGCTAATCTCTGGATTGCCCCTCCTAACACCTATGTAACTAATTCCGTACATCAAACATTGTCTGTTTTAAATATTTAGAGTATCTTCCACAAGCCTGATAGGACCCTGGTATGGACATTGTCTTGGCCAGTGTCATGGATAGGATATTGCTAGTTTGGACTGAAAGACCTCTCTTCTCATTCTGATAATCTCTAATCTTACTGGTGAGAGCCTAAAAATATTATTATTATTTTTATTTTTAGCTTAAAGCTTTGAATTCTGTCATTGATAATACCACCAAACATTTTTACATGCTTCAAATATAATCAAAGAACAGGGCTGGGCATGGTAGCTCATGCCTATAATCCTAGCCCTTTGGGAGGCCGAGGAGGGTGGATTGCTTGAGCTCAGGAGTTCAAGACCAGTCTGAGCAACATGGTGAAACACCATCTCTACAAAAAAACACAAAAATTAGCCAGGCATGTTGGCGTACGCCTGTAGTACCAGCTACTTATGGGGCTGAGGCAGGAGGATTGCTTGAAATCTGGGAGGTCAAGACTGCAGTTAGCCAAGATGGCGCCACTGCACTCCAGCTTGGGTGATCAAGTGAGACCCTGTTTTGATATATATACATATACATATATTTATGTATATATATTCAAAGAACAGTCTGTTTCACTGGAAGGGCTAATTGTACCCACAGCCTCTTTCTAGGGAAATCTTTAACAATGCGATATCCTTGGGTATCAGAATAAGTGGATGTGTTTGTTCCTCTTGACTGGACCAGGTGAGTGCCATTGGCCCAAGAACAGCAAACGATTGACTGGCTGGCTTCCTATGAAAGAACTTGGAGTGAGAGCTTTGTCATCAGGTCCTTAGCAACAATCTATCTGGTATTTGATCTATAGATTTAGGGGGTCAATTAGTTGGTATTAGGAGCAAGGGCAGAAAGTCACCCTGAGAGAAACAGAATCGTAGAGAAAAGATACGATGTCAATAGCTGAGCACTCAGGAAATGTCAGCAAGTTCTTGCAGCAGAGGGGATGCTTTATTTGTGCTGAATCCTGAAGAAGTTTTTAGTTCAGAAACCACAGTATTGACTCTGTCTAGTTCAGCTGTATTCAGATTCACATTATTCCTGTGTGATCCAGTGATCTTGCCATTTCCTATTTTCCTGGTTGGCTGAGATTTGTGGCTAAGATTCGTCTTTATTTTCTTTTTAAAATTTCCCTGAATATCTTTTTAGTAAACCGTCTACTACTTGATATAATCTGAGTGTGCTTATGTTTCCTGCAACTGATATAAAAACCTAAAACAGTTTTTAAGGCATCTTTAGATTTTTTCCATCCTTTTTTTTTCTTTCTTTTTTTTTTTTTTTGAGATTGAGTCTTGCTCTGTCACCCAGGCTGGAGTGTAGTGGCGTGATCTCGGCTCATTGCAACCTCCACCTCCTGGGTTCCAGCGATTCTCCTGCCTCAGCTTCCTGAGTAGCTGTGATTACAGGTGAATGCCACCACGCCCTGCTAATTTTTGCATTTTTAGTATAGATGGGGTTTCACCATGTTGGTCGGGCTTGAACTCCTGACCTCATGATCCACCTGCCTCGGCCTCCCACAGGGCTGGGATTAAAGGCGTGAGCCACCGCACCCAGCCACGACCGACTAATTTTTAGTAGAGATGGGGTTTCATCATGTTGGCCAGGCTGTTCTCGAACTCCTGACCTCAAGTGATACGCCCACCTCAGCCTCCCAAAGTGTTAGGATCACTGGCGTGAGCCACAATGCCCAGCTAGCAGCTAATCTTAATTGAGTGCTGAGGTTGTGTCAGGCATTGTTCTGAATGTAATAACTCATTTAAATTCTTAAACAGCTTTATAAATTGGTATTATTATTATCACCATTTTACAAATGAGGAAATGTAGGAAAGAGAAAGGTTAAGTTATCGCCCAGCAGTCACTCATCAAAACTGTGGTAGAGCTGGAAATTGAGCTTGGCAATCTGCTGCAGGATCTGGACTGTGAAGTCATCCTGCTAAAGAGTAGGAGGAAAAACTGCCCAATATTGTTGAATATGCAAAAACATATTTTCCAGTATACTCAGTGGAGATTTTGGAATCAATCCAAGAGATCAGTTTGGTTTTGACCTTCATAAGAGGTTGAAGACTCAGAAATATTTACTGGGCTGAGTGCAGTGGCTCATGCCTATAATCCCAGCAATTTGAGAGGCTGAGGCCAGAGGATTGCTTGAGGCCAGGAGTTTGAGACCAGCTTGGACAACATAGTGAGATCCCTGTCTCTACAAAAAATAAAAAAAAAATTAGCCAGGCGTGGTGGTGTATACCTGTAATCCTAGCTACTCGGGAGGCTAAGGCAAGAGGATCACTTGAACCCAGGAACTGAGGCTTCAGTGAGCTATGATCGTGCCACTGCACTGCAGCTTAGGTGACAGAGTGAGACTCTGTCTCTAAAAACTAAATAAAATATAGAAATTTATTGAAGGTTAGAGCGAATTAAAAAATTCATCGGTGTTCTAAATCACCCAAAGAATATATGGGATACAATGTATTTCGATACCCTAGGAAAATAGCCACCAAAAAAAGCACATCCTTGGGTATTAACCAAGAGTTTACTTGTATTACAAACAACTTTATCTACTGAACAATTGGAGACTGTCTTTTTGTAGGCTGAGAGTAAGCATTGGGCCAAGCTTAAATCAGCTCTTGTTCATAAGGAGATAATGAAGGCTGGGTGTGATGCTGGCTCACACCTGTAATCCCAACACTTTGAGAGACCAAGGTGGGAGGATCACTGGAGCCCAGGAGTTCAAGACCAGCCTGGGCAATGTGGCGAGATCCTGTCTCTAAAAAAAAAACAGATCTTGAGATCCAGCAACACCTTTGGACACTTATTTCTTCCCTCAGGGGTTTATGTAATTTGTCCTGCATTCCTTTGTTCTACACAGTTGCCACCACACCATCTATGTTTCTCCTCACAAGGCTGTCTGAGAAACCATCTCTTCAGCCTTCTCTAACCCTCCTTGATTACCTTAGAAAAAAAGCCTAGAGGCCCTTTTCCTTTTTAAGGAATCACTGTTAATAGCTATGGGGAAACAAATTTGTAGGCAAAAGAAATAGATGAAAATGGGGAAGCAACAAATAATCACAAAATGTAAACAAGTTCTACAATTTTTTCCTAATATTTTACCAAAATGAGTTAATAGACTGGGCCTAAACTAGTTTTATCATAGTCCTACCCGGAACTTGCTTTTTGCATAATTGCTATTTTTTGAGCACTTATACACTGGGCACTGTCTGAACCATTTTACTCATCCTAGCTCCTCATAACATCCTTGTGAGGTAGGCACAGTTAGCATCCTATTTCATATGAGGAAACAGGCACAGAAGGGTTGGCTACTTGCCCAAGGTGACAATGAATAATAACAGAGTCATGATTCAAACTGCAGCTGCCTAGCTCTGAAGTCTACTCTCTTGACTACTGCACTATATGGCTTCTCTAGTATGGTCACATCAGGACAGATGGTTGTCAAGTGGAAGCGTGTAACAATTTGGGGCACTGAGTGGAAGTATGGCTTAAGGGTTGACTGTTCTGGCAGGCTCTCCTTAGCAGAATACTTGGCAAGATCACCACTGCCTGGTGACTGCTCCTCAGCTTTGGAGATTTGTAAACTGGATTTTCTCCATTACCCAGATGTGAATAGTGTCTTGAAGGCAATTCGCACTGACCAAACTCAGGACACTTATATACTGGTCATAATATCATAAGGCATTTCTCTTTTCATCATCTGGAAACTCTTACTGCTCTCTGGGGCTCTCTCTTCCTGCCATCAGGGGCCCTGGAAAACCAGAGTTTACTAGTGAGAATGGAATTGTAGCAAAGGAAGTAGAAAATTTGAGAGGTAATACACGTTGAGCATCCCTAATCTGAAAATCCAAAATCGAAAATCCTCCAAAATCTGAAACATTTTCAGTACTGACATGATGCCACAAGTGAACAATCCTACACCTGATCTCATGTAATGGATTGTAGTCAAAATGCAGATGCACAACACAGTTTATTCAGCATCCTCAAAGGAAACAAGACCCTCCCACTTGTGTGTGAATTCACTTTTGTGTAAATAAGTGTCAGAAAATTATTGTTTATCAATAGCACATAAATTTTGAGTCAGGAATGATGGTGATGCCGAACAAACACATATTGTCCACATGGGTAACCAAGACAGTGACACATTTGCTTTCTGACAGTTCAATGTACACAAACTTTGTTTCATGCACAAAATTATTTAAAATGCTGTATAGAATTAACTTCAGGCTCTGTGTATAAAGTATGTATGAAACATAAATGAGCTGAGCACCATGGCTAGCTCCTATAATCCCAGTTACTCAGGAGGCAGAGATGGGAAAATTGCTTGAGGCCAGGAGTTCAAGGTCAGCCTGGGTAATGTAGCAAGACCTCATCTGTAAAAAATTTTTTAAATTAGCTAGGTGTGGCAGCTTGTACCTGTAGTTCTAGCTACTGGGAGGCTAAGGCAGAAGGATCATTTGAGCCCAAGAGCCTATTAAGACTGCAGTGAGCAATGATCAAGCCATTACACTCCAGCCTGGTTGACAGGGTATTTTTTTTTTCTCTAAAAAAAGAAGAAGAAAGAAAAGAAACATAAATGAATTTCATATTTAGTCTTAGGTCTTATCCCTGAGAGATCTCATTATGTATACACAATTTTTTTTTTTTTTTGAGACAGAGTCTCACTCTGTTGCCCAGGCTGGAGTGCAGTGGCACAATCTCGGCTCACTACAACCTCTGCCTCCCAGGTTCAAGCAATCCTCTGTCTCAGCCTCCCAAGTAGCTGAGATTACAGGCATCCACCACCATGCCTGGCTAATTTTTTGTATTTTAGGTAGAGACGGATTTCACCATCTTGGCCAAGTTGGTCTTGAACTCCTGACCTCGTGATCCACGCACATCAGCTTCCCAAAGTGCTAGGTTTACAAGTGTGAGCCACCGTGCCTGATCTTAATTTTTTGTATTTTTAGTAGAGACGGGGTTTCACCATATTGGTCAGTCTGGTCTCGAACTCCTGACCTCAGGTGATCTGCCCGCCTCGGCCTCCCAAAGTGTTGGGATTAAAGGCGTGAGCCACTGTGCCTGGCCCAAATATTTTAAAATCCAGAAAAAATCCAAAGTCTAATCTCAACCATTTTGGTCTCCAGTTTTTTGTTTGTTTGTTTTTGAGACGGAGTCTCACTGTGTCGCCCAGGCTGGAGTGCAGTGGTGCAATCTCAGTTCACTGCAGTCTCCGCCTCTTGGGTTCAAGCGATTCTCCTGTCTCAGTCTCCCGAGTAGCTGGGATTACAGGCATATGCCACCACACCCAGCTAATTTTTTTTGTATTTTTAGTAGAGATGGGGTTTCACCATGTTGGCCAGGCTGGTCTGGAACTCCTGACCTCAAGTGATTCACTCCCCTCAGTCTCCAAAGTGCTGAGATCACAGGCATGAGCCACCGTGCTGGCCATGTTGACCCAATTCTCTCTTCCTCCCCTCTCATTGAACTGTCTTCCCTCAACTCGTATGTAAAACTTTCAGCAGTGAAATCAGATCAAATATTTCTTTTTTTTTTTTTTTGAGGCAGTGCCTCACTCTGTCACGCAGGCTGGAGTACAGTGGCATGATCATGGCTCACAGCAGCCTCCTGGGCTCCTGGGCTAAAATGATCCTCCTACCTAAGGTGCCCAAGTAAGGACTACAGTCGCATGCCACGCCTGGCTAAGTTTTTGTTTTTGTTTTTGTTTGTTTGTTTGTTTGTTTGAAATGGAGTTTTGCTCTTGTTGCTCAGGCTGGAGAGCAATGGTGTGATCTCGGCTCTCCACAGCCTCCACCTCCCAGGTTCAAGTGATTCTCCTGCCTCAGCCTCCTGAGTAGCTGGGATTACAGGCATGCACCACCATGCCTGGCTAATTTTGTAATTGTAGTAGAGACAGAGTTTCTCCATGTTGGTCAGGCTGGTCTCGAACTCCCGACCTCAGGTGATCTGCCCCACTTGGCCTCCCAAAGTTCTGGGATTACAGGCATGAACCACCATGCTTGGTGTTAATTTTTTATTATTTGTAGAGAGGGGTCTTGCTATGTTGCCCAGGCTAGTCTTGAACTCTTGGCCTCAAACAATCCTCCCACCTCAGCCTTCAAAGCACTGGGATTACAGACATTAGCTACCGTGTCTGGCTCAAATACTTCCTATAAACTCTTTTTGACTAGTTAATAAATGCATATCTCAATAGGAAAAAATCTCAAGAATCAAGAATCTTCGTTATTGTTTTTAGGCTGCATTCTTTGAACATTGAGCATATACTTCTTTTTTCACTTCTTTCTTTTTTTCTTTTTGATATTTAGGTGTCCAAAAGCAAAAAGGATGTATTTTATTAGTCTATAAGAGAATTATTGGATACTACCTTTTTTTTTTTTTCAGAGACCTGGTCTTGCTCTGTTGCCCAGGCTGGTGCTGGAGTACAGTAGCACAATCATAGCTCACTGCAGCCTTGACCTCTTGAACTCCTGGGCTCAAACAATCCTCCCACCTCAGCTTCTTAAGTAGCTGATACTACAGGTGCACACCACCACACCCGGCTAATTAAAAAAATTTTTTTCTTGGCCGGGAGCAGTGGCTCACACCTGTAATCCCAGCACTTTGGGAGGCTGAGGAGGGCGGATCATGAGGTCAGGAGATCGAGACCACCCTGGCTAACATGGTGAAACCCAGTCTCTACTAAAAATACAAAAAAATTAGCAGGGCATGGTGGCGGGAGCCTGTAGTCTCGGGTACTTGGGAGGCTGAGGCAGGAGAATGGCATGAACCCAGGAGGCGGAGCTTGCAGTGAGCCAAGATTGTGCCACTGCACTCCAGCCTGGGCAACAGAGCAAGACTCCGTCTCAAAGATATATATATATATGTGTATATATACACATTAAGTGTGTGTGTATATATATATGTGTGTGTGTATATATATATATACACATATATACACACATATATGTGTATATATACACACACATATATATTTTTTTCTTTTGTAGAGACAGGGTCTCACTGTGTTGACCAGGCTGGTTTTGAACCTCTGGCCTTAAGCAATCCTCCAGCCTCCCAAAGTGCTGGGATTACAGACATGAGCCACTGTGGATACTACTTTTTTTTTTTTTTGCTAGTTACCTATACACCTGAAAATCTCTTGAGTTTCATTATATTCCTCCAAATATTGTTTGATTCTTCTGCAAACACTAACAAAGATAACTTTAGAATTATCTAGAGTTACTTAGATTTAATGCTGTACCTTTCAGAAAGATCCCAGCGTTCTCTATAATATATACTGGTCTTATTATTTTATGTAGACACACTGCACTTCCTTAGTGCCTTTCATCTGAGGATCATAAACTGCACAGCAAACATTAATTAATTCTTACAACAACTTTGTGAACTATAATTTTTATGTGCATATAGTAAATGAATCACCCAAAGACCAGCAAAGCACAGCCTTTGTGAGGGAAGACTAGGCTTAGCACAACTTAATATATAAACAACCTATTCAAATAGTTTAGGTCAGGAAAGAAGACATCATTTTTCATTTAACTGAAACCACAAATGGAGTTTCAATAAGAAAATGATTATCCAAATTATGACTTATCTAAGTGTCCACAAGCAAAACTTGGAGTTTTGAAACAAACATTATCAGAAAAAGAAAGAGGCGTTAGAGTCTATTAATAGCTACACCTTCAATCTTATTGTTACTCCTAGAACAAGCACTTCGGCAAAAAGGAAGCAGGCCTAGTCATTAACTGCAGCTTTGATTTAGTATCAGTCAAAGAAAGTGTGCCACAGGCTGATTCATCAACACTCTGCTTCCTACCTAGATTCCCCTGAGTTTCTCTCACTCAGGTGCGTAGCAGGCCAAGCCCTATTTAGCAGAAAAGAGATGAAATCATTATTGTGTTTTAGGCCACTCTCTTTAACAAAAACAAAATTAGAAATATAATTTATAAAGGAAAATATTTACAAGAAAATGGTTTCCTTCTTTTCTAAGTTGACTCACTGAAACATCAAGAATATGTACCAACAAATGCTTTGCTCAGGGAAACTGATTTAACACCTTTTCTTTTATTGGGAGCTCATCTTTATTCTAGCCTTTTATTTAGAAATTTTCAAGTACACATAAAGTAGATAGAATTATATAATAAAAACCTCAGAGCCGGACACAGTGGCTCACGCCTGTAATCCCAGCACTTTGGGAGGCCAAGGCGGGCAGATCACCTGAAGTCAGGAGTTCAAGACCAGCCTGGTCAACATGGAGAAACCCCATCTCTACTAAACATAGAAAAATTAGACAGGTGTGGTGACGCACGCCTGCAATCCCAGCTACTCAGGAGGCTGAGGCACGAGAATTGCTTGAACCCGAGAGGCAGAGGTTGCAGTGAGCTGATTTTGCACCACTGCACTCTACCTGGGCAATAGAATAAGACTCTGTCTCAAAAAAAAAAAAAAAAAAAGAATTAATAAAAACCTCAAGTACCCACCACCCACCTCTAGCAGTTATCTCAGCTCCTCTTACTCAAACATTGTCATGTAATGTACACTGCAGAAATTCCCAGTCCCTTGGTTTGACAACAGCACAGTTATCTCAAAGGGTCACATGGAATCCTGAAAGCTAAATTTTATTTTTATTTATTATTATTTTTTCAGACAGAGTCTTGCTCTGTCACCCAGGCTGGAGTGCAGTGGTGCAGTCTCAACTCACTGCAACCTCCCCCTCAGGAGTTCAAGTGATTCTTGTGCTTCAGCCACCTGAGTAGCTGGGATTACAGGTGTGCAACACCACACTGGCTAACTTTTGTATTTTTAGTAGAGATGGGGTTTTACCATGTTGGCCAGGCTGGTCTGGAACTCCTGACCTCAAGTGATCCACCTGCTTCAACTTCCCAAAGTACTGGGATTATTGGTGTGAGCCACTCCACCTGGTCAACAAACAATAATTTGTTGACCTATTCCTCCAAATTACTTTCCAATATTTGTCCTAGAAACAATCTCCCCTCTTTTTTTTTTCCATTTTACCTGTTTCTTTATGACTTATGCCCATATTCTTGATAATATCTTTATAAAACTGCCTCTTGGTTTATCACTTTTAGAAATTATCAGTTGACTTCCTGGCATAGTAGAAAGAGTTTACTTGTTCAACAAATATTAATTGAACAACTACTATATGACAAATTCTGCTCTATGTGCTGGGGGTGCCAGAGGCACAAAACAGACAATGCCTTGATTTTGTGGAACTTGCAGTCAAGTGGATTAGACCCTTTTACAATCCTTCCATCCATTTCCCATAGTTCTGTTATAATTATATAATAATTTTAGTTAAATTAATCATCTGTGTTTGTTTGTGTAGATATTGTTCACTGTGGTGCTCTAAACTGTACTATAATCATATTTCTTCTTTCTGCAACTCTTGAATACCTTAGACCATTTGTGCTGCTATAACAAAATACCACAGCCTGAGTAATTTATGAACAGTAGATATTTCTCTCTCACAGTTCTGGAGGCTGGAAGATCAAGATCAAGGCATTCAGCATCTTGTGAAGGCCTTCTTGCTGCATCCTCACATGGCGGAAGGAAGGCAGAAGGGCAAAAAGAGCTGAACTCTGTGTGAAACTTCTTTTTTATAAGACCCTAATCCCATTCACAAAGGAGGGCCTTCAAGACCTAATTGCCTCCCAAAGGCCCCACCTCTTAATATTATCGCGTTGGAAATTAAGTTTCAACATGAATTTTGGGCAACACATTCAGACTATAGCAGGTTATTAACAACCTAATTAGAATCCCAATCCATTTTTTCACTAGTTTACCCCCAAATGTTCATACATCTCAGAAAAAGTAGTCTTTTTTTTTTTCTTTTTTTTGAGGTGGGTTCTTGCTATGTTGCCTAGGCTGGAGTGCACTGGCTATTCATAGGAGCATTCATAGCTCACTGCAGCCTCTAACTACTCCTATCCTTCTGCCTCCACCTCCTTAATTGCTAGGACTATAGGCACATGCCACCGCACCTGGCTGCAGTCAATTTTCTTATTTTCCTAGAGCCTCATATGTGGAAACTGCTGTTTTGTTTCTGTCTGTATTGATTGCTCTCTAGGCCTGCTTCTTTGCTATTGCATTGTACTATTTCCTAGATTCTATGTTTTTCTCTGTCTTGATCTATATCCCATTTTTATTGAAGTGTATTTTTAATGAAAGTCAGAGAAAGATAGAAATAAATTTTCTGGGTCCTCGAATACATGAAAATGTCTTTAAATCTATCTTCCAGTTTGAAAGGTATTTTTTTTTTCTCAGAATTCTGAAAGCATTGCTTCAATTACCTTCTAGCATTCAGTATTGACGACAGAATTCTGATACTGTTCTCTTTCAAATAGGATCCATTTTTCCTTTCTGGAAGCTTTAGAATCTTCTCTTTATCTATGGAGTTTTAAAATTTCACAATGACAAATCCTTGTGTGAATTACTTTTTTCAGTCATTGCTCAAGGTATTTGGGTTTTTTTTTTTCCCCATTTGTAGACTACTGTCTTGTGGGTCAGGGCAATTTCTAGTATTATTTCTTTGATAGTTCCTCTCTATTTACTCTTTACTTTTTCAGAAATTTATAGCTTGGATGTTGGCCTTTCTAGATTGATCCTTTACATCTCTTTTATTTTCTATTCTCTACTATTTGTTTTCTGAGAGATTTCACTTTCTCTTTTAACCCTTCTAACCATATTATTCTTTACAAGGGTCCCCAAGCCCCAGGCCATGGACTGGTACTGGTCTGTGGCCTGCTGGGAACCAGGCTGCACAGCAGGAGGTGAGTGGCTGGCAAGCAAGCATTACTGCCTGAGCTCAGATCAGTGGCAGCATTCGATTCTCATAGAAGCGTGAACCCTATTGTGAACTGCGCATGTGAGGGATCTAGGTTGTGTGCTCCTTATGAGAATCTAATGCCTGATGATCTGAGGTGGAACAGTTTCATCCCCAAACCATTCCCCCAACCCCTCAACCGCCGTCCATGGAAAAACTCTTCCACAAAACCAGTCCCTGGTGACTGCTACTTTAAGGGATCACATTTTTAATTTCTAAGATATCTTTTGTGCTCTCTGCTTATTTTTTTAACAGCATCCTGTTTTTGTTTTAAAATGGGTATCATATAATCTCTTACTTCTCAGAAAATTTTAGAGTTTTAAAAAGAGTTTCTTCTTTCTATGTTACTGCTGTCTTCCCTGGGTCCTTTTGTTCTGTTTATTTAGTTTAGGATGATTAGGTGGGAACCAGCTGTTTCACTTGAGGGCCATCTTTTTTCAGGGGTTCTTCAGTTTTTGCTCTGTGGAATAAGTTATCTTTTAATTTTAGTGGGGTCTTAGGTGGGAGAGGAGATAATTTCATGTGATCAACTGCCATCTTCAACCAGAATCTACGAGAGAAATAGAAAGGCTTTCACATATACAATATTTAGATTCCTCTTGATGATTGTCATTAGTAGGAGTAGCAAGGTTTATAGAAATAATCTTTAAATTTCACTTTTTAATAAGCTTTCTATCTAAGCCTATTAGCCCAGTTGGACAGAGGATGGCAAAATAATGTCAAGGTTATGAGTTTGCTCTCCATGGAGTTTAATTAAACTTACTTAATTTCATGGACTCCATCTTCTCCCCTAACTCACAGAGAAGGTCAAGAATGCTATTTTGGGAAGCTATAAATGTTATTTTGGGTAGCTATCAGCAGCTGTAAAATGAAAGCTGGATTATTTCTTGTCAATTTTATAGGCAAAAAATAATCCAGCTTTCATTTTATTGCTGCTATTAGGACCCTATGTCCTAATGAAATTCTACGTGTTACTACAGGAACATAAAAGGAACAAAAAATACTGGCAAATTAAAGGAAAAGAGAGAGAAAAATAGTACAGACATATCACCATACATCAATTTATTTCTGCTGGGAGAGAAAATCAGCCCATTTATCTTACTTAGGTCATTTCCCCAGAATCTGACTTTTAGATGGAGATTGGTAAGAGAAAGTCTTTTTGTTGATGTTGTTTTGAGACAGAGTCTCACTCTGTTGCCCAGGCTGGAGTGCAGTGGCACAATCTTGGCTCACTGCAACCTCCACCTCCCAGGTTCAAGCAATTCTCTGCCTCAGCCTCCCCGGTAGCTGGGACTATGCGTGTGCCACCACACCAGGATAATTTTTGTATTTTTAGTAGAGACAGGTTTCACCATGTTGGCCAGGTTGGTCTTGAACTGCTGGCCTCAAATGATCTGCCCTCCTCAGCCTCCCAAAGTACTTGGATTATAGGCATAAGTCACCACACCTGGTTTGTAAGAGAAAGGTTTATTGGGGAGTGCTCTGAAGGACAACACCCGCAAGGGAGTAAGGGCAGGGGGAGAAGTTGACCTGTGACACAATCACAACAGAGGCCTCAGCTGATCCCACAAGAAGCTCTGGAACTAGGAATTCCTTCAGAGTTGTCTCACTTTGAGGCAAGAGGCCAGAACTTTCTAACCTCACATTGACCAGTTGTTGGATAAGAGCTATCCCCAAGAAAGGACATGACCTTCTGGGGTCAGGACTTCAGTGAAGCGCCTCTCTTCAGCTGACAGCAGTCTCCAGAGTTTTGCAGCTGTGATCCAGCAATCAATACACCTGGCAGCTGGGGTGCCAGACCACAGCATCCACTAGACCAGGGGTCCCCAACCCCCAGGCCACAGACTGGTACTGGTCCATGGCCTGTTAGGAACTGGGCCACACAGCAGGAGGTGAGTGGTGGGCAAGCGAGTGAAGCTTCATCTGTATTTATAGCCACTCCCCATTACTCCAATTACTGCCTGAGCTCTGCCTCCTGTTAGATCAGTGGCAGCATTAGATTCTCTTAAGAGCGTGAACCCTATTGTGAACTGCACATGCGAGGGATCGAGGTTGTGCACTTATTATGAGAATCTAATGCCTGATGATCTGTCACTGACCACTGACCATCACCCCCAGATGGCACCATCACCCCCAGATGGGAACACCCCCAGATGGGACTTCTCCCATCACTCTCAGATGGGAAAAGAGGCTCAGGGCTCCCACTGATTCTACTTTATGGTGCGTTGTATAATCATTTCATTATATATTACAATGTAATACTAATAGAAATAAGGTGCACAATTAATATAATGTGCTTGAATCATCCCTCCTGCTACTGGTTCATGGAAAAATTGCCTTCATGAAACTGGTCCCTGGTGCCAGAAAGGTTGGGGACTGCAGCACTAGACTACATAAAGTAGTACCTGATCTCTTGAAAGTTCATGAGCTGAAATATTGTATTTTCTTTCATTTCTTCTAGATACCTACAGGAGAAGAAAACAAACTATGTTTGAACTGAGAAGGAACAAAAGACCTGTTTACTCTGCAAACTAGATAATTAGCATCCAAGAAACAGAATGAATGGAATAAGCTTTTGAAGAGTTTAACTATTTTATTTCATGCTATTTTTGCATCTTGGGCGTATTCCCTTTGTTTAGCAATCACTCTTAAGTTTTAAATATGAAGCCAAAGTCATTATGTTTAGGTTTATAGTACTAAGTTGGGGGAAGTTCAAATTTTTCTCAATATTTACAGGAGAAAGAAACACTCGGCAT
The DNA here is from genome assembly GCF_000001405.40 of Homo sapiens. NCBI lineage: Eukaryota > Metazoa > Chordata > Mammalia > Primates > Hominidae > Homo > Homo sapiens. Next base: position 174,050,877 of record NC_000001.11, read on the forward strand.
GTATTTTAACTTCAGTTAACAGGTATGGAAAAGTAATAGTCAAAAATTCTAATTTTTTGCTTTGTATTTAAGGAGAAAGAGAAAAATAGTGATGTAAGTATACTAAAATAGTTAAGTCTTTAAAGATATAGAGAAGTTTGGGCACGAACTTCCTGTAATCCCAGCACTTTGGAAGGATTGCTTGAGTCCAGGAGTTCAAGACCAGCCTGGATAACATAATGAAACCCCTATCTATAAAAAAAAAAAAAAGAAAAGAAAAAAAAATTAGCCAGGCATGGTGGCACACACCTGTAGTCCTAACTATTCAGGGGGGTGAGGTGGGAGGATCTCTTGAGCCCTAGAAGGTTGAGGCTGCAGTGAGCCACTGCACTCCAGCCTGAGAGATAGCAAGACCCTGTCTCAAAAATAAATAAATAAACAAACGTGAAGAACAAAACTTTTTTTAGTATATTAAAGTGTTTCCACCTTCAACCTGACCCACAGTTTTTTTTCTCTCTCTCTCTCTCTGTCTTTTATTCTCCCCCTCTCTCCAATTTAGGGTTTATGTATGTTATTTTATCTCTAAAATTACATTGTATTTCTTGGAAAAGGTAGGGAAATTTAGTAACATCTTTTTTTTTTTTTTTTTTCAGATGGGGTGTCTTGCTCTGTTGCCCAGGCTGGAGTGCAGTGGCACAATCTCAGCTCACTACAACCTCCACCTCCCAGGTTCAAACAATTCTCCTGCCTCAGCCTCCCAAGTAGCTGGGATTACAAGCATGTGCCACCACACCTGCTATTTTTTTTTTTTTTTTGTATTTTCAGTAGAGACGAGGTTTCACCACGTTGGCCAGGCTGGTCTTGAACTCCTGATCTCAGGTGAGCCGCCAGCCTTGGCCCCCTAACGTGCTGGGATTACAGGCATGAGACACTGCGCCCGGCAGTAACATCTTTTAATATCTTTTGTTGTTGATAAAAAGTCAGCAATTTAATATTTTCTAAGCAAAGATATATAAAAGTCATTCAAGACAAAAAGCTAAGGGAAGCAATGATTTGAAACTTTAATTCTGCTCTCTTAAGCTTAAAATCTGTGGAAAACAGAAGGTAAAAGAAGAGAGAGGAACTTCACAGCCTAAGAATCAATTTTCCATTGTTGGGAAACTGAAGAACATTCATCAAATAACCCAAGACGTTTAAAGAGGGAGGGAACAAGTTTTCGTTTGGTGGTGACTTAATTGGGTTCAGTATGACAAGACGCATTGTGAAGCCAAGCAGTGGCTGCGTCATGTATTGGAACAACTGAGCTTCACTTCCAAGAGGCAGCTGGATTCAGTGTCATGTGGGAATTGAGAACAAAGGCAACTGGTTTCTCTGTGTCATAATAAAGGCTCCAAAATGGTGTGGGAAGCGGGGTGGCTTCAGCATCATCTCAGAGAATCTTCAGAAAACTTTTCCTGGAGATTAGGCTCATTCAGTTGAATTCCATTCCGTATGCTCAGTTGTTCCTGTCTTTGTATCAAAGAGAGATCCATCAACTGTGAAATCTTGGACCGATAAAATTCAAAAGGTACTTTCGGATAGGCAATGAAAAACAAGCCTTCCTCCTCTGTCCTCCAACTTCCCCGTTCCTTTCCCAAAGGAAAACGTTTTTTCCAGTTTCTGGAGTATTTATTTGCCTCTAAAATATTCTAATGTGTAGGCTTTTAAAATATACACTTTATATTTTTGCTGCCACAACCTTCTAAGAATCAATATATATATAATAGCTTTGTTTTAGAAAACGAATTTAGTCTTATGAGTTTATAATAAACCTCTGCTGATGCTTAACAATTGATTACTACTTCTTTTTAAAGTGATTCTAAACAATGTGTGTGTCCTCAAATTTCTCCTGGGACAGAATTCTGTAGTTTTTAGGGCTTATACATTGCAGTTTCTCTGAAGGCCAGGCAGAAAATTGAAACGTAAAATGTCTGGAAGAAGACAACTGGAAGTGGTGAGTCATATACAAACTGAAGTTCCTAGTCTAAAGGTATTTCAAATGCCAAGATTGTTATAGACATGGTACAACTAAACTACATAGTTGTATGGCCCCTTATTATACAGTTCATTCTTCTTAAAAATCACAAATACGTGTATCTATCACCAGCCTTCTACTACCTAGCCCATTTTTCCCAATTTTTAAAAAATTACAGAGATCACTTCAATAATTTCAGGATCTGGTAGATAATTTGGTTTGTTCTCAAGAGATTTAAATGTAGTGTGGAAATATTGTTTTAATTTCATGAAGTGGCCAGGCACAGTGGCTCACCCCTGTAATCCCAGCACTTTGGTAGGCCAAGACAGGAGGATTGCTTGAGCCCAGGAGTTCAAGACCAGCCTGGGCAACATAGTGAGACCTTGTCTCTACCAAAAAAAAAAATTAGCCAGGCGTGGTGTTGTGTACCTGTAGTTCGGCTACTCAGGAGGCTGAGGCAGGAGGATCACTTGAGCCTGGGCGGTCAAGGCTGCAATGAGCTGTGATTGAGCCACCACACTTCAGCCTGGGTGGCACAGCAAGACTCTGTCTCACAAAAAAAAAAAAATTATGAGGTCAAATCACAGAGTGCTTAAGGACACAGGCCCTGAGTTCTGAGACCTGAATTTGAACTTTAGGTTAGACATTGGCCAGATTGGGCAAGTTCTCCAACTTTTTGGGAACTTAGCTTTTTTTTTTTTTTTTTTTTTTTTTACAAAATAGGGATTAATAATTGTTGTTTCAAATGTTACATTAGGTAAGTCAGGTTAAGTGCTTCACACAGTACCTGATACCGACTTGGTAACTCAATAAATGAGAGCAATGATTATTACTTAGAAAATCTTTGTATAATATTATACTCCTTGGACTCGAATTCCCTGATAACTAGCTTTTTCCCACTTATTTTAATTTGAAGATCATTAAAATTTTTTTCTATCACATTAAATATTTGTCTCTTCTTTATGCTAGAACCATTCCAATTCTTCTCTTCTGGCTATTTTGAAATATACTATAGTCACCATACTGATCTATATAACAATAGGTCCTATTTGTTCTATCAGAATGTATGTTTGTACTCATTATTATCAACTTCTTTCTCTTCATTCCCTTTTCTCATTATCCTTCCCAGCCACTAGTAACCATGAATCTACTCTTTGTCTTTATGAGATCCACTTCTTTAGCTCTCATATGTAAGTGAGAACATGTGATATTTGTCTTTCTATGCCTGGCTTATTTCACTTAACATAATGGCCTCTAGTTCCATCCATGTTGCTGCAAATGACAAGATTGCATTCTTTTTATGGCTGAATAATATTCCATTGTGTGTGTGTGTGTATATATATATCTATATCACATTTTCTTTATTCATCTATTGATGGCGCTTAGGTTGATTTCATACTATGACTATTGTAAATAGTGCTGCAATAAACATGAGAGTGCAGATATCTTTTCCACATGTTGATTTCCTTTCTTTTGGATAGACATACCTAGTAGTGGAATTGCTGGATCTTATGGTAGTTCTAATTTCATTTTTTTTGGGGAAACTCCATGCTGTTCTCCATAGTGACTATACTAATTTATATTCCCAACAACAGTGTATGATGGTTTCCATACCTCCACATCCTCACCAGCACCTGTTACTGCCTTTTTTTTTTTTTTTTTAACTGAGTCTCACTCTGTCCCCCAGGCTGGGGTGCAATGGTGCAACCTCAGCTCACCACAACCTCCACCTCCGGGGTTCTAGCGATTCTCCTGCCTCAGCCTCCTGAGTAGCTGGGATTACATGCACCTGCCACCACGTCTGACTAATTTTTATATTTTTAGTAGAGACTGGGTTTCACTATGTTAGTCAGGCTGGTCTTGAACCCCTGACCTCAGGTGATCCACCCGCCTCAGCCTCCCAAAGTGCTGGTATTACAGGCGTGAGCCATCATGCCTGGTTGCCTTTTTGATAGAAACCATTTTAACTGGAGTGAGATGATATCTCAATGAAATTTTGATTTGCATTTCTCTGATGATTAGTGACACTGAGCATTTTTTCATATACCTATTAGCTGTTTGTATGTCTTCTTTTGAGAAATGTCTATTTAGATCTTTTTTTTTTCTTTTGAGACAAGGTCTCACTCTATTGCCCAAGCTGGAGTGCAGTGGCATGACCTCAGCTTACTGCAACCTCCACCTCCTGGGTTCAAGTGATTTTCCCACTTCAGCCTCCTGAGAAGCTGGGACTGCAGGCGCACCACGACGCCTAGCTAATTTTTGTATTTTTTGGTAGAGACAGGGTTTTATCATGTTGGTCAGGCTGGTCTTGAACTCTCAACCTCAAGCGATCCGCCCACCTTGTCTTCCCAAAGTGCTGGGATTACAAATGTAAGTCACCGCGCCCGAACTATTCAGATTTTTTTTTTTTTTGAGATGGAGTTTCAATCTTGTTGCCCACGCTGGAGTGCAATGGTGGATCTCAGCTCACCGCAACCTCTGCCTCCTGGGTTCAAGCGACTCTCCTGCCTCAGCCTCCAAAGTAGCTGGGATTACAGGCATGCGCCAACACTCCTGGCTAATTTTGTATTTTTGGTAGCGATGGGATTTCTCCATGTTGGTCAGGCTGGTCTTCAACTCCTGACCTCAGGTTATCCACTCGCCTCAGCCTCCCAAAGTGCTAGTGTGTCCAGAACTGGTGGGTTCTTGGTCTCACTGACTTCAAGAATGAAGCCGCGGACGCTCGCGGTGAGTGTTACAATTCTTAAAGGTGGCGTGTCTGGAGTTTGTTCCTTCTGATGTTCGGATGCGTTTGGAGTTTCTTCCTTCTGGTGGATTCATGGTCTCCCTGGCTCAGGAGTGAAGCTGCAGACCTTCGCAGTGAGTGTTAACAACTCTTAAGGCGGCGGGTCTGGAATTGTTCCTTCCTCTCGGTGGGTTCGTGGTCCCGCTGGCTTCAGGAATGAAGCTGCAGACCTTCACGGTGAGTGTTAACAGCTCATAAAGGCAGTGTAGACCCAAAGAGTGAGCAGCAGCAAGACTTACTGCAAAGAGTGAAAGAACAAAGCTTCCACAGGGTAGAAGGGTACCAGATCAGATTGCCACTGCTGGCTCCGGCAGCCTGCTTTTGTTCTCTTGTCTGGCCCCACCCACATCCTGCTGATTGGTCCATTTTACAGAGAGCTGAGTGGTCTGTTTTGACAGGGTGCTGATTGGTGCGTTTACAATCCCTGAGCTAGACTCAAAGGTTCTCCACCTCCCCACTAGATTAGCTAGATAGAGTGTCAACATAAAGGTTCTCCAAGTCCCCACCAGAGAAGCTAGATACAGAGTGTCGATTGGTGCATTCTCAAACCCTGAGCTAGACACAGGGTGCTGATTGGTGTGTTTACAAACCTTGAGCTAGATACAGAGTGCTGATTGGTGTATTTACAATCCCCTAGCTAGACATAAAGGTTCTCCAAGTCCCCACCAGACTCAGGAGCCCAGGGGGCTTCACCCAGTGGATCCCGCACTGGGGCTGTAGGTGGAGCTGCCTGCCAGTCCTGCGCCCTGCGCCCACACTCCTCAGCCCTTGGGTGGTCGATGGGACTGGGTGCCGTGGAGCAGGGGGCGGCTCTGGTCGGGGAGGCTCCGGGCCCCACAGGAATGGGAGGGAGGGTGGGCGGGAGAGGCTCAGGCATGGCGGGCTGCAGGTCCCGAGCTCTGCCCGGCTGGAAGGCAGCTAAGGCCCGGCGAGAAATTGAGCACAGCAGCTGCTGGCCCCGGTGCTAAGCCCCTCACTGCCCAGGGCCGGCGGGGCCCGCTGGCCGCTCCGAGTGTGGGGCCCGCCGAGCCCACGCCCACCCAGAACTCGCGCTGGCCCCCGAGCACCGCGCGCAGCCCGGGTTCCCGCCTGCGCCTCTCCCTCCACACCTCCCGGCAAGCTGAGGGAGCCGGCTCAGGCCAGCCCAGGAAGAGGCTCCCACAGTGCAGCGGCGGGCTGAAGGGCTCCTCAAGTGCCGCCAAAGTGGGAGCCCAGGCAGAGCAGGCGCCAAGAGCGAGGGAGGGCTGTGAGGACTGCCAGCACGCTGTCACCTCTCACTAGGATTACAGGCCTGAGCCACCGAGTCCCGCCAACTTATTCAGGTCTGTTAACCACTTTTTAATCAGATTATTTCTTCTTTTGCTATTGAGTTATTAAAGCTCCTTATATATTCTGGTTATTAGACTATTGTCAGATGGGTAGTTTGCAAATATATTTTCTCCCATTCTGTAGGTTATCTTTCCACTTTATTGGTTGTTTCCTTTGCTGTACAGAAGCTTTTAAACTTGAGGCAATCCCATTTATCTATTTTTGCTTTGGTTGCCTGTGCCTTTGCGGTCTTATCCTAAAAATCTTTGCCCTTGCCGGGTGCAGTGGCTCATGCCTATAATCCCAGCACTTGGGGAGGCAGAGGCAGGTGGATCGCCTGAAGTCAGGAGTTCAAGACCAGCCTGGCCAACATGGTGAAACCTTGTCTCTACTACAAATACAAAAACTAGCTGGGCATGGTGGCAGGCACCTGTAACCCCAGCTACTTGGGAGGCTGAGTCAGGAAGAATTGCATGAAACCTGGAGATGGAGGTTGCAGTGAGCCAAGATTGCACCACCGCACTCCAGCCTAGGCAACGGAGTGAGACTCCATCTCAAAAAAAAAAAAAAAAAAAAAAATCTTTGCCCATACCAATGTCCTGGAGTTTTTCCCCAAAGTTTCCTTCTAGTAGCTTCATAGTTTCAGGTCTTACATTTAGGTCTTTCATTCATTTTGATTTGATTTTGTATATGGTACGAGGCAGGGGTCTAGTTTCAGTCTTCTGCATATGGTTATCTAGTTTTCTCAGCACCATTTATTGAAGAGACTGTCCTTTCGCAATTGTATATTCTTGGCACTTTTGTCAGAGTTGCCTGTAAATGCATGGATTTGTATCTGGGTTCTCTATACATTCCATTGGTCCATGTGTCTGTTTTTATGCCACTCCAATGCTGATTTGGTTGCTATAGCTTTGTAGTAAATTTTGAAGTCAAGGTAATATGGTGCCTGCACCTTTGTTCTTTTTGCTCAGGATTGCTTTGGCTATTCAGGGTCTTTTGTGGTTCCACATAAATTTTAAGATTTTTTTTTCTATTTCTGTGAAGAATGTCATTGATATTTTGATAGCAATTGCATTTGTTTGTTTGTTTGTTTCAAGACAAGGTCTCACTCTGTCACCCAGGCTGGAGTGCCATGGTGCAATCTCAGCTCACTGCAACCTCAGCTTCCTCAGCTCAAGCGATCCTCCCACCTCCAGCCTCCTGAGTAGCTGGGACTACAGGCACATGCCACCACGCCTGGCTAATTTTTGTATTTTCTGTAGACACAGGGTTTCACCATGTTGCCCAGTTTGGTCTCGAACTCCTGAGCTCAATTAATGCGCCCACCTCAGCCTCCCAAAGTGCTGGGATTACAGGCTTGAGCCACCGTGCTCGGCCTGTTATTGTCTTTATTTGGAAATTAAATATATTTAAGGAGATTTGTATGGGTTCCAAGTTGACAAGGGGTAAACTTTTGGATTTGATTTTAGGTGTCCACTTGTCTAGATTAAAGAATACTTAGAAACCTGGTAATGTATTATTTTGGGTGTGTCTGGAAGGGTGTTTGCAGAGGAGACTGTAGTGTGAGTTGGAGTGGATTAGGTGGGAAAGATCTGCCTTCAGTGTTGGTGGGCACCACCCAATCCACTGACGGCCTGTAGAGAACAAACACAGAAGGTGAATTGGTCTCTCTCTTAGAACTGGGACAAGCTTTTTTTTTTTTTTTCTTTTTTCTTTTTCTTTTTCCTGCTGCCTTGAACATCAGAACTCCAGGCTCACCAGCCTTTGGGCTCCAGATTTACATCATCAGGCCGCTGAGCCCTGAGGCCTTTGGCCTCAGACTGAGAGTTACACCCTCGGCTTCTCTGGTTCTGAGGCCTTCAGACTTGGTCTGAGCCATGCTAATGGCATCCCAGGGTCTCCAGCTTACAGATGTCGTGGGGCTTCTCAGCCTCCATAACTGCGTGAGTCAATTCCCCTAATATTTTCTCCTATATGTATATACATATCCTATTGGTTCTGTCTCTCTGGAAAACCCTGACTAATACAGACTCAGTATTGGGGAAGCTGAGTATGATTCCCCCTTACTGACTTTCTCACAACATAATGAAAAGATCTGTGAAATTGTTTCCTCACAAAAAGGCTGTGATAATTGTATGAGTTTGCTTAATGATGAAATATAAAAGTCTAAAAGCTAATTATTATTGATGCTGTGAAAGCAGAAAATCGCTTCATTGCAATGGCTGAGCAATAACCAGAGTTTCAAATGGACAGCATATACTTTAGAAATTTGTAGGCCGGGTGCGGTGGCTCACGCCTGTAATCCCAGCACTTTGGGAGGCTGAGGCAGGCGGATCATTTGAGGTCAGGAGTTCGAGACCAGCCTGACCAATATGGTAAAACCCTGTTTCTACCAAAAATACAAAAAAATTAGCCAGGCATGGTGGTGCATGCCTGTAGTCCCAGCTACTCAGAAGGCTGAGGCAGGAGAATCACTTGAACTCAGGAGGCGGCGGTTGCAGTGAGCCCGAGGTGGTGCCACTGCACTCCAGCCTGGGTAACAGAGCAAGACTACATCTCAAAAAAAAAAAAAAAATTTATACCACAACAGCTCTTTAAATACAAGTGCAGTGAGTATTTTGAAGATTACAGAAGAAGTGAAAACACAGGCAAAAAATCCACAAGTCTCCCCTGCCAAATTATTCAATCATGTACAACTTTTGCCCCTTCATACATAACAACATTCTTACCTTTAAAGAATGTCCTTTGTCAGAGAATAAAAATAATTCAACAAGCTCAGCAACCTTCTGAATCAAAGTTATTTGCTGATATTGAATAGCGAACTATCCTGAATTCGGGATTTGACTGTTGCAGAAGATAGACTTCTTTTATTTTCCAGTAAATCTAACAGAAAAATCAGCACATGCTTATCTTTGGCTAATGGATGGCACTTTCAGAACTGTCCCCACTGTTTTTTCTTTTTTAATGAATTATATGCAATTTATGCCCCTGTTAAATCCAAAAGTTCTAGAATTTGTTTGCTTGTTTATGTATTAATGACTGAAAAAAGTGAGGCACTTTATAAAACAGTACTTGTAGATTTGGTGGACTTGGTAGAAGAAAATGGATTTCAACTGAATCCTCAAACCATAATGACAGGTTTGGAATTAAGACTAATCAATCCTTCTAAAAGTGAATTTCAAGGTATTACTAATAAAATTTTTTTTTCCATTCAGCCCAATGCATTTGGTGGGAAATTCAATGAGTGGATTAGCCAGGCAATAAGAGAACAATGAAAACCTCAGTTTAAAAAATGTGTCATTTGCCTGCATTGACATTCCTTCCAGATGATGACATTCCAGGAGCTTTTGATAAATTAAAGCTACATGTGCCTGAAGAAGCCAGTGAAGTTACTGACTAGTTAAAAAATAATTACGTATGTGGTAGGATGAGAAGACACTCAACGGTATTGCTGAGGTTTTTTTGTTTTTTGTTTTGAGACAGAGTCTTGCTCTGTTGCTCAGGCTGGAGCACAGTGGCGCGATCTCAGCTCACTGTAGTCTTTGGCTCCTGGGTTCAAGCAATTCTTGTTTTGCAGCCTCTCGAATAGCTGGGATTACAGGTGCGTGCCACCATTCCTGGCTAATTTTTGTATTTTTTAGTAGAGATGGGGTTTTACCATATTGGCCAGGCTGGTCTTGAGCTCCTGACCTCAAGTGATCCACCCGCCTCGGCCTCCCAAAGTGCTGGGATTATAGGTGTGAGCCATCTCGCTGGCCTGATATTGCTGTTTGATCACCAGTATTGTTTTCACCAAATCTGTGGTCTGTATATGAGTGCAAGTGAAATGGATTTCCACATGACCAAAACAACACAGAAGCATGGCATGGGAAAAAATAATAGGGAATGCTGATGTCTATGTATAGAGAATCATAGAAAAATTTCAAAAAGAGCAGTGTCACATAGAAAATGAATGTAAACGTATTTTTCAAGGAGACCTATGCCCTAAAAGAAAAAAAAGCAGGTATTCATTGAGATGTAAGACTTCAAAACATAGTCAATGATTGCTAAAGTTGTTCAGCTCTTATGGACTACCTCTGTGCAATTACCCATAGTCTATCTCTGTAATGCACTTTTTTGTATGTCAGGTTTTCTTTTTGGCTTTTGGTTTGGTTTAGTTTAGTTTAGTTTTTTTTTTTCCTGCTATTTTAAATTGCTGGCATTATTTTTTAGAAGTCTCTATGGTATGTATCTCATCTTTGTATCATTTCCAATACTGGCGGCATAAATTGTACAAAGACTTTCAGAGTTCTAATTCATTTTTTTTTTTTAATGGAGTTTTGCTCTGTCGCCCAAGCTGGAGTGCAATAGCGCAATCTCCGCTCACTGCAACCTCCACCTCCCAGGTTCAAGCGATTCTCCTGTCTCAGCCTCCTGAGTTTTTCATGCATTTTTTTGCAAATTTGTCTCCACAAAGGTACATTTGTGTATAAGCACGTACATGTACATAAAAACATTGAAATGTCCTCAAAAAATGAAGAGATGTTCATTTTGTGCATTTTCATTAGTGAAAGATAAAATTTCTCGAGAGTTCAGCTCTTTGGATGACTGCATTTGCAGTGGTGAACCATCATGGTTTTTGATCAACCTCATCAGAAGACTTGGGTTGCCCGTCACGAGATGTCAGATTATTGAAGTTATTTAAGCTCGCTTTCTTTCTTCCTCTTTCTCTTTCTCTTTCTTTCTTTTTCTTTCCTTCCTTCCTTCCTTCTTTCTTCTTTTTAGACAGATTCTTGCTCTATCATGAGATACCAGATTATTGAAGTTATATAAGCTCTCTTTATTCTTTTTTCCTTCCTTCCTTCCTTCCTTCCTTCCTTCCTTCCTTCCTTCCTTCCTTCCTTCCTTCCCTCCCTCCCTCCCTCCCTCCCTCCCTCCCTCTCTCTCTCTCTCTGTCTTTCTTTCTTTTCTTCTTTTGAGAAAGGTTCTTGCTCGTCACCCAGGCTGGAGTGCAGTAGTGCAATCTCCACTTGCTGCAACCTCCGCCTCCTGGGCTCAAGCAATTCTCCTGCCTCAGCCTCCTGAGTAGCTGGGACTACAGGCATGCACCTAATTTTAGCTCATGCACCTAAAATTAGCTCAGCTAATTTTTGTGTGTTTAGTAGAGATGGGGTTTCTCCATGTTGCCCAGGCTGGTCTCAAACTCCTGACCTCAAATGATCTGCCTGCCTCAGCCTCCCAAAGTGCTGGGATTACAGGCATGAGCCACTGCACCTGGCCATAGTTCTTAATGAATATGGTTCATCTGCTCATAAATGTTACACCCAGGTGACTGTTTTTAGAATATCTGAGTGTTTATGCTTGCAAAAATATGTATCTTAATGTCTCATCTATTGTGTAAAGTGGTCTATAAAGTGTTCTGCTTGTTGTTGTTGTTGTTTGAGTCAGGGCCTCACTCTGTGACCCACGTTGGAGTGCAGTGGCGTGGTCATACCTCACTACAACTCCACCTCCCAGGGTCAGGCCTCCCACTTCAGCCTCCCAGGTAGCTGAGACTATAGGTGCTACCACACCTGGCTAATTTTTCATATTTTTAGTGGAGATGGGGTTTTGCTATGTTGCCCAGGCTGGTCTAGAACTTCTGGGCTCAAGTGATCCACTTGCCTCAGCTGTGAATGCTGGGATGACTTGGGTGAGCCACCACGCCTGGCCTACTTCTGTTGTTTTTATGTTTCTCTAATAAGTCCCTGTTTAAATATGTAAATAAATATCTTTAAAATTTTTACAATTATGTTTCCAGAATTATTCCAGAATTATATTTTCATAATTTTGCTCTTTTGAGATTTCAACATTCAGGATTATGGTGTTCAGGATTGTGTCTTTCAGGGTTATGATTGGCTCCTACCGCAGTGACCTCTTTGGGTGCTGTTCTGTTTTGGTCTTTGCCAGAGGCATTTGCAAATGTTTCCCTAACACTGTGCTAGCTATACCTATAGTCATGTAGCCATCCTTCCCTGGCTCATGTTGGACTTCTCCCTGTAAAAACCTCAAGACACAATTTATCTTTTTGTCACATTTCCCCTACCTCCCACCCACAACTCTGCTCCACAAAATACTGAGAAGAAGAGCCAGTTTTTACTAACGATTTTATGGAAAGAAAAAGGCGAAGAATTTACAAGGCACACCACACACAAATGACTTAAAGTTCCCAGTTGAACATTTTTTGTCCTCTCCCCAGAATGCTACCAGCCAGTCTCTCGCTCTCGCCTAATCCTTCATACACCCTCTCTTAGAGTAATTTAGCACTTTTTGACTTCTCTATCATTGCCAACCTTCCCATGACTTTTGAAGGCTGGTCTCTCTAAATGGGTTTAATCAAAGCAGGTCTGTACCCAGGGAAGGATTCTCCTGCTTCTTCTCCCCTCATCGTCTTATTCATATTGTTACATTCCTGATTCTCTCCTTTCAGGCCAAATCCCTTATGAACTTTTTCATATCTAGTTGTCACCCGTCTTCTCTGCCTGAATGTCACATAGCTACTTTGTTTGATGATGTCTCAAATCCAACTTGCATTCTTTCCTGTCTTTCCAATTCTATTTCTCTTATTTCAGAAAAGGGTACCGCAATCCACCCAAGTATTCCAAGGCAGAAACCTGGGAACCATCCTTGACTCTTCCCTCCTTCCTCACACCCATGTTATCACTCCTTCCATCCATCTAGCAATCAATCACCAGGTCCTATTGAATCTGATATTTCAAAAAAAATTTTTAATCTACTCCTTTCCATCCCCACTTGCCATAATGAATGAATCTCTTCTGCTCAGAAATTTATAACAGACTGGGTACAGTGGCTTATGCCTGCAACACCAGCGTTTTAGGAGGCTGAAGTAAGAGGATAGCTTGAGCCCCAGAGCTGGAGGCCAGCCTGGGCAACATAGTGAGACTCTGTCTCTATAAAAAATAGAAAAAAAGTAGCCAGGCATGATGGTGTGCCCCTGTAGTCCCAGCTACTGTGGTGGCTGAGGTGGGAAGATGGCTTGAGCTCAGGAGGTTGAGGGTGAAGTAAGCCATGACTGTGCTAGTCTTGGCAACAGAGCAAGACCTTGTCTCATTAAAAAAAAAAATAATAATAAATTACAACAATGCTCCATTGTTTGACACATAAAATAAAAACCTCTTTGCCTTTTAAAATGGATGCTAACATGAAAACACTTCATTATGATCACAGGGTTGTCTGTTTTCCTCCCAAGAAAGCTATTTGCAACTGATTAAATTGTAGAGGTCCCTTTCACTATCTCCCCTTATTGATTGATTGATTGATTGAAACGGAGTCTCCCTCTGTTGCCCAGGCTGGAGTGCAGTGGCACAATTCAGCTCGCTGCAACCTCTGCCTCCTGGGTTCAAGCGATTATCCAGCCTCAGCTTCCCGAGTGGCTGGGATTATAGGCGCCCACCACCACGCCTGGCTAATTTTTGTATTTGTAGTAGAGACGGGGTTTCACCATGTTGCCCAGGCTGGTCTCGAACTCCTGAGCTTAGGTGATCTGCCCGCCCTGGCCTCCCAAAGTGCTGGGATTACAGGCGTGAGCCACCGCGCCTGGACTCCTCACGCTTCTATAAAACATATTCCTCTTTCTTGTTTTACGTTTCCCCCTAATTTGGGTGAAGCACACACCAGTAGCTTCCTAAGAAAGAGTACATGAGAGGTAAATTTTTTGAGACCTTGTATGTCTGAAAATTTCCTTAATTTACTCTCACAGCTAATTGGTAGTTTGATCAGATATATAATTCTAGGTTAGAAATAACTTTTCTAAAAGAAAACATTGGGCAAACACTCTAGGACCTTGGACTGGGCAAAGATTTCTTGAGTAATACCCCCAAAGCACAGGCAACCAAAGCAAATTTGGACAAATGGGATCACATTAAGTTAAAAAGCTTCTGCGCAGCAAAGGAAATAACCAACAAAGTAAAGAGACAACCCACAGAATGGGAGAAAACTACCCATCTGACAAGGTATTAATAACGAGAATATATAAGGAGCTCAAACAACTCTATAGGAAAAATTTAATAATCTGATAAAAATGAGCAAAAGATTTGAATAGACATTTCTCAAAAGAAGACATACAAATGGGCTGGGTGTGGTGGCTCACGCCTGTTATCTCAGCACTTTGGAAAAAGGTTAAGGTGGGCAGATCACCTGAGGTCAGGAGTTTCAGACCAGCCTGGCCAACGTGGCGAAACCCTGTCTCTACTAAAAATACAAAAATTAGTGGGCGTGGTGGCACCCACCTGTAATCCTAGCTACTCAGGAAGCTGAGGCACAAGAATTGCTTGAACCTGGGAGGTGGAGGCTGCAGTGAGCCATCATCATGCCACTGCACTCCAGGCTGGGTGACAGAGTGAGATTCTGTCTCAAAACAAAACAAAAAAACGAGTGAGAAAACCAGACATTATATGCTGTCAGATGTTAGGCAGTATCAGGTGTACAACACCATTATTTAAAGAAGAAGAAGAAGAAGAAGAAGAAGAAGGCATACAAATGACAAAGAGGTGTTTGAAAAGGTGTTCAACATCATTGATCATCGGAGAAATGCAAATCAAAATTCCGGTGAGATATCATCTCAGCCCAGTTAAAATGACTTATATATAAAAGATGGGAAATAACAAATGCTGGCAAGGATGTGGAAAAAAGGGAACCCTGGTACACTGTTGCTGGGAATGTAGATTAGTACAGTTGCTATGGAGAATAGTTTGGAGGTTCCTCAAAAAACTAAAAATTGAGCTACCATATGATTCAGCAATCCCACCACTAGGTATGTACTCCAAAGAAAGAAAATCAGTATATCAAAGAGATATCTGCACTCCCATGTTTGTTGCAGCACTATACACAGTAGCCAAGATTTGGAAGCAACCTAAGTGTCCATCAACAGGTGAATGGATAAAGAAAGTTTGTTACATGTACACAATAGAGTGCTATGCAGCCATAGAAATGAATGAGATCCTGTCATTTGCAACAACATGAATGGAACTGAGGGTCATTATGTTAAGTGAAATAAGCCAGGCACAGAAAGACAAACTGCATGTTCTTATTTGTGGGAGCTAAAAGTTAAAACAAACTCATGGAGATAGGAGAATGATGGTTATCAGAGGAAGGGTAGTTGGGGCGAGGAGGGCGGGCGGATGGTTAATGGGACAAAAAATAGATGGAATAAATAAGATCTAGTATTTGATAGCACAACAAGGTGACTATAGTTAACAATAATTCATTGTACATTTTAAGGTAACTAAAAGAGTGGAATTGGATCGTTTTATAACACAAAGAAAGGATAAATGCTTGAGGTGATGGATACTCCATTTACCCTGATTTGATTATTATGCATCGTATGCCTTTATCAAAATATCTCTGCCCCATAAATATATACACTACTATGTACCCACAAAAAAGTAAAAATTTTTATTTAAGAATATGTAACTTTTCTTCAGAATTTTGAGTGTCATGGTTGTTGTCCAGCTTCTGTTGTTGCTGTTGAGAAGCTGTATTAGTTTTCTATTGCTGTTAATAAATCACCACAAATTTAGCAGCTTAAAAAAATACCCATGTATTAGTTTACAGTTCCATAGGTCAGAAATCTGAGCAGAGCATGACTGGATTCTCTGTTCAGGGTATCCTAAGGCTGAAATTGAGGTGTTAGCTGGATTGAATGCTTGTCTGGAGACTCTGGGGAAAAATTTGCCTCCAGGTTCACTCAAGGTGTTGGCAGAATTCTGTGCTTTGTGGTTGTAAGACCAAGATCAGCATTTTTCATGAGGGCTATCAGCCAGGGACCACTCTCAGCTCCTACAGGCCTCTGCATTCTTTGCACTGAGGCCTGCTCATCTTCAGAGCCAGCTATGGAGAATCTCCTTTGCCAGGAAGAGTCCTCTCAGCCCCTCATAAGGCTAATTAGGTCATGCCTTTCTCAAAGTCAACTGTGCCATGATAACAACCTAATTATGGTCATGAAATCCATGACATTTCTGGTACCAGAGACATGTCCACAGGGGGTGGGGACTCTTGCGGGCCATCTTAGAATTCTGCCTACCACAGAAGTCTAAAATTATTCTAATTTATGATTTATATGTCCTATTTTTACCTCTGGATGCTTATAAAATTTCCCATTGTCCTCGGGTTTCTGAAATTTCATGATATGCCTTTGTATGAACTTATTTTTAACTATTGTGCTGTACACTATATAAACCACTTCAGTATGGAGACTCACATTCTTCAATTTAATTTGAATATTTTCATTAACTATTTTCTCCCTTTCATTTTTCTGTTCTTGTTTCTGGAACGTAATTATTTGCATGTTGGTCTGTCTGGATTAATCCTCTAATCTCCACTGGCTATTTCATCCTTCATTTCTAACTTTACTTATTTTTTCTCAACATTATCTTCCAGATACTGAATTTTTCATGTAGGTTCTCAAAGTTTTAGTTTACAAGAGCTAATTTTTTTGGTTTTATTTTGTTTATTTGTATCATAAATGTTCCTGTTGTATGGCATCATGGTCTGTTTAATGGATGCAACATTTTGTCTTATTTCTCTGAGGATATTTATTTATTTATTTACTTTCTTTTGAGACAGAGTTTTGCTCTGTCACCCAGACTGGAGTGCAGTGGCGTTATCTCAGCTCACTGCAACTTCGGTTTCTCAGGTTCAAGCGATTCTCCTTTCTCAGCCTCCCAAGTAGCTGGGATTACAGGTGAGTGTCATCACACCCGGCTAATTTTTGTATTTTCAGTAGAGAGGGGATTTCATCATGTTGTCTAGGCTGGTCTCAAATTCCCAACCTCAGGTGATCCACCCGCCTCGGCCTCCCAAAGTGTTGGGATTACAGGCATGAGCCACCATACCCGGCATCTCTGAGGATATTTAATGAGGATTTTCTTTAGGGAGTATTCTTCTCCCCACAGTCTTCGTTTCCTCCAAGCTACTTTTATATATTTGTTAGAGGCTTTCCTTAGATAACTGCGATCTTTGCTCATCTGTTTCAAACCACTAAAAGGCTGATAGGAAGCTCTGCGCCCATGAGTATGGTTTGTTAACTGTGAAATTTACTGTAGAGTAAGCTGCTTTGGCCACTATGCTAAGGAATTCCCAATGCTGTTATCTTCAACTCTTGAACAACTCAGATAGTCCTGAATAGACATCCTAAAGCCTTTCACATCTCCTGCCTAGAGGTTGTTGGCCTATTTCTCAGCTTCTTAGAGCTGAGTAGAAGATAAAAACTTAGGGTGTATATTTCTGGCAGTGTGCCTGGAATTCAAAATCCTCTGTGAGGCATCAACATTAATACATCCTGTGGTTTTCTGCCTCCACACCTGCTAGAGTACTTAGAATGCACTCTTTGCTTCTCTTTTTTGTCTGTTGAATTTCTACCATTCTTCATAGCTAAGTTCTATTGACCTGCCTAGAAGTCATCCTTCCCACCTTTGTAATTGCTTAAAATATGTTTTATATCACCATAACACTTTATTATACCTGCCTTGTTTACTTATTCTGCAATTCCCGAGCATCCTGATGCTTTTCTTCAACAAAGAGACTCTCAAAAACCTGGAAAAGCCATTTTCTCAATATTAACAATGTAGGCAAGTGGCTGGATTATCGGAATATATTTTTTCTCTTTCTAGCTCCATATTAATTCTGGTGGACATGTTACTTTTTTTCTCATGATATCAGTTTCATTTTGTAAAAATGGCAAATAAAATGTCCTAAATGTCAGTCATCAAATATTTTTTTCAAAAACATCTTGGAAGGTGCAACTTCTAGAAGCTAGATTATCTCCTGCTTTCTGATTCACTATAGAGATTGTGGTAGCTAATTTTAAACCTCCTCCCATGTACTTTTCTTGTAATTCTCACTTAATTTCTCTTCATCCTTTAAACCTCAGCACAAATTATACCCTCTTTACTAAATAATCCATGTTAAGTACAAAAAGTTTTGGAAATATAAAACAGACCAAGAAGAAGATTGAAATTTTTAATCCTACTATTCAGGGAAATTGATTTATTAATATTTTGGAATCTCTTCCTTTTTTTCTGGGTAAAAGTATATACATAATTTATTTTTAAAAATTATATATGAAATTCTATTAATATATTGCATTTTTTGACTTAAAACTATATTATGGATATTTTTCCATATAGGAATGTTTCTCAGGGAATTGCGGAGTTAAGAGCACGGTTTCTAAAGTTAAACTCTTCTCTGGATTAAAATCTCACTTCTCCTACTTATTAGCTATACGATTATGGGTGAGTTACTTAGCCTCTCCATGCAATAGATTCCTTATGTATACAACGGAGATGATAATGAAATACCTACTTCAGGATTTTTGTGTTTATTAAATGAGTAATTATATGAGTTACTGGATATAAAACACAACAATACCTCGCACACAGTAAGCACTTAATGGACATTAGCCATTACTATTTTAAAATATTTTAAGTTATAACATAGCACACCATTATTTGGATATACTATAATTTATGTAATTGATTCCTTATTATTGGACACTTAGATTGTTTCCAATTTTTTTTTTTTTTTTTTTTTTTGAGATGGAGTGTTGCCCAGGCTGGAGTGCAGTGGCTCAATCTCGGCTCATTGCAGCCTCCGCCTCCCAGGTTACAAGTGATTCTCTTGCCTCAGCCTCCCAAGTAGCTAGGATTATAGGCTCCTGACACCATGCCTGGCTAATTTTTGTATTTTTGTAGAAACGGGGTTTCGCCATGTTATCCAGACTGGTTTTGAACTCCTGACCTCAGGTGATCCGCCCACCTCGGCCTCCCAAAGTGCTGCGATGAGCCAAAGCGCCTGGCTGGTTGTTTCCTTTTTTTTTTGAGACTGAGTTTCACTCTTGTTGCCCAGGCTGGAGTGCAATGGTGCGATTTTGGCTCACTGCAACCTCCATCTCCCAGGTTCAAGCAATTCACCTGCTCAGCCTCCCAGGTAGCTGGGATTACAGGTGCCCACCACCATGCCTGGCTAGTTTTTGTATTTTGTTTGTTTGTTTGTTTTTTGTTTTGAGAGGGAGTCTCGCTCTGTCGCCCAGGCTGGAGTGCAGTGGCACTATCTCGGCTCACTGCAAGCCCCGCCTCCCGGGTTGACGCCATTCTCCTGCCTCAGCCTCCCTAGTAGCTGGGATTACAGGCGCCTGCCACCACGCCCGGCTAATTTTTTTTGTATTTTTAGTAGAGACGGGGTTTCACCGTGGTAGCCAGGATGGTCTCGATCTCCTGACCTCGTGATCCACCTGCCTCGGCCTTCCAAAGTGCTGGGATTACAGGCGTGAGCCACCACGCCCAGCCTAGTTTTTGTATTTTCAGTAGAGACGGGGTTTCACCATGTTGGCCAGGCTGGTCTTGAACTCCTGACCTCAGGTGATCCACCGGCCTCAGCCTCCTAAAGTGCTGGGATTATAGGCGTAAGCCACCGCGCCTGGCCTCCAATTTTTAAAACTTATAAGTAACGTTATAATGTGTCAACATGTTTGTGCCTACATCTGTGTATATTTATCTGATTGTTTACCTTGTCAAATTCCTAGAAATTATGGGCAATCTTGTAATTAATTTATTATTTCTTCCCCCCTCCCTGTAAGTTCCACAGGGCAGAGAATTTACCTTTCTTGTTTAGTACTTTATTTCCACTACCTAGACATGCACGTGATATACACTAAGGACTTGAGAAATCCTTGTTTCTTGAAAGAAGTACTATAGCCATTTAAAGAATCTTAATAGATATTGCCAAATTAATCTTCAGAATTAACACTTTCACCTGAAAGTATGAGTCCCTAATTTGTGACTGCTTTTCCTGTCTGATGATGTCATTTACATTCTTTGCCTGAAGAATCTTTGATATCAGTATCCATGAGGTGTCATTGTAATTCTGGTATGCTGTTTATCTTACTCCACTAAATGTATGTTTGTTAAAGATGGTGCCTAGTGTTATATTTTTTCTCAATATTTTGTGCATAGAATGATATTCTGTTACAGTTAGTCCTATCTGTTCATCATGCTTATTCTTATTTTTATGACTACTGGACTTGGATAAGGTACATTGGTTCTGAATAACAGCAACTAGCACAAAGTGATTTAAGCAAAAAGGGAAATTATGTTAAGGATACGGTGTTTTCTCACAGAACTCAAGGACAAGAGTGTAGTAAGAGACTCTGGAAGCATCTAGTAGGTTCTAGAACCAAGGAATCAGGATTTTTTTTCTCTCTCTTTTTATCTCTGCAGATTAGCTTTCCCCACTTCTGTACCCATCTATGGCTTCTGATTTTATGTGGTACAGTTCCAGCCATGCTTAGGGAACTACCTCCCTATTTTGAACCTCAATTCAGAATTTCTGAGATAGAATTTGATTGGCTTCACTTGGTTTGGGTCAAGCATCCAGTGCAATTACTTCTCTTGTGGCAAGATTGATTAGACTGCACTGGATGTCTACCAGGTGCCCATTCCTGTGGAGGGAGAGCCAGTTCTGAGAGAAAAAGGAGAAATTATTCTGAGATGAGCAGAAACCCTCAAGTATCTACCACAATGATCTTGCTCAAATCCTTTCCCTAACTGAACTTGTTGGTTTACTTAAACTTCATCCCTCCTTAAAAGCCCAGGAAGAATCTCCAATTTGGAGACCATAAAAATTCCTTGATAGTCCAAATTATTTTTTAATCTCTATCCTTTCTGAGTGCTTATTTTCTGCCCTGTACAGTTTAGTTTTATGTTAAACAATAGGTCATTTTCCAATTGGTTTATTCAGGAAGCTTTTGATTTCCAAACTGATAAGCATTTTAAGGAAGAAGGATATCTCTTAAATTTCATTTCTTTTTTCTTTTCTTTTTTTTTTTTTTGCTCTGTCACCCAGGCTGGAGTGTAGTGGCATAATCTCGGCTCACTGCAACCTCCGTCTCCCGGGTTCAAGCGATTCTCTTGCCTCAGCCTCCCAAGTAGCTGGGATTACAGGCTCCTGACACCACAACTGGCTAATTTTTGCATTTTTCGTGGAGACAGGTTTTTGGCATGCTGGCGAGGGTGGTCTTGAACTCCTGGCCTCAGGTGATCCACCCGCCTCAGCCTCCCAAAGTACTGGGATTAGAGGCATGAGCCACCACCCCTGGCCTCAAATTTCATTTCTGTACACTCCAAAGATGTTCAATTAATATAATGAAGTGATTAAAGTGCTTGATAACAGCTTTGAGTTCATTAAAAGTTAACAGAACTCATTATGTGAAATGAAATTATTATATTTTGAGTTATTTTCCAATATATATTTTGCATAGAAACACTTTACTAATAACCAGTAGAACGATCCATATCTCTTAAAATACATTTCAAATTTATGAACAACTTTACGTCTCCGTCAACACATTTATTGAGTTCATTGTCATCTATCTCAGGGAAAATTGCATTAGAGTTTTACTTTATCTCCCTGTTGCTATTTGTTTCTTTCCAACCCATTCTTCTCAAAGTAGCAAGAATCTTCTTAAAATACAAATCCAATTATTTCTCTGTTTAAAATCTTTCAGTGACTTTATATTTTCCTTAGAATGAAATCCAAACTCCTACCATAGCCCACAAAACCTGGTATCTGACCCGGACTTAACTCTTCAACCTCGTTTTTTAAAGGCTCTCTTCCCCTTGCTTGCTATGCTGTGAGCATCTGGTTTTTGTTCAGTTCAGTTCTGTTTTATTTTGTTTTGTTTTGTTTGCAGTTTGTCAGGCACATCAGGATCTTTCTCTTCTCAGGGCTTTTGCGCATGCTATTTATTGCCTCTGTTGGGAGAGCGGCAACCCCTGAAATGCTGCCTCTCCTCAGCTTTCAGCTGAAATGTCAGCATCTTTTCTTGACCTGACTTCTTGAACAGCCTGCCTTTGATCATTTTCCTCTGTTCTTTATTATTTCACCCTCATGTTTACTTTCTTTACAAAATATTCACAACTCACAACTATTTTCCTTCTCTCCTCATTTTTTGGTCTGCTCCTCCCCCTCACATAAGCTCCACAAATATGCAGGGACTGAGCTGGTTTTGTATTTTTGTTTTTTCCCTAATGTATCTCTAGCATCTCTCACAGGGCCTCGCATGTAGTTAACTGTTCAAAATATATTTGATTATGTAAACAGAAGAGTAATATGATAGAATGCTAATTTTCTTTTTCTTTTTTTTTTTGAGACAGTCTCGCTCTGTCGCCTAGGCTGGAGTGCAGTGTCATGATCTCAGCTCACAGTAATCTCTGCCTCCCAGGTTCAAGCAATCCTCCTGCCTCAGCCTCCCTAGTACCTGGGACTACAGGCGCGTGCCACCACGCCTGGCTAATTTTTGTATTTTTAGTAGAGACGGGGTTTCACCGTGTTGGCCAGGCTGGTCTCAAACTCCTGAGCTCAAGTGATCCACCTGCCTCGACTTCCCAGAGTGTTGGGATTACAGGCATGAGCCACCTCCCTGGCAGAATGCTAATTTTCTAGTAACTTTAAGTGGTTCCAGTGGTTTCTGGTGGTTCTATGATTGTCAGAAGGCGTAATCTCCCTCCTCCCTCTTTCACTCTCCAGTGGGTCCCAGTGTCTTTTGTTCCCTTCTTTGTGTCTATATGTACTAAATGTTTAGCTCCCACTTACACATTTGATCCTTTTGTTCTTTAGTTTCCCACACATAAGTAACATATAATCATACCCTATTCATTGGTTTACGGAAACATTGCTCATAAAGGCAATTTGGAAGTGTTGATGAGTGGCTATACTTCTAGTCAGGCATGCAAACTGTGTGAGTACATTTAAGAAAATGAAAAGCATACAGCCGGATGTGCCTTCCCCCTGAAAACTGAGAAATCTCTCTGTGCAAACCAGTGGCAGTTTGTCTGAGGACAGTGCATGATCATATGATGAAAAGATCTTTTAGCAAATCTTTATGAATTAATTTGTATTTCTTCTTTGATGTGCAAAAGGGACTAGTAGTTGGGGCGGGGTGGCTGACGCCTGTAATCCCAGAACTTTGGAAGGCCTAGGCAGGCGGATCACTTGTGCTCAACATGATGAAAGCCCGTCTTTACTAAAAATACAAAAATTAGCCGGGCATGGTGGCATAGGCTGTAGTCCCAGCTACTTGGAGGGCTGAGGCAGGAGGATTGCTTGAACCTGGGGGGTCAAGACTGTAGTGAGGTGAGATTGCGCCACTGCACTACAGCCTGGGTGACAAAGTGAGACCCTGTATAAAAAAAGAAAAAAATGGACTTGTAAAATCTTAAGGGGCTGGAGAAAATAATCTTAAAATCGTGACTATAGGTTGCTGCTTTTTGTCTCTGTTTGGACTAATAAGATATACACTACTACCAGAAGATTCCAAAGCCAATTGTTACAGGCCTGGAATCAAAAGGATATTATGTAGGATTGCATTTTGTTTCTAGAATTTCTTTTTCTAGCAGCTTGACATTTTGTATGTTAATAATACCTTATGCATTTACAACATTTTGCAACACATTTTCACATTCATAAGCAAGGGAGACATTATCACTATTGTAGAGGTGTAGAAACAACAGCTCTAAAGTATCAAGTATTTTGCTCCGGGTCACAGAATTAGTAAAAGGCAATGTGAGTGGAGAGAGGTGCTCTCAAACTCCAGATTTTTTGCTTCTGGCCCAGGGTTTATTCCACTACCCTAAGCCATCTCTCTCATAAGTGCTAAATGATAAACTGACATTTCCTGGTAGCACTAATAGAGGCTTGCAGATAAATAATCGAAATCATTTTACAAGCAGCAGAAACACTAAAAAAAAAATCTATAATTGTGTAAGCATCTCGAATATTGACCTGAGTGATCTTGCCAATATTCATATTTCAAGCCTCCTTTCTTTGGTTCATGGCTTATTCCAGTTTTGAAACATTTGATATGCTTTTAAAAATCATGACTCTGTTTTTAGATACAGTTCAGAAAGATACTTTTATTAACTATTTTGCCACATGAAGTTCAAAACTATCTTGGTTACCTAGTGCCCTCTGCTGAAACAGTCATAGTATAACAAATTAGTAATAGAGGAACGAATTTCTTCTAAGAAACTGAATATTGATATTATGTCTCAGGATAGTAAAAACCCCCTAATTTTATAGTAATTTCTTCAAGAAACTCCTCATATCTAAGTGTATTAGATTATATAAATGAAGAATTTATATTACTAGTCCCTAACTCAGTGGCCAACTCACAGGACATTTAATAAATATTTGGTGAATTAATGTACATATACTTCAGTTTATTCTAGTGGTGCTCATGTGACAATCTACTGTGGCATTCCTTTGTGAAGCAGGATCATTCTTTTACAGTTTCAATTAGTCTTGAGTAATTTTCTCTTGTACTCCTATAGCCCCGTGTTGAGACTTGGCAGCCATAGTGATTCCTCATATCTCCCCACCCCCACCCCCCAGATTGTTATTTTGGTTTTGCTCAAAATACACTGGAAGTTTCCAAGAGCTTAGACTTTTGAGTAAAACCGATCTGAGTTTAAATCCAGGCTCTGCCACTTTCTTTGACAAATTACTCATCCTTTAAAAGGTTTCTATCTGTAGAATGGGGAAAATAGCCTAACTTATAGGATCATTGTGAGGATTTAAATGATGTAATGCAAAGAAAGGGCCCAGCACAACATGTGCCACTTAGCAACTGGTCAGTAATTGCCAGCTTTTATCTATAATTATTTTTCATATCTCACATTCTAACAATTTTCAGCCAAAAAGACTTGCCCTAGACTCCTTATCCTTTCAGGCCTCTTTACACTTATCAACCATTTTTATTAGTTCTTCCTCCTTCCTTGTGAAGATGGTAAAATGGTTTTCCTTTAATACAATGTGAGGAACCTGGAGCACAGAGGAAAAACTTGGGAATCATTGAAATGGAACAAGACAGGAACAAACAAGTTTTTATTGTTTATTTCACTACACTAGTTTAAAGGAGTCGGTCACATTTTAATATAATTTAATTTTAACAAAGGAAACATCTTGGGTTTGTTGTGTTTTCTAAATTTACTTTAAATTTTTGTCACATTAATGTATGCAGATAGTTTTAAAAGCCAAAAAGGATGATAAGGCTTGTAAAAAATGGAGTTCCTGGTCCCATCCCTCCCCCGAAATGGCCCCCTCCCTCCATTCCCCAGCAATCACTCTTTCAAGCCATTTAGCTGGTGTATTAGTGTTCTCCTGAGAAACAGAATATATATATATATATTATATATATATAATATATATAAGATATGATATGCATGTATTATCTATCATAGATAGATATCTAAATTATCTATATATGCCTGGCCATAATGGTCTTTTCAAAAATAGTTTTATTGACCGGGTGCAGTGGCTCACGCCTGTAATCCCAGCACTTTGGGAGGCTGAGGCGGGTGGATCACTTGAGCTCAGGAGTTTGAGACCAGCCTGGCCAACATGGTGAAACCTCGTCTCTACTAAAAATGCAGAAATTAGTTGGGCATGGCGGTGCACACCTGTAGTCCCAGCTACTTGGGAGGCAGGGGCAAGAGAATCGCTTGAACCCGGGAGGCCGAGGCTGCAGTGAGCCAAAATCGTGCCACTGCACTCCAGCCTGAGCGAGAGAGGGAGGCCCTATCTCAAAAAAAAAAAAAAAAAAAAAATAGGCTGGGGTGCAGTGGCTCACGCTTGTAATCCCAGCACTTTGGGAGCTAGAGACGGGTGGATCTCCTGAGGTCAGGAGTTCGAGACTAGCCTGGCCATGATGGCAAAGCCCCATCTCTACTAAAAATACAAAAATTAACCAGGCATGGTGGCGCACACCTGTAGTCCCAGCTACTTGGGAGGCTGAGGCAGGAGAATTGCTGGAACCTGGGAGGCAGAGGTTGCAGTGAGCAGAGATGATGCCACTGCACTCCAGCCTAGACAACAGAGCAAGACTCTGTCTCCAAAAAAAAAAAAAAAAACCATAAAAATAAAAATAGCTTTATCATCTAGCATAGGGATGCTATCTCTCCTTTTATCTCTTTGAAGATGTTAAAGTATGGGTTTTTTTTTTTAACTGTAATTTTTTTTTTCTGTTACTACTTGTCTCAGTTTTCTCCAAGTTCCTTTTGACCATTTCTTTTGGTTTCTTCCATATTAGACTTTCTTCAAATGTCTGATGATTCTTGGCTGTTCATTTATAGTTAAGAGTTAGAGATAAAAATGCTCACTTAAATCTTAGTGTGTTTGAAGCTTTTCAAAACTAGTGGGTTTCACTGTAGGGATATCAGACACAGTTCAGATTGCTAGTTAATTTCCTCAGAGAGAAGTTCTCTAATTAAAAAAAGTAAGCCAAACCACACAGTGCACTTAGTGACATAGTAGATTTACATTCTTGCACAAATTCCATATCTTGTTGTAGACCAATAATGAATACCAGTTTGTGAACCAAACATTGGGTAGCAACGTGTTAATCGCGCTCTAAGGAATGAAACCCTGGATGTCAACATCATGGAGCTCAATTGGGGTTTAAATATATTACTTGGAATAGGTAGATTTTCATTTGCTGCACATTTACTAATTTCAGTAAATTACTCATACCTTCAGATATTCCTGGTGTCTCTGAGTCTACCTTTTCTCTGCTTCAGACTTTCCAGATAATAAACCTCCAATCTAATGGTGTGATTCTCAAATTCTAACTGTACTAGAGTCCCATGGAGGGCTTGGTAAAACACAGGTGGCTGGATCCCATTGAGGCAGGAGAATAGGGTCTGGAGGCAGGGAACGTAAGGCTGTTTCACTCTGACTTCCTAGAACTAAATTGAAAGGAAAACCCTAACTTTGCACACCTAAGTAACAAAAAGAGCAGAGGCTACTCCCTTGGATCTTTTCTGCGTGGCAGATGGGAAATTTGCTGTCTACAACAAATCATGCTGAGTGCGGGTGGAGTCTTTGTTTGCAACTTTGTAACTTCACTCCAGCGTCTGAATGGTTGCTTTCTGCAACCAGTCAGACTGAGCGGGGGATACCACTTCATTTACATGAGGTTAGCATGAAGTGGCCAATGGGAAGCTTCTAGGGGGCCCAGGAAGATTCTGTATCTGGGCCCTTGAGCCACTGCTTGGGTCTGCTCCCACACCGTGGAGTGTACTTTCTTTTTCAATAAATCCTTGCTTTAGTTCTTTTGTTGCTTCGTTCTTTCTTTGCCTTGCTGGGTGTTTCTTCCAATTCTTTGTTCAAAACACCAAGAACCTGGACAACTTGCAGTCATGACTCTCTACCGGTGACACCATCTCTAGAGTTTCTCATTCAGGAGGTCAGGGGTGAAGCATGAGAATTTGTATTTGTAATTTTCTATTGCTGCTGGTACAGAGACATCACTTTGAGACTACTGATTGACAGCCTATGTGGGTTGAAAGAAGGCATCTACAAATGACCTTCCCTCCTTATAGTTCAACCAGTTCTTCTATTTTCAATACCATACTTACCCCTCCTCTGGAGATACCTGTGCCTTCAATTTAAGAACCATTCCAGGGTGCTGCAACAAAATTAAGCTTACTACTTTCTGGATTCACACTCCCACCTCCAACGTACACACACACACACACACACACACACACACAACTGTAGGCTTAAATTTTGGCTTTTTCAGTTCTCTGAAGTCAGTTCTCTCTAGTCGATCCACTTTTCAGCTTCTAAAATTTTACTGACACATCTTAGCCACTATAGTCTCCTCTCCTGGGCTTTTAGTGCTTTTGAGCTTATGCCTTTTTTTAAAAAAAATTGTGACATTTTGGTATAAGCAATGAAATGAACACTTGCTTCAAAGTGGCATGTTTAATAGGAAGTCAATGCAGGAAGCTATAAAGGAGAAACTAATAGTTACCTTCAAATTTCACCGTTCAGAAATAATCATCATTGACATTAGGTAAACATCTTTCCCTGAATATATACATGTAAAAAACAGAAGGCTGAGAGTAGTGGCTCACGCTGGCAATCCCAGCACTTTGGGAGGCCAAGGCAGGCGGATCACGAGGTCAAGAGATCGAGACCATCCTGGCCAACAGGGTGAAACACCGTCCCTACTAAAAATACAAAAATTAGCTGGGAGTGGTGGCATGCCTGTAGTCTCAGCTACTCAGGAGGCTGAGGCAGAAGAATCACTTGAACCTGTGAGGCGGAGCTTGCAGTGAGCCAATATTGTGCCACTGCATTCCAGCCTGGTGACAGAGCAAGACTCAGTCTCAAAAAAAAAAAAAAAAAAAAAAAAGAAAAACTCTTTATTTTTATATGTGATTATATTATATGTGTTTGTTAAAATTTATTTAATTTACTTAAAAGGAAAATTTTAAAAGTGAAAAAAATTACTGAATTACAAATAAATATTTTTTCTCCAAAGTGATATTAGTCCTCACTGGGGGCATCGCATCATCTGACTTTAAAATCTGCTACAAAGCTATAGTAAGCAAAACAGCATGGTAGTGGCATAAAAACAGACACATAGACCAATGGAACAGAATAGAGAACTCAGAAATAAATCCATACATTTATAGCCAATTCATTTTCGACAAAGGCACCAGAAACATACATTAGGGAAAAGACAGTCTCTTCAATAAATAGTACTGGGAAAACTAGATAACCATATGCAGAATAGTGAAACTAGACCCCTATCTCTTTTGACCATATACAAAAATCTAATCAAAATGAATCAAAGACTTCAATGTAAGACCTGAAACTATGAAACTACTAGAAGAAAACATTGGGGAAATACTCCAGGTCATTGGTCTGGGCAAAGATTTTTTGAGTAAGATTTCAAAAACACAGGCAACCAAAGCAAAAATACACAAACGAGATTACATCAAGCTAAAAAACAAACAAACAAAAAACCCTTCTAAACAGCAAAGGAAATAACAGAGTGAAGAGACAACCTACAGAATGGGAGAAAATTTGCAAACTATCTATCTGATGACACATTAATAACCAGAATATGTAAGGAACTCAAACAACTCAATAGCAAAAACAACAACAATGAAACCAAATATCTGATTTGAAAATGGGCAAATAAGCTGAATAGACATTTCACAAAAGAAGACATACAAATAGCCAACAGGTAAATGGAAAAATGCTCAACATCACTAGTCATCAGAGAAATGCAAATCAAAACCACAATGAAATATCATCTCACTCCAGTTAAAATAGGTATTGTCAAAAAGACCATTTGTTGGCAAGAATGTGGAGAAAGGGGAATGTTCACATACTGTTGGTGGAAATGTAAATTAATATGGCTACTATTACAGTGGCTGTACACTATTACACTACGTAAAGGAAAACAGTATGGAGATTCCTCAAAAACTAAAAATAGATCTTCCATATGATCTAGCAATCCCACTGCTGGGTATACATCCAAAAGAAAGGAAATCAATATCAAAGAGATATCTGCACTCTCATGTCTACTGCAGCAGTATTCACAATAGCCAAGATTGTAAACAACCTGTCCACCAACAGATGTAAGGGTACTTCTCTGTACAGTTTAAGAAAAAGAAAAAGAAAAAACAAAAACAAACAAAAAACAAAAACCAAAAAAATTCACAGACCCTTTGAAAGAAGCAACTTGCTGCTCTAAACTCCATGAGACGGTAAAAAAACTGTGAGTGGCCAATATGTGAGAGGGGAAAGTCTGCCTCTGAACACACATCCTCAGTGGGGAACCTGAAAATCCAGATCACGGGAGAAGGATTTGACCTAACCTAGAGCTGAAACAAATTTAGAGAGTTGAGTGAAATATGAAGGTAGAAGAAGCAGTGGGAAAAGCCCTATAGGCACTCCTGGTCCCCAGGAAGGCCAGGAAAGCCATTTCTGACTTTTTCTCACAGGGGTCTTTGTTGGGGGGCTGCCAGTGGAACTGGGAAAGGACCACAGGGGGAAAGAAACTTCAAGCTGAACTTTGTAATAATTTTGATGGAGTGTGAATTTTCCTGGGCAAAATGGAGAAGGGGGTGAACAAGGAGTGCAGATAAGAGCATGGAAGACACAGCAGGCAGGGAGGGGCAGGGCCTGAAAGCCCTGCTTGCTTTCTCAGCAGGGAAGCTTGTAGCCTGGGGCAAGATCTCAGTCCTGCTCACCTGGATATAAACTCCATGCTGTTGGTGGGGCATGGTGGGAGTGAGACTGGCTTTGCTGGCTGCATGGGAGCTGGATGAGACCTGTCACTGCCATCAGGTGTTCCTGAGGAAGAAGAGAAATCTGAAAGTCTGGAAAACTTATTTGAGGGAATAATCGAGGAAAACTTCTCTGGCCTTCCTAGAGATCTAGACATCCAAATACAAGAAGCTCAAAGAACACCCAGTACATTCATCACAAAAAGATAATCACCTAGATACACAGTCATCAGGTTATCTAAAGTCGAGGCAAAAGAAAGAATCTTAAGGATGGTGAGGGCAAAAGCATCTGGTAACCTATAAAGGAAAACCTATCAGAATAACAGTAGATTTCTCAGCAGAAACCCTACAAGCTAGAAGGGATTGGGGTCCTATCTTTAGCATCCTTAAACAAAACAATTATTAGCCAAGAATCTTGTATCCAGCAAACCTAAACTTCATTAAGTGAAGAAAAGATAAAGTCTTTTTCAGACAAACAAATGCTGAGAGAATTCGCCGCTACCATGCCAGCGCTACAAGAAATGCTAAAAGGAGTTCTAAATCTTGAATCAAAACCTCGAAATACACCAAAATAGAACCACTTTAAAGGATAAATCCCACAGGGCTTCTAAAACAATAACAACAACAACAACAAACATAAGGTATTCAGGCAACAACTAGCAGGATGAACAGAATAGTATCTCACATCTCAATATTGACGTTGAATGTAAATGGCCTAAATGATCCACTTAAAAGACATAGAATGGCAGAATGGATAAGAATTCACCAATCAAGTGTCTGCTGTCTTCAAGAAACTCAGCTAACACATAAGGACTCACATAAACTTAAGGTAAAGGGGTGGAAAAAGATATTCCATGCAAATGAACATCAAAAGCATGCAGGAATATCTATTTTTATGTCAGACAAAAAAAAAAAAAGACCTTAAAGTAACAACAGGTAAAAAAGACAAAGAGGGACATTATGTAATGATTAAAGGAGTAGTCCAACAGGAAAATATCACAATCTTAAACATATATGCACCTAATTCTAGAGCTCCCAAATTCACAAAACAATTACTACTAGACCTAAGAAATGAGATAGACGGCAACACAATAATAGTGGGGGACCTCAATACTCCACTGACAGCACTAGACAGATCATCAAGACAGAAAGCCTAAAAAGGAACAATGGACTTATACTATACCCTAGAACAAATGAACTTAACAGATATTTACAGAACATTCTACCCAACAACTGCAGAATATACATTCTATTCATCTGTAAATTCAATGCAATTCCCATCAAAATACCACTGTCATTCTTCACAGAACTAGAAAAAGCAATCCTAAAATTCATATGGAACAAAAAAAAGAGCCCGCATAGCCAAAACAATACTAAGCAAAAAGAACTAATCTGGCTGGGCGTGGTGGCTCACACCTGTAATCCCAGCACTTTGGGAGGCCAAGGTGGGTGGATCACCTGAGGGCAGGAGTTCGAGACCATTCTGGCCAACATAGTGAAACTCCATCTCTACTAAAAATACAAAAAATTAGCTGGGTGTGGTGGCACGCGGCTCTAATCCCAGCTACTAGGGAGGCTGAGGCAGGAGAATTGCTGGAACCAGGAGGTGGAGGTTGCAGTAATCGCATCACTGCACCTCCAGCCTGGGCAACAAGAGCAAAACTCCATCTCAAAAAAAAAAAAAAAAGAACAAATCCAGAGGCATCACATTACCTGATTTCAAACTATACTACAAGGGGATAGTCACCAAAACATCATAGTACTGGCATAAAAATAGGCACATAGACCAATGGAACAAAATAGAGAACCCAGAAATAAAGCCAACTACTTATAGCCAACTGATCTTCAACAAAGCAAACAAAAACATAAGTGGGGAAAGGACACCCTATTCAACAAATGATGCTGGGATAATTGGCAAGCCACATACGGAAGAATGAATCTGGAGCAAAACTCCATCTCAAAAAATAAATAAATAAAAATAAATAAAAAAGCTGCCAGGTGTGGTGCCTCACGCCTATAATCCCAGCATTTGGGAGGTGAAGGTGGGAGGATCACTTCAGCCCAGGAGTTCGAGACCATCCTAGGCAACATGGCGAAACTCCATCTCTACAAAAAATTGCAAAATTAGCAGGGCATGGTGGCATGCGTCTGTAGTCCCACCTACTGGAGTGCAGTGGCATGATCTGGGCTCACTGCAACCTCCACCTCCCGGGCTCAAGCAATTCTGTCTCAGCCTCCCGAGTAGTTGGGAATACAGGCGCATGCCACCATGCCTGGCTAATTTTTGTATTTTTAGTAGAGATGGGGTTTCACCATGATGGTCAGGCTGGTCTCAAACTCTTGACCTCAGGTGATCCACCCGCCTTGGCCTCCCAAAGTGCGGGGATTACAGGTGTGAGCCACCGCGCCCAGCCAGTCTTTCATGTCTTTTAGTGCTATTGTGAATGTTGGGCCTTACAATTTTCAATTCTGACTTTTTTTTCCTAGTATTTAGAAATACAATTAATTTTTGAAATTGATCTTGTAACATTCAACTGTGCTGAACTCATTTATTAGTTCCAGCAGCTTTTTTGTACATTCTGTAGAATTTTCTACTTAAAATTATGTCATCTGCAAGTAAAGGCAATTTAATGTCTCCTTTTCCAATCTGGATATATTTTATTTATTTTTCTTGCCTTAATATACTGGCTTTCTTTAGTACAATGTTGAATACAAGTGGTGAGAACTTACATGCTTCCCTTACTCCTTATGTTAGGGAGCAACATTCAGTCTTTCACCATTAAGTATCAAATTAGCTTCAGATTTTGAGGGGTAACTTTTATAAAGTTGAGGAAATGTTATTCCTTTTAGTTAGATAACATTCTATTTATTTATTTGGTTGTTTGTTTGTTTACTTATTTGAGGCAGTCTTGCTCTGTTACCCAGGCTGGAGTACAGTGATGCAATCATGGCTCACTTCAGCCTCAACTTCCCTGGCTCAAACAATCCTCTCACCTCAGTCTTCTGAGTAGCTGGGACTACAGATGCATGCCACGACGCCCTGCTAATTTTGGAATTTTTTGTAGAGATGGAGTTTTGCCATGTTGCCTAGGATGCTCTCGAACTCCCGGGCTCAAGTGATCCTCTCACCTTGACCTCCCAAATTTTGGGATTATAGGCATGAGCCACCACACCTGGCAGATTTTTTATTTATTTTTATTTACTTATTTATTTTTTAAGATGGAGTTTTGCTCTTGTTGCCCAGGCTGGAGTGCAATGGTGCAATCTTGGCTCCCTGCAACCTCCCTCTCCCAGGTTCAAGTGATTCTCCTGCCTCAGCCTCCCAAGTAGCTGGGATTACAGGCATGTGCCACCATTCGTGGCTAATTTTGAATTTTTAGTAGAGATGGGGCTTCACGATGTTGGCCAGGCTGGTTTCAAACTCCTGACC
Source organism: Homo sapiens (assembly GCF_000001405.40). NCBI lineage: Eukaryota > Metazoa > Chordata > Mammalia > Primates > Hominidae > Homo > Homo sapiens. The sequence continues at coordinate 174,084,509 of NC_000001.11, forward strand.
TCAGGTGATCCACCCGCCTGTGCCTCCCAAAGTGCTGGGATTACAGGTGTAAGCCACCACACCTGGCCCTGGCAGATTTAAAAAAAAAAATCAGGAACAGATATTGGATTTTTGTGAAATCTTTTTTCTGCATCTACTGAGATGAACATATAGTAGGTTCGTTTTTTGTTTGGTTTGGTTTTGGTTTTCTTCTATGGTAAATTCCATTGATTTTCAAATGTTAAACCAAACTTGCATTTCTGAGGGGAAATTCCAGTTAGGCATAATGTATTACCATTTTTGGACATTGATTCAACTCAGTAAAATTTTGTTAAGGCTCTTTTTGCATTTATGTTCATGAGGTATGTTGGTCCTTAGTTTTTGTTTGTTTGTATGTTTGTTTGAGTCTTGTAATTGTTGTATTTTGGTGTGAGAGTAATGCTAGCCTCTAGTCTCATAGGATGAGTTGGTATTTTATTCTTCTCAAATTTTTGGAAGAATTTGCATAGCATTGGTCTTATTTCCTAAATGGTAGAATTCACCAAATAACTTAATTGTTAAAATTTGTTTAATTTTTATGTTTTAACTTTTATTTTAAGTTCAGGGTTATATATGCAGGTTTGTTATATAGGTAAACTTATGTCATGGGGGTTTGTTATACAGATTACTTCATTACCCAGGTATTAAGCCTAGTATCCATTAGTTATTATTCCTGATCCTCTCCCTCCTTCCAACCTTCACCCTCTGATAGACCCCAGTGCCTCTTGTTCCCCTGTATGTGTCCATGTGTTATCATTTAGCTCCCACTTATAAGTGAGAACATGCAGTATTTGGTTTTCTGTTCCTTTGCTAGTTTGCTAAGGATAATGGCCTCCAGCTCCATCCATGTTCCTCCGAAGGACATGATCTCATTCTTTGTTATGGCTGCATAGTATTCCATGGTGTATATTTACCACATTTTCTTTATCCAGTCTACCATTCCTGGGCATTTAGGTTGATTCCATGTCTTTACTATTGTGAATAGTGCTGCAATAAACATATGCATGCATGTATCTTTATAACAGAACAATTCATATTCCTCTGGGCGTATACCAGGTAATGGAATTGCTAAATCAAATGGTATTTCTGTTTTTAGGTCTCACCAAATAATTTATATGAGCCCGGAGTAGTTTTATTTTAATAGGAAGATTTTAACTACAGGTGCAAGTTCTTTAATAGAAATGGTGCTATTTGGGATTCTCTTTCTTTTGTGTATGCTTAGGTAGCTTGTATCTCTCAATGAATTTGTCCATTTCATCTAAATTGTTGAATTTATTGGCATTACATTGCTCCTAATTTCCTTTGTTTTGCTTTTAATACCTGTGGATTCTGTATTGATATCACGTCCTTATTCCTGACATAGGCAATTTGTATCCTCTCTATTTTTCTTTTAATTCCTTCCTTCCTTCCTTTTTTCCTTTTCTTTTTCCTTCTCTTCCTCCTCCTTTTACATCCAGAATACACACTGCAGTTCCTTTCTTCCTTTTACTGATCAGCCTGGCTAGAAGATTATCAATTTAGTTGATCACAAAGTAACAGCTTTTGGTCTCATTAATTTCCCCCATTACTTTTCTGCTTCTGTTTATGCTCTTTATTCTTCTTATTTATTTTTGCTTACTTTGGGTTTCATTTACTCTTTTCATTTCTAGTTTATTAAGGAGGAAGCTGATGACACTGATTCAGTTCTTTTTTTCTAATATAGGCATTTAGTGCAATAAATTTCCCTCTGAGTACTGCTTTAGCTACATTTCACAAATATCAATATGTTGTCATTTTGTTTTGACTCAACTGAAATTGTTTTCTGATTTCCCTTTCTGATTTCTTCTTTGACCCTATGGGTTGTTTAGAAGTGTGTTATTTCATTTACAACTATTTTGAAGGTTTTTTTCAGATATTTCTATTTTTGATTTTTAATTTGATTCCACTTTGGTCAGAAAACATACTTTATATGATTTGAATCCTTTAAATTTATTGAGATTTTGGGGGGGCTCACAATATCATCTGTCTTAGTAAATGTTCCATGTGCACTTAAAAAATATGTATTCTGTTGTCATTGAATGGAGTGTTTTATAAATTTCAATTTTGTCAAATTATTCGATAGTGTTGTTCAACTCTGTGTCTTTGCTAATTTTCTGTTCACTTGTTCTATCACATATGGAGAGATGGATATCAAAATCTCTGACTATAATTGAGGATTACATCTATTTATTCTCAGTTCTATCAGTTTTGCTCCTTGTATTGTGAAAATGTGTTATTAGGTCCATAATTTAGGGTTATTATTTCCTCTTCATGAATTGACTACTGTATCATTAAAAATCATCTTCTTTATCTCTGGTAGTACTTTCTAAGTACTGAAATATTTGCCTATAACTACTCCAGTTTTCTTTTGATTAGTGTAAGCATATTATATATTATTCTATTCTTTTACTTTTAATGTATTTGTATTTTTATATTTAATGTGGGCTTCTTGCAGGTAGGATATAATTGAAATCTTACTCTTTGCCTTTTTTTTTTTTTTTTTTTTTTGAGATGGAGTCTCGCTCTGTCACCCAGGCTGGAGTGCAGTGGCACAATCTCGGCTCACTGCAAGCTCCACCTCCCGGGTTCACGCCATTCTCCTGCCTCAGCCTCCTGGGTAGCTGGGACCACAGGCACCCACCACCACGCCCAGCTAATTTTTTGTATTTTTAGTAGAGATGAGGTTTCACTGTTAGCCAGGATGGTCTCAATCTCCTGACCTCGTGATCCGCCCACCTTGGCCTCCCAAAGTGCTGGGATTAGAAGCCTGAGCCACCACACCCGGCCTACTCTGCCTTTTAATGGAGTATGTTTAGACCATTTATATTTAATGTAATTATCATTATTATTTTTATTAGAGATAGTCTTTCACTTTCACCCAGACTGGAGTGTAGTGGTGTTATCGTTGCCATTGCAGTCTTAAACTGTTGGACTCAAGCAGTTCTCCTGCCCTGGCCTCCCACAGTGTTGGGATTACAGGAGTGAGCCACCATGCCTGGTCTACATTTCATGTAATTTTTTTTTTTTATGTTTTGCATTTCTGTGTTTCTTTTCTATGTCTTTTTTTTTAAGTTCAGGGGTACATGTGCAAGATGTACAGGTTTGTTACATAGGTAAAAATGTGCCATGATGATTTGCTGCACAGATCATACCATCACCTAGGTATTAAGCCCAGCATCCATCAGCTATTCTTTCTGATGCTCTCCTTCCTCCCTTCTCCTCCCACCCTCAACAGGCCTCAGTGTGTGTTGTTCCCCGCCATGTGTCCATGTGTTCTCATCATTCAGCTCCCACTTATAAGTGAGAAAATGCAGTATTTGGTTTTCTGTTCCTGCATTAGTTTGTTGAGGATAATGGCCTCCAGCTCCATCCATGTCCCTGCAAAGGACATGATCTCATTCCTTTTTTATGACTGCATAGTATTCCATGGTGTATATGTACCACATTTTCTTTATCCAGTCTATCATTGCTGGGCATCTCTATGTCTCTGCTATTGTAAATAGTGGTGCAATGAACATACACATACATGTATCTATAATAGAATGAGGGCTGGGCACAGTGGCTCATGCCTGTAATCCCAGCACTTTGGGAGGCCAAGGCAGGTGGATCACCTGAGGTCAGGAGTTTGAGACCAGCCGGGCTGACATAGTGAAACCCTGTCTCTACTAAAAATACAAAAATTAGCCAGGCATGGTGGCATGCACCTGTAGTCCCAGCTACTTGGGAGGCTGAGGTACAAGAATTGCTTAACCTGGGAGGCGGAGGTTGCAGTAAGCCCAGTTCACACCACTGCACTCCAGCCTGGGTGACAGAGTGAGACTCCATCTCAAAAAAAAAAAAAAAAAAAGAATGACTTATATTCCTTTGGGTATATACCCAGTAATTGGATTGCTGGGTCAAACGGTATTTCTGCTGCTTCTAGGTCTTTGAGGAATTGCCACACCGTCTGTCACAATGGTTGAACTAATTTACACTCCCACCAACAGTGTAAAAGTGTTCCTTTTTCTCCATAACCTTGCCAACATCAGTTTTTTTTTTTTACTTTAACAATAGCCATTCTGACTGGTGTGAGATGGTATCTCATTGTGGTTTTGTTTTGCATTTCTCTAATGATCAGTAATGTTGAACCCTTTTTTATATGTTTTTTGGCCACATGTATGTATTCTTTTGAGAAGTGTCTGTTCTTGTCCTTTTCCCACTTTTTAATGGGGTTGTTTTCTTTTCTTGTAAATTTGTTTACATTCCTTGTAAATGCTGGATATTAGACCTTTGTCAGATGGATAGATTATAAAAATTTTCTCCCATTCTGTAGGTTGTCTGTTCATTCTGATCTTTTCTTTTGCTGTGCAGAAGTGCTTTAGTTTAATTAGATCCTATTTGTCAATTTTTGATTTTGTTGCAATTGCTTTTGGCATCTTCATCATAAAATCTTTGCCTGTGCCTGTGCCTTAATGGTATTGCCTAGATTTTCTTCTTGGGTATTTATGATTTTGGGTTTTACATTGAAGTCTTTAATCCACCTCAAGTTGATTTTTTTATATGATATAAGGAAAGGGTCCAGTTTCAATTTTCTGCATATGACTAGCCAGTTCTCCCAGCACCACCATTTATTAAATAGGGAATCCTTTTCCCATTGCTTGTTTCTGTCAGGCTTGTCAAAGATCAGATGGTTGTAGGTGTGTGGTTTTATTTCTGGGTTGTCTATTCTGTTCCATTGGCTTATGTGTCTGTTCTTGTACCAGCACCGTGTTCTTTTTGTTACTGTAGGCTTGTAGTATAGTTTGAAGTCAGGTAGCATGATGCCTCCAGCTTTGTTCTTTTTGCTTAGGATTGTCTTGGCTATTTGGGCTCTTTTTTGGTTCCATATTAATTTTAAAATAGTTCTTTTTAAATTCTGTGAAGAATGTCAATGATAGTTTATTGGGAATAACATTGAAGCTATAAATTGCTTTGGGTGGTATGGCCATTTTCATGATATTGATTCGTACTATCCATGAGCATGAAATGTTTTTCCATTTGTTTTTGTGTCATCTTCCTTTCTTTTTGAGTTTTTATTGTTTTTGCACTGATTCTTTCTTTTCTTTGTGGGCTTATCCACCTTCAATCTTCAAGGTTGCTGACCTTTGGTGGGATTTTTGTGTTGTTTTCTTTGTTGTTGTTGTTTTCTGTTTATTTGTTTGTTTTTCTTTTAACCATCTGGCCACTCTTCCACAGGGCTGCTGCGGTTTTCTGGGGGTCTGCTCCAGACCCTAGTCACCTTTGTTTTTCCTGTACCTGAAGGTATCACTGATGAAGGCTGTGAAACATCAAAAATGGCAGCCTGCCCCTTCCTCTGGAAGCTGCATCGCAGGGAGGGTACTAATCTATTGTCAGCCTGAATGCACCTGTAGGAGATGGCTGGAGTCCCTGGTTGGGAGGTCTCACCCAGTTAGGAGGAACGGGATCACAGACCCACTTAAAGAAGCAGTCTGGCTGCTTTTTGGTAGAGCAGCTGTGCTGTGTTGGAGAACCTTTCAGCCCCTGATCAGTTTGGGCTCTCCAAGGCCCACAGGCTGGACTGGCTGAGAAGCCTGAATGGTCAAGGTGGTGGCCTGTCTGTTCTGGCACGCTTCTAACGATATCAGAATCGTCTGGATCAATGATAGACAACATGCATACTCTGCAGTATTTACCACATGCTATGCCCAATTCAAAATTATTGTCACTGTAGTGATGGACACCAGTTTTGGTCAACATGGTATAGTACTCTATTTTGGATTTCCTCAAAGCTGGACAGTTTTCAGTGTGGATAGCCAATTTTGCTTTGCCTTGCCTGATCATCTTTGGAGTCTGCTTGTACGCCAGTATGTACTTTCCACTTTTTATAACAAGTAGAAGCCTAGAGTTGATCCATTCCACTGACTTTTTAATCTTCTTTGCAAGCACCATCTTCCTGCATTAGGTGTGGGATGGCCCCCAAACAAAAGCAGCTGCCAAGGTAACTGGGAGGCAAGAAGGGAAGACCTAGAATTTTTCTAAAGCAAAACTTTGATGGGCTGCCCACCTGTTTCATTCCCAGGAACCTTGTAATTAATTATTGCCACAAATCTCTTGGGTTAAAGTACTTGATTAACATTTCCTCTCTGCAGCTTAATGTGGTAATTGCATCTATCCTGTCTCTGATGATTAAATGCTGCCACCTGGCCTTCTACACACCAGGATTCTATTATTCCATTGCAATCAGGGATTCCTAATTTCATGGCAACATTTCCGACCGTCATCACTGACCTACGGAATACAGCCAACACAGAGCTTTAAAAGGATACTGAAGCTCCCAACCCAGGCATTTATTAAATGATTAATTTTTCATATTTATTAATTTATTAATGGCTTGGTGAAGAGAATACCCTCTAGGCCTCCAGGAGGTATGGTTGGTATGTGGATGATCATATCTGCTCTAACATACTCATTTCCCTAAGCCTGAGGTTTAATTCCTAGAGCATACCAAAGAAGTACTGGCATCTCAATTTCTTTCTTTTTTTTTTTTTGAGACGGAGTCTCACTCTGTCACCCATGCTGGAGTGCAGTGGCGCGATCTCGGCTCACTGCAAGCTCCACCGCCCGGGTTCAAGCGATTCTTCTGCCTCAGCCTCCTGAGTAGCTGGGATTAGGCTACTCGGTGGTGTGCCTGACGTGCACCACCACATCCAGCTAATTTTTGTATTTTTGGTGGAGACGGGGTTTCAGCATCTTGGCCAGGCTGGTCTTGAACTCCTCATCTCATGATCCACCCGCCTCGGCCTCCCAAAGTGCTGGGATGGCATCTCAATTTCATTCACTATAGGCCACTATTGAAGTCAGTCCTGCTAACCAACCAAGCAAATTGTTAGTTACACCCAGGCAGTTAAACATATTAAATCTCCATATTTATATTAATAAATTTAGCCAGATCCAACCTTATATTTTTTTCTCTGTGGACTAATACCTTTAGAATATACTGTCAATATGCTCCCCAAATTTCTGACAATACAAGTTATCCTTCAACTGCTGCATTTTCTGTGTATATAGTATTTTCTCTCACTCAGTAGAGCTTGTAATTTTCCCTCTGAGCTATACTGGGAATTAATTATTATTGTGAGTTTGGGGTTGATGCAGGTCTTGAGGAGAGAATTGTTTTTTTTTTAATTGGATATTGTCAGAATATAGATTGTATTTAAGCCACAAGATTGGATGTGACCATCAAGACAGTGAGCATAGATAGGAAAGAAAAGAGTTGCAAGGGCCAAACCCAATATTTAGGGATCGGGTTGAGGGAAATGGATCAGCAAAGGAAGAATGGCCAGTGAGGTAAGAGGAAAACAAACCCTGAAGCAAGTGTAGAATGTATTTAGCGGAGAAAAGAAAGATCAATGGTCTGAGAGTTAACCATTTGATTTGGCCACAAAAAGGTTATTGGTGACCTTGGCAGGCAGTTTGAGTTGTGACGAGGGCAAAACCCTAACTGGAGTAGGTTTAAGAGAAGACACGGAAGGAACTTGTAGACAGAAAATACAGGCAACACTTATGAAGAATTTTGTTGTATCAAAAGTAGAGAAATGGAATGTAAGCTGCAGGAGGATGTCAGGTCAAAGGAGGACATCTCTCTCTTTTTAGAATGGGGGATTTTTCAGCATGTTTCTGTGCTCATGTGAATGATCCAGTAGAGACAGAAAAACTGATGCAGGAGGGTGAAGGGAGAATTACCAGAGTAATGTCATCAATGAGGTGAGATGAGAAGGAATGGGATATAGTGTTGCAATGGAAGAGTGGCTTTAGGAGAAAAGACAGTTCATTTTTATAAACAGGAGGAAAGGCAGTACCTGGGCACAGATATAGGATGGGTAGATATGATGATGGTAGGAACCTGTGGAAATTCTCTCCTGGGTGCTTTTTATTTATTTTTCACTAATTAATTTTACTGAGATATAATTTGCATACAGTAACATGCACAGATCTTTTGTATATAATCTGATGAGTTAAGACAAATATACCCTTCTGTGTAAAAAACACCCCAGTCAAGACAAACCCAGAACATTTCTGTCAACACAGCAAGTTCCCTCCAGCCCTTTTCCAGTTAATCCCCTCATCCTCCTCCTTGCCACCAACACCCCCTCCTACTGCCCAAAAACTCCAGGCAACAACTATTTTGATTTTTATCACTATAGACTAGTTTTACTAGTCTTAATCTTCACACAAATAGAATAATAAAATATGTAGTGTTTTCTGGCTTTTTTTCCTTAATATGATGTTGTTTTGAAGTCACCTATTGTATTATATATATATATCAATAGTTTATTATTTTATTACAGAGTAGTATTCCATAATACAAATGTACCACAGTATGTATATTCATTCTCCCATTGAACATTTGGATTGTTTCCAGTTTTTGGTTTTTGTGAATAAAGCTTCTATGAACATTCTTAGGCTAATCTTTTTGACAATTGTTTTTAACTCCAAGACCTGTATACTGAGAAAGATATTGTCCCTTAGCTTCAGATTCATATAACTAGTTGTCTACTTGAATGATTCCTAGCTTCCTCAAACTCAAAATATTCCAAACTTAGCCCTTCCCTTAAACCTGGTCCTCCTGCAAGATATCCCTTCTCAGTAACAGCACCATTATCCACCTCACAGCCCCTGCTAGAAACTTAGAAGTTGCTCTTAACTTCTCCTCTCCCTTACCTGCTGTTTCCAGTCACTCACCATATCCTGTTGATTTGATTTCCTATCTTTTTTTGCAAACATCTTATGAATCCACCCACTTATCTACTACAGTCTAATCCATTTCCTATATAGAAAAAATATGGTTGGGCATGATGGCTCATGCTTGTAATCCCAGCACTTTGGGAGGCCCAGGCAGCTGGCTCACTTGAGCCCAGGAGTTTGAGACCAGCCTAGGCAACATGGCGAAACTCTTGTCTCTACAAAAAACAAACAAACAAACAAACAAACAAACAAAAACTAGCTGGGCATGGTGGTGCAAGTCTGTGGTCCCAGATACTCAGGAGGCTGAGGTGGGAGGATTGCTTGAGCCTGGGGGGGGTTCGAGGCTGCAGTGAGCCGTGATGGTGCCACTGCACTCCAGCCTGGGTGACCAAAAGGAGACCCTGTCTCA